>NC_000004.12:186497138-186800168 GCF_000001405.40 Homo sapiens
AATCATGGCAGAAGGGGAAGCAAACACGTCCTTCTGCACATGGTGGCAGCAAGGAGAAGTACAGCAAGGAGAAGTGTGAAGTGGGGGAAAACCCCTTATAAAGCCATCAGATCTCGTGAGAACTCACGCATTATCACAAGGATAGCATGGAGGTTACCGCCCCCACGATTCGATTACCTCCCACTGGGTCTCTCCCATGACACGTGGTGATTATGGGAACTACAGTTCAAGATGAGATTTGGGTGGGGGATACATGGGTGGGACACAGCCAAACCATGTCACCACCCATGGTCATAGAATGTTAATAGCTGAGAAAAACGCCTAATGCCTGCAAGGACAAACTCTTATGACAGCAAAATGTCCCAATGTCCCAATATCACATAGCAATATATGCTTTTAAAGATAATTATAGTCATGCTGTGGTGTGTTTGTGCACTAAAGTGCCAAGGACAGCTTTCTTTAAACCAACGAGGAATAAATTTTGTCACACCGTCAGCCCACTGGCGTGTAGACATAATGTAGCTTAGCTTTTACATAGATAAGACCCCTATATAAGAAAAACTTAAGACAAAGATGAGGGGTTCCTCCTCTTGCTTTCTGAGGATGCCCTACTTTGTATCTGGGTAGGTTTCAGTAAACTCTCTCTCCTCACTGCACTCTGCAACTCACCTTGAATTCTTTCCTGCACAAGATCCAAGAACTCTTACTTGGGGTCTGGATTGGAACACCTTTTCCTGGCAACACTCCTATTACACTTGAAATTTCAATCGTATGCCTGTATTTCTTCTGTTTCAAATGTTAAAAATTTATATGTTTTCCGTGAAAAAAGAGTTGGAATTTTTTTTAAGTTTTAGCTTTTTATGGAGAAAAATTATTAACTAGAAAATTAGACTATCAGAGAGACTTATAGTTTCACCTCGCTAAGATTTCATTCTCAAACATGGGCCATTACTTTTACTGGAAGTAAAAAATTATATAATTATATTGGAACTAGTGTTGAATAATTTTATTTTTGTTCACATAAAGCAACATGAATAAAATACACAATAACTATAACTTAAATCTGAAATAAGCACTAAAATTATGTGCACAGCATTCATTTTGCTATTCTGCTGCAAACAGAATATTTTCTTTTCATAGCACCTGCAGTGAAGGTCTCAAAGGAGTCTTGCATGGAAGGGCATTGAAGGGGACATGAAATTTTAACTAATACCACGAGCTCACATGCTTCAAACCCAAACTTGCTTATAACCAACCAATGTCACTTCTTAGAGAACAATATTACAGGTTTTTAGTATTGTGCTATTGTTTTTCCTTAAATTATGTTTTGTTATCTGAAATCCCAATTAATGGTTTTAGTTTTTTTTTAATTTTTGTAAGACAGGGTCTTGAACTCCTGGGCTCAAGTGATCCTCCCGCCTCAGCCTCCCAAAGTGCTGGGATTACCGGTGTGAGCCGCCGCACCTGGCTAATGTTTGCTCTGGACACCATAAGACTTGTTAGCATAATCGTAAGGAGACCCTGAAAATACATATTTTAGCTGCTCCCAGAGTCTCTCTGTGTTTCTACAGGACAGTGGGAAACTGATGTAAATAATTAAGAAGCAAATTAATTATTTGTCAGTTACGTACCCATCCTGACTTCCAGCATGGAGACTTAAATGAAAAGCAGAGGCAGCCAGGTGCCAATTACTTTTACAAGCTTCATTCTTAAGTTGAATTAGGAAAGACTAAGATGTAACCAGATGTATGTATTATCAAGTGATGAAAGTTATCTGCTTTTTAAAACACTTTTTGATTTAGTCCTCCTAATTTTCCTATGATTGCAACTCCCAAAAAGAATCATAACATAAAACCTACACCTAAGAAAATTCTGTTCTGATGCAGGGGAAATTCATCTACTTGCAAAAGCACACTGCAGGATTGCAATTCAGATGTCAAGTTAACCTGATGAGTGATTTGAACACACACACACACACACACACACACACACACACACACACTTGCTTTGTAAATTAAAAATCTGGAGCAAGCCACAGAACATGGTCCCTTTCAGAAGGGAGTGTCTTTGTTCTGCATAGCTCCTGTCCTGATGGTGTGGGCACCTCTGAGTGGTCTCTCCATTGTGCTGGACCTGGTTGCTGTAACTAACAATGGGTGGCTCTCCTGGTCTGAAATCTAAAGAGCATGTTAGTCACCTGCAAGCCTGCTCTTATTTAAAAGAGCTGGTTCACCTCCTTTTTTACATCGTCAAATTAGATCCCCTCAGAGAAATGCCAGAATGTTCAGTTGACACATTAACGCTGAATTAAAACTAGCTACAATTTCCAACTTGCAGATGGTGGTGAGACCAAAGGTAATAACAATGAATTTGTCATTCAGCCACAAGGGATTGATGCAGCCAATTAAGGCTACTCTCTGCCCATGAGATTCTGCTCAGGTTTTCTACTCCATCGTGACTAGGGGAGATCACCGGAAGGGATGATTTCTTCCACTTACATCACACAGAACTCCTGCAAAGGGGTTTTCACTCCACAAACACTTGTGATGGCTCTTATTATGTTCCAGACACTGCTTGAAGCCCTCTACAACTATTAACTCATCTAATCCTCCCAACAACGCTTAATGGTGAGTTCTATTACTCCGATCACTTAAGAGGAAACCTGGATGCTAAGTAACTTGTCCAAGGTCACACAGCTAGTGAATGGCACAGCTGGGATGTGAACACAAGCGCTGTGACTTCAGAATCCAGGCTCGCCCTGACTTTGCTACACCACTCCTGTGCCCGAGATAAAGCTGGGTTTCCAATCTCCGCATCGTTCACATTTAGGGCCAAGTAATTATTTGTTGTTGGAGGCTATTCTATACATTGTAGTGTCCCTGGCCTCTACCCACTGGGTCCCTGGAGTAACCCTCCCTCCCCTGAGCTGTGAAAACCAAAAATGTCTTCAGATACTGCCAAATATCTCTTTGGGGACAAAATCATCTCGTTGAGATATCATTCTCTATGTCTATCATAGAAATAGAATGACTAAAAAGAAGAAATAATAGAAAAATGTGGCATTACTAAAAACAATCGTAGTATGTCCGTCTCTGTACATTTTGAGATAGAATTATTAGGAAATATCTCAAAACAGTCCTCTCTTTTTTTGAGACGGAGTCTCTCTCTGCTGCCCAGACTGGAGTGCAATGGCACCATCTCGCCTCACCGCAACCTCCCCCTCCTGGGTTCAAGCGATTCTCGTGCCTCAGCCTCCCGAGTCGCTGGTATTACAGGCACCCACCACCACGCCCGGCTAATTTTTTGTATTTTTTAGTAGAGATGGGGTTTCGCCAAGTTGGCCAGGCTGGTCTTGAACTCCTGACCTCAGGTGATCCACCTGCCTTGGCCTCCCAAAGTGCTGGGATTACAGGCGTGAGCCACTGCGCCCAGGCTCAAAATAGTCCTTCTTTTAGCTTTTATGTTATCTCTCCTTCCTAGCTTTTTTTTTTTTTTTTTTTTTTTTTTTTGGCTTAGGCAGCTAGGAAGCCCAGAGCTCTATCTTCACCTGAAGCCACGAGCATTTGAGGAATTATGTGCTCAATATTGTTAGATGCCGCATATGCACAGAAATAGAGGAAGTTACACGGGTTTCAGCCTCGTTGAAGAAAAGCATCGACAGGGAAATTAGAATCAGTCAAGCAGCCAGAACATATGTAAATGTTACCTTATGCGGCCTGTGGGAATGAAGCACAACAGGACACGTGGGCGCGGTAGTGAGCAGGGCCGGCTCTACTGAGGAGGTCGGTGAGCAGAGTCCGCAGCGGAAAAGGCGAAGGCGACGTGACGTCCAGCAAGCTCGCCATGTTGAGAAGGTAACACGGCGAAGCCCCGCCCAGCTGGGATGGAAGGCGCCGTTGGAAGGAACGTGAGGCACAGTTGGAAGCAGGCAACGGTGGGCGTTGCAGGCTCGTGAACAAGAACAGGAAGCGTGCTCGCTTCGGCAGCGCATGGACTAACATTGGAACGGTACAGGGAAGATCAGCAGGGCCCCTGTGCCAGGACGGCACGCGAATTCCTGAAGTGTTCCAAATAAATAAATGAGTAAGAACAGGAAGTGGTACTGGGCGTTTCAGGAATAATAACGAGCAGCGGGGAACCAGGGCTCTGCGGGGCTCATGGCGAGTTATGGAAGCTGTTACGAATCTGCCTTATGGTGAGGAAGACAGAGATCGAGGTGTTGGCAGTGAAATGGAAAGTAAGGGGTGATTAAGGGAAAATATTTGAAATTGAAGAATTGACAGGGATCCATGGTTTGTTAGACATTGAAAATAATAACAAATGTGGTAGGCTGCTTCTCAGTGAGCTCCCACTATCCCCTTTCTCCTGGGAGCCACACTGCAGTGGAAGCTCTTCCCCCAGTGTGGGCTAGACCTAGTGACTCATTTCTAATGAACAGAATATGGCAGAGTAAGGGGTCACTCTTACAAAAGAATGTGGCTTCCATCTTGGGTGTGAGTGGCCTCCGGGGAGACCCGCATAACAATGAAATGATGTCCCTGGACCAGCCAGAGAGGACCAGAGGACTGTCAGCAGTCCCATGAGCGAGCCTGGATGTGAATGCGTCCCCTGATCCCCGACGTTCAGCTGTGAGATGGCCGCAGCACTGGCCACAGCCTTGACTGCAGCCTTGTAGAGAACCTGGGCCAGAGGATGCTGCTAAGCCACGCCTGGACTCCTGAGCCACAGGGACTGTGAATGGATCAAAGTGTGCTGTTTGAAGCCACTAAATCCAGGGGGCATTAGTTACACAGCAATGGAGAAAAAGTACAACAAGCTTACAAGACAAAAAATAACTTTTATCTCAAACATAGGACACCAGTTTATTCAGTTTACATATTTGGAGATATGGTTTTTCTGAAAATTAACCAAAGGGGGAATGAATAAAGAAAAAGAAACATCAAGGCAAGGAAAGGAAGAGAGCCCACATCTAATAGAGGAAATGTCGTTGCCCTTTTAGTACAGAAGACAGAGATCTCTCTTCCATGGGTAATGGCTCTCCTGTGTTAGCCATCTACTTGCTGTCCCCAGCATTATGCAGCGACATATAACTGGACTATGTTCAGAAAATTAAAATGACATATTCAAGGTAAATATCTAGGAACATTTCAGCCCTTAGGAAGTAGAAGAAATACCTCCTGTTACAATCTCCATATTTTCTAATAGATAATGCAACTCATTCTGCTACACATCAGCTAGTTAACTAGCAACACTTTTTCCAGTGCTGACCAGTGCAGGAGTTCTTTGAAAGAATTACTTGTTTCAAAGAGGTCGAAGTGCAGAGTACAATGGTGATTGCCAGGAGTTGGAGGCATGGGGCATGGGGAGAGGTTGGTCAAAGGGAGGATAGTCTCAGTCAGATAAGATGAGTGTGTTCTGAAGATCTATGTATGAGACGGTGCTGTCAATAATAATGTATTATTGTATACTTGAAATTGTTAAGAGACAAATGTTCTCACCACAAGAAAAACCAATAACTATGTAGGTGATGGATGTTAATTACTTTGACTGTGGTAACCGTTTCACAGTGCGTGCATATATCAAAACTTCCCATTGTGCGCTGTAAATATACACAATCTTTATATCTCGATAAAGCTAGGATGGGAGAAGGAAACACTTATAAATCACAGCACACTTGAAGGAAAGAGGAACAGACACCTATTTCAACATGTAAGATCACAACAGAAAGAAGAATGTGAGTTCCATGAAGGCAGGCATTTGCCTTGTTCTCGTCATAGTCCCAGGCCCTGGCGCGTGTTAGATGGTCCCTAGTGATGAGGTGAGTATAATTAATAATGGAGACTAATACCCAGGGTCCTTAACTATATGCACAAAGCAAACACACTTTATCCTCTATGTAATTCTATATTAATTAGCACTCTTAGTTTATAAGCTTACTAACCATGTCTTGATGAGTGATTCTGTTATCCAAACTTTCAAGCCCATTGCCAGAAACCAAAGCTATTGGTCAGTGTGTTAGTGGTCTCCAGGGAAACAGGAGCAATGGGATGCACGTGGTGGGTAATTTCACATGTCAGCTTGGCTGCACCAGGATGCTCAGATATTTGGTCAAATGTTATTCTGGATATTCCTGTGAGGGTGTTTTTGGATGAGACTGACGTTTCAATGGGTGAACATTGAGTAAAGCAGACTTCCCTCCATAATGTTGGGGGGGCTCATCTGAGCAGCTGAAGGCCTGAATGAAACAAAGGCTGATATCCCCCAAACAAGACGTGCTTCCGTAGCAGATGGCTGCCAGCGTTAACTGCAGCAGTGCCTCTTGGTCTCCAGCCTGCTGGCCCATTCTAGATGCTGGACTTGCTAGCCTCCACAGTCTTGTGAGCAAATTCCTCAAAATAGATCTCTCTCTCTCTCTGTACATTGTATTGCTTCTGTTTCTCTGGAGAGCCTTAACACAATGTGTGTGTGTGTGTGTGTGTGTGTGTGCACATGCACATATAGAGAGTTTTTTGAAATAATTTTTAATTATTTTTTAATACTTTTATTTTAGAGATGGGGTCTCACTGTGTTGCCCAGACGGGTCTCAGATGGGCTCAAGCAATCCTCCCACCATGGCTTCCCAAAGTGCTGGGATTACAGGCATGAGCCACTGTGCCCAGCCTAAAGAGATGTATTTTAAGGGAAGATCTGGTTCTGCAGTTCAAGTCTGAAGGCCACCTGCTGACAGAATCCCCTTTTCTCAGAGGGCGGTCGATTTTCTCTT
This sequence comes from Homo sapiens, assembly GCF_000001405.40. Lineage (NCBI taxonomy): Eukaryota > Metazoa > Chordata > Mammalia > Primates > Hominidae > Homo > Homo sapiens. Next base: position 186,503,902 of record NC_000004.12, read on the forward strand.
AAGCCCTTCTTCAACTGACTGGATGAAGGCTGCCCACATAATGGAGGGGAATTGGCTTCCTCAAAGCCTACTGATTTAAATGTTAGTCTCATTTTAAATATATCCTTACAGAAACATCTGGAATAACGTCTGACCAAATATCTGGGTACAGTGATCCAGCCAAGTTGAGACATGAAATTAATCACCATGGCCTACATTTTTATCTGTTTGGCTGCAATTCTGTCAAAGGCTTCTGCTCTTCATAACATTTCACTCACTAGCTCCATGAAGCCATATGATACAAACCTTGCCTGTGTAGCCTTCACTTTTTTCCAAAAGAAGTCTATTAAATGCCAATCAAGTATCTTCTCCTCCAAGCTCAGTAGCTCGGGCCTTCAACAGCTGTTCCCCATTCCGATCCATCTCCCTGAGCTACCCTGGCATTCTTATCAGGACACTGGAGGAATCTATGTATGTGCCTCTAAAGATTCAGCACCCAAACATGATAGAAATCACTGTGTTCACACTGTATCTCTATATCTGCCCATCCCTTTAAATCAGTCCAATAAACCAGATTAGAATCAGTAATAGGACTCAGCTGCTTTCTTTATACCGTTGATGGTTCTGGTTTAAGGACCATCAATGGTATAAAGAAGGCAGCTGAGTCCTATTACTCAGCTGCTGTGTATAAAGAAGGGAGAATGGTTTGAGGATGCTAGACATCCAGCTGACATCCAGCTAACATCCTCAAACCATTTTCCTTTAACTTCTAACCAAAATGCCAAGAAAATCAGGGGGGCAAGGTTAACATTAACAACATACGACAGACCACCTAGTGTCAGACTGTGCATGGTGTTCGCGATAATAATAACAAAGATGAAGCTTGCCTGAGAAAAATCTTGGCCAGAATTCAGCACATCCTACCTAAGGACAGTCCATCAGAAACAGACCACTTGGAAAAGCTGAAAGTGTTTGTTTTCTGAAACCGAAGTACCTGTAGCAACCGGCCCAAGGTTCTGGAGAACAGAATTAATAAAAGGAATCAAACTTATGCTATTTTAGAAGGTTTCTTTAAGAACCCCATAGTGTGGCCGGGCACAGTGGCTCATGCCTGTAATCCCAGCATTTTGGGAAGCGAAGGCGGGCGGATCACGAGGTCAGGAGTTTGAGACCAGCCTGGCCAATATGGTGAAATCCCGTCTCTACTAAAACTACAAAAATTAGCTGGGCATGGTGGTGTGTGCCTGTAGTCCCAGTTACTTGGGAGGCTGAGGCAGGAGAACTGCTTGAACCCGGGAGGTGGAGATTGCAGTGAGCCGAGATCACGCCGCTGCACTCCAGCCTGGGAGACAGAGGGAGACTCTGTCCCCACCCCCCGAAGAAAAGAACCCCATAGTGCAATTATATGTATCCAGGACCCAACCCAGAAATGAGAGGAGGAGGTGCCTGCCCACTGGGAGTGTCAGCAGAGGGCTTTGCTTCATTCTACTCTCCAAGACCCTTACATCTAACCTGCTCCCCCTGACATCCAGGCCTCTTCATCTGAGGCCAAATCACTATTGCCATGCAGCTTAGGCTTGCATGCAATAATGACTTGCTTATACATTTTTGTAAATGTGCACTTAGGTCTAATTAACGATTTTCCTGTGGACAGGTGATAGACCTGTGCAGATTCTTTTTTTTTTTAAGATGGAGTCTCACTCTATCGCCCAGGCTGGAGTGCAGTGGTGCGATCTTGGCTCACTGCAAGCTCCGCCTCCCGGGTTCATGCCATTCTCCTGCCTCAGCCTCCCAAGTAGCTGGGACTACAGGCACCCATTACCACATCCAGCTGATTTTTTGTATTTTTAGTAGAGACAGGGTTTCACCATGTTAGCCAGGATGGTCTCGATCTCCTGACCTCGTGATCCGCCCGCCTCAGCCTCCCAAAGTGCTGGGATTACAGGCGTGAGCCCCCTCGCCCGGCCCCTGTGCAGATTCTTTTGGTCATTTTTGTTTGGTCCATGGTTCATTCTGTAACATTCTAAACTCTTGCCAAGCTGCAGTGAGCAGGTTCTCTATTTGCCTTCTATCTGCTAGTCATCTTTCAGTGCTGTCTATCTCTTATAGGATGGCACAGAATAACTTCCCTCAGCCACAGTTGAAGCACCTCTACACTTATGCATAAATCAGCTATATATTAGCCAGGTGTAGTGGTGTGTACCAGTAGTTCTAGCTATCTGGAAGGCTGAGACAGGAGGATTGCTTCAGCCCAGGAGGTCAAGTCTGCAATGAGCTATGATTATGCCACTGCATTCTAGCCTGGGCAACAGAATGAGACCCCATCTCTTAAAAAAAAAAAAGTCAGCTGTATGTCTGTATCCCCTTCCTCAATCCATGCCCCTATTATTGCCCTTTCCACACCAATTCTATTCCTGCCCTCCCTCCATCAGCCTCAAATTTTTAGAGCTTGCACAGACCAAATAGTAGAGTTATCTCTCTCTACTGTATTGCTATGTGAAAATGACAGACGGTGGTTTCTTTCTCCCATTTCCAGTCCCATCTTTTCAACACCTAGACAGCACCTACAAATCCTAGGATAGAAAAGTGGAGAGTAACCTACATGGAATCCATGGAAAAGCTAGTATTTCAGAAAAAAATAAATGGGGGATCATCTAGGAATCTCTAAAAAAGAGCATATCTCTGAAAGTTATCTCTGTCAAGATCCAGAAGAATATATCAACAATTTCTTGGTATCCTAAAGATATTTTATCCTCTATTAATGTATTGGGTATCCATTGCTCCATAACAAATTGCTCCCAGCTTCACGGCTTAAAGCAACACCCATCTACTCCCTTGCATTTTGCAAGCATCAGGAATCAGGCTTAGCTGGGTCCTCTGCTTCAGCTCTCACAAGACAGCAATCATGATGTCAGCCGGCGGCATTCTCACTTGAGGCGCAAATGGGGAAGCATTTGCTCCGACACTCAGGTTGTTAGTGGCATTCGTTTTCCTGTGGTTGCAGAATGGAGGTCCCTGTGTTCATCCAACTGTGTGCCTGAGGCCACTTTCAGCTCCTAGAGGCTGCCTGTGGCTCTTGAGGACGCCTACAGTTCCTAGATGCTGCCCACAGCTGTTCGCCACACAGGGCACCTACTTCATCAAGCCAGCAAGAAGAGTTTCTAGAGCGAGTGGACTAGCCAGCCAGAGTCTTCTAGAACATAGCATATCATGGAGCAAAACCCCAGCCCCTTTGCCATACTCTGTTGGCTATACAAAAGACATAGGTCCCACCCACACTCAAGGAGAGGGAATCATACAAGAATGTGACTATCAGAGTGTGGGGATTGGGACTCCACCCTAGAGCAGGCCATTACCATGAAAGAAGAGAAGAAAAATCATAAGGAGAGAAGCAACTTAAACGAAAACTTGCCAGTATTAGATTGAAAAAAGGAATTATGCTGCAAAAAATCAAATCAGTCATGTGAAAAATAAAATTTCTGAAGAATGCATATGAAATGACTGAAAAGATGAAAACAAGTCAGAAAATGACAGATGATGTACAGAAAAGAGAGCCAATGTTTGGAAAAAACTGGTGTTCCTTCAGAAAGCTGAGAACAAATGTGACAGAAGCAATAAGCAAAAAAGATGTATATAATATGTATGAAATTATATATGGATGTAAATCAAGATATCTAGATATTAGAAGAACACTTTCCACATAGGAAGCTACACCACTATGCCTCAGTTAAAATGGTGCACCATATGCAAAGGAAAAATTGTGTAAAGATAGACATCCATCCTGGAAGAGTCTGAATGAGAATGATAAGGATTGCACCCTGAGAAAGTAAGGCAGAAAACGAGCAGTTTCTTTTAGAGGATTAAGCTGGCCTCATATTCCTCCTCCTGTAGCAATAAATGCCAAGGCACAGAGAATCTTTTCTATAGACTTTTAGAGAGGAAAAGACTCATAGGCCATGAATTTCATAACTAACTGTCTTCTGTGCAAATGTTGGAGACAAAGTTAAACAAGAATTATGAAACAATGCTTACGTCTCCCTTAAAAACTGTCTTGAGAACCAAACTGAACAATTAGCAGCAGGAAACATATGAAAGAAGAAAGGCAATCTGTGGAATGAAAAATGTATACACTAATATATAATTATTGTAACTAGTACTAAAAGAAAAGGTAAATATTAAATCTTTAAAGAAGGCACACAATTTTTAAAATAATTTGGACCTAAAACTACAGATTAAATTACAAAACCCAAAACATCATATTCAAGTATTGACATATTACAAACCCATAATATTAGCCAGTTTGTGGGTAGCCCAAAACACACTGGAATGGAATAGAAAACCATCAACAGATTCGTGTTTCCATAAGACAAAGGAACCAAGCATTTATGTGGAGAAATCTAAGTAAACAGGTTACCAAAATTGTCTCAAGTATAGAAAACTTCAGTAGATCAAAGGCCTTGAAAAAATTTTAAAAATCTCCAGGAAGAGATGAGCAAATTCTACCAAAACCTCATGGGATAGACATTTTTGTTAAGATACAATTCACATAACATAACATTCACCGTCTTAACCATTTGAAAGTGTACAAGTCAGTGTTCTCACATATATCCACAATGTTCTACAACCATCACCATCAATTTCGGAACATTTTCATCACCCCAGAAACAATTAAGCATTAAACAGTCACTCCCCATTCCCTGTCCCACTAATCTATTTTCTGTCTCTATGTGTTTGCCCATTCTGAACATTTCACAGAAATACAATCATATGCAGCTGACCCTTGAACAACACGGGGTTAGGGAAGCCAACCTTTCGCACAGTTGAAAATCTTCATATAACTTTGGACTCTCCAAAGACTTAACTACTAATAGCCTACTGTTGACTGGAAGCCTTACGGATAACATAAACAGTTGATTAACATGTATTTGGAATGTTGTATATATTAGATACTGTATTATAAAATAAACCAGAGAAAAGAAAATGCTATTAAGAAACTCATCAGGAAGAGAAAATACATTTACCATTCATAAGTGAAAGTGAGTAGGCTGAGGAGGAGGAGGAAGAGGAGGGGCTGGTCTTGCTGTCTCACGGGTGGCAGAGGCAGGAGAGTAGAGGAGGAGAGGCAGGAGAGGCAGCATACTCAGTGCAACTCGTATAGAAAAAAACTCCACTTATCAGTGGACATGCACATTTCAAACCCTTGAACAACCCTGAGTTGTTCAAGACTCAGCTGTAATATGTGGTCTTTTGTGTCTGGCTTCTTTCACTGATCATATTTAGTATCCATCTGTAAATTGGCATGATAAGGCCCAAGAACTATGGGCAGGCATCGATGTCCTCTGCTACACCTCTGGCATCACTTCAGTCCATTCACACACCCTCCAGTATGTGAACCGCTCCAGTAAGTTCATTTTGCCTCATCCTTAGTTTTTCAAAGTGATTTGTTGGAAGGAAGAAGGAAGGGAGGGAGGGAGGAAGGAAGGAAAGGAGGGAGGGAGGAAGGGAGGGAGGGAGGAGGGAGGGAGAAAGGAAGGAGGAGAAAGGAAGGAGGGAGGGAGGGAAGGAAGGAGAGAGGAGGGAAAGAAGGAGAGAGGGAAGGAGAGAGGGAGGGAAGGAAGGAAAGAGGGAGGGAGAGAGGGAGGGAAGGAAGGAAAGAGGGAAGGAGAGAGGGAGGGAAGGAAGGGAAGGAAGGAAGAAGGGAAGGAAGGAGGGAGGGAAGGAGAGAAGGATGGAAGGAAGGAAGAAAGGAAGGGAGGGTGGGTGGGTGGGTTAGTGGGACTAGCTATAGTCCCTACTGTGGCGATTGGTCTTAAAGCCAGAGGTGATACTCATCATTTCCGCCCTCCACCACTCATCCTAAATCCCCTCACCTTTGGTCAGCATTGGTGCTGATTTACGTTGCTTACTTGGCAGAAAAACCCAATATTCACCCCTGATGACCAGGTCCTTGTGAGACTAAGGTTGCTGCAGTTGCACATTTATGGTTATTAATGAACATTCAGCAATAACAGGTTCCCTGGTGAATATACTAACTTCCCGATATACTCCTTCCAGCCCAGTTTTGTACCGGTGACTTTTTTTTCCATATGATAATCAGAGTCAATAAGACCCTACATGTATAGGAAGTCATTTTGTTGCCCAATGGTCTACTGGTATGAGGAGCTCCAAATGACCAGAGAGCAGCCATAGCTTCAAGTTTGGCAGAACCTCTACCTCTTTCTGGGGCAAGCATCTCCCTCCTGGGCTATAGTGCAGCTGAGCCTGAAGTTTCAGCATGGGGAGCACCAATTCCCTGAGTCGGTCTCTGGATCTAACCATGAGAAGGAACATCCCTGCTTCCACTGCTGGGTCCTGTGCCTTGCCTGCTACCTACTGAACATCCAACCCCAAATCCTGACTATTGGTTCTATGTACAGTCCCCACCTCGAAGGTCAGAGTCCCAGCTCCACTGGATATCATTCCAAGCCTGTGTATCAGCAGCACTTTTAAGAGGCTGTATTAGTGTGTTAGGGCTGTTATAACAAAATACCACAGACTGGATGGCTTAAACAATGGAAGTTAATTTTCTCAGCATATGGAGGCTGGAGTCCAACCTCAGGGTGTCAGCAGGGTTCGTTTCTTCTGGCGCCTCTCTCCTTGGCTTGCAGGTGGCTGCCTTCTCACTGTGTCCTCACATGGTCACCTTCCATCTAGGAGTGTTATCTGTACCCTAATTTCCTCCTTATAAGAACACCAATCATTTGGGATTAGGGCCCAAATGACCTCATTTTACCTTAATTACCTCTTTAAAGGCCCTATCTCCAAATATAGTCACATTTTGAGTTACTGGAGATTAGGACTTAACATATTACTCTTGGAAGGACACAATTCACCCATAGCAGAGGTCATTCCAACATTCTGTCTTGGCAGCAGGGTCCGGGTGATGTGACAATGTTATTCCCCCTGTCACACATCCTTGGGCATAAGGAGAATTCCTTGATGCAAAGAGATCTCACTCAGTGTCCCATGATGATAACTCTGGCACTCGATGAAAACTGGGTAGTGCTGGCAAAGGCACCACAGTAGGGAAGGCATGTCTGGAATACATGTCAATACCCCCTCTCAGTTAAAAGTGTCCAATGTAATCAGCTCGACACGGCATGGTGGTTTGGTCTCCTTGGGGGCTGGTACACAGTGAAGATTCAGTATCCATCTCTGCTGCTGACGACGCAAGCATTCTGCAGTGGCAGTCGCTAGATCAGCCTGGAGGGCAGGGAACCCATGCTGTAAGGCCCACGCAGAGACCCTCTTCCCACCGCTACAGATACTCACGCCATACGCTCCCCCACACAGAGACCCTCTTCCCACCGCTACAGATACTCATGCCATACGCTCCCCCACACAGAGACCCTCTTCCCACCGCTACAGATACTCACGCCATACGCTCCCTGTGCAACCACGAGGGTCGGCTGGAGGAGAAGCAGGATGCCTCCTCTGAACAAGTCATCCAATCCACCAGATGGTTTGGGTCTTCCTTGCTTTTTGTGTTCCTACTCTCATGGGTCCAACCATATGTCTGCTTCCTGGACATCCTTGCCTTTTTTTTCCAATTTTAATTCTTCCAGGCCCTTAACTAACCAGCTAAACTATTTGAAATTGCCCAATACCCTGTTTATCCTTGTTTCAGGCCCCTTTTCCTTTCCCATGATGTTGGCGATCAGGGGCACTGTTTGAATTCTGCTTACCAGGAGCGTTTCTCTTCACCGTTGCCCTTCAGTGTGCCCTGAGTGGGGCTGTGACGCAGCAGTAATCTGCTCCTGCCAGCTTCCTTCTTCCAAACATCTAGGAACCACGCCCAAGTTTTCACCTCCTTGTTCATACAACATGGGTGAAAGAAACAAGACACAAAAGGGTGCGTACTGCATGGCTCCGTGTCAATCTAGCCAATAACAGGTGAAACCAATCCCTGCTGATGGAAGTAACGAGACTGATTACATGTGTGGGAAATGGTAGGGATGACTGCAGAGACACAAGAAGGCTTCTGGATGTTAAGGAATGTTCTATTTCTTGATGTGCATGCCAATTACACAGCAGGGTCACTCTGGGAAAGTCACCAAACACTACACTTATGAGTGGTACATGTTCCTATATGATTGTTAAACTTTAATAAATTTTACAAAACCAAGCAAACAAAAACAACCACAGAGTTCAGTCAGCTTACTGGATGCAAAATTAACATACAGAGATCAATTTTAATTTCCTGATGAGGCCAACAGTAAAAAAATTAAATGTTAAATAGACACACTCAAGAGCAGCAAAAACAAAGGCATGTAATTAGAAATAATCTAATAGAAGATAGGGAGGAAATTATACTTTATTGAGTGACATTAAAGAAAAGTTCATAAATCAAGAGACATGCTTCTTCATGGACTTAGAGACTCAATATTGCAAAGATGCAAATTGTGTACAGATTCAATTAAAATTTAATTAAAATTGTTACAGTTTTTTGAGGGGGGAGGGGACTTGACAAGTTTATTCTATGCAAAGAACCAAGACTTACCAAGACACTCTTGAAGGTAGAGAAATTATTTCTTGCAGCCATCAAGACTTATTAACTACAAGAATTAAGATAGAGTGGAATTAGCACAAGACTAAAACAGAATTGAAATCCCAGTCACAGCCTCACACTTGACATCAGAACATCTGATCTGTGATAAGGTGGTGCTGGGAAAAAGGGGGAAGGACAGTCCTGTGAATAATTGGCACTATGACGGGTAGGTATCCATACCAAAAAAGACAGTGGGTCTTTATACAAAAAGCAACCTCAGAATTACATACATAAATGCAACAGGCAAATAATAAAGCTGTTACATGAAAATAACATAGGAAATTATAATCTTATTGTAGGGAAATTTTTTTTCTTTAACAAGGTACCAAAGTCACTAACCATAAAGAAAAAAATTAACATGTTTGACCATATTAAATTGAGAACATCTGTTCACAGCATAAAGAGAGTACAAAGATAAGGAACAGACCCATCACAGTAGGTCATATCTATAACCTTTGGGAGGCCAAGGCAGGAGGATCACTTGCACCCAAGAGTTTGAGACTGGCCTGGGCAAGACGGCAAGACCCCATCTCTTAAAAAATAAAAATAACATAAATAAAATAAAGACAAGGCACAAAATAGAGAAGCTATTTGCAACAAATACAACTGACAAATGACTCATGTAGAAACAACTGCAACAAATCAATGAGAAAAGGCAAGTGACCCATTAGAAAAATGGGACAAACCCCTGGGCAGGCATTTCACAAATGAGGAAATCCCAATTACCGGTAAATATTTGAAAAGCATACTGTTAATCGGACTAGACGAGCAAGAAGTGGCAAGTACATTGGATGATTTGATCGTACACATGCATGCCAGAGCACCAGGTCAGTGAAGATTTCAGCGGTCCAGCGGCCTGAGACACGCTGGGCCATCTGTGCCACAGAGGACACATTTATATCTTGCAACTCTCCCCTCTAGGAAGGAAACACAATTCCTGGCAGATCTCTTCAGATTCTGGAGGCAGCTTACCTTATACTAATGCTACTCTAACTCATACATTCGTTGATTAAAAACCAACCAACCAACCTGCCACCTTTGTGTGGTTTCTAGAGCAGAAATGGGCTGGTGGCAGCTGCAGACTTTAGTGTAAGTGGTTCTGCTTCCAGGGCCATACAACCCCGCTTGCACCACTATGGCAATATCTCTGGTGTGATGGGAAGTATGTAGAGTTTATGGCAAGTCCCAGTAGGAGAATCACACATAGACCCCAAGGGTTTAGGGCACACCCATGCTGTCTGCAGTGTAGAGCTATATGCTTTTTTCAAAAGAACTCCTAACATGTTAGTGGCCCCTGACAAACACGGAGAACTGGCCATGAGACAATGACAGTGCTCCCAGAATTGCTTGTAGAAGCTGGCTCCTGCCAGATTCACTGAGTCATAGGTCAGGTGGGCCTAGGAGCATTCCACCACGACATGGAAGTGATACCTCCAGGATCGGGCATCAACAGGTCACAAGGCACAAGGAAACTCTCAGAGCAGATAGCCCAGAGCTCTGTGTTATTCATGACTGTTGCAATCAGGGTGCCACCCTTTCAGCTCACACCTATGGCTGCTTGAGGCCACCAGCTCATGGAGGAGAACAAAGACTGATCTTGGTTCATACATGATTGGCTTGATATGTGGGTGCAAGCAGAAAATGGATTGCAGCTGCCCTACAGCCCGCCCATCACAGGTAGTCCCGAACAGTAACTGATCCAGGTTGTCAGTATTAGGAGGTTTATTGAAGGAAATGACAGACAGAAGTGTAATCTTGGGTGGCCACAAGACAGGTACATCTTCACACCTCAACCCCCCAGATCCAGGACTTATATCTTGGGGAAAACTGTATGCGCCATAGAAGGAATATGTAGGTGGCTATGGCATCATGACACTTACAACGAAGAGGTGTTCCTACCTAAAGAGTCACACGTTGACTAGACATTCTGGAGGCATTCCCAGACTCAGGGTTAGTCACGTGGATTACCATTTAAAATAAAGTCATTCTTGTCCCCACTGTAGCAATAAAGAGAAATCTTCCCAATATGAGTCATCCACTTTGTGTGGATAGAGAAGGGACTGGAATTTGGAATATACGTAGGCTCATGGGCTATCTGTGTGGCAAATGGTTTGGTTGGTTGATTGGGCTGGAAGAAAATAAGCACCAGACTGAGAATAAGGAGATCTGGGAAAGAGACAAATGGATGGCCCTCAGAGTGGGCACAAAGTGTGCAGATCTTTGCACCACATATTAATCACCAGCAGAGAGCCAACCTGGGAAGAGGTTCCAAACTACCAATGAGAATCACTTGGCCGGTTGACACCAGCCAGCCTCTGCCATCTGCTATTCATGTTCAGGAGTAACAGGCACATGAATGGGCAGCCGTGGTGGCAAGGTGGGAGGCTATGCCTGGACCTGCTGGCATGAGCTCCCGTGCACCAAGGCTAATCTAGCTACTGCTGCTGCTGAACATCCAGCCTGCTTTCAAGAGAGACAGATACTGAGACCCTGATATGGCGCCATCCCTTGAGGACTCTAACCTGCCACTTGATGGTCTTTTGAGCTTGGAAGGCACAATTCATCTTGACTAAAATTGGTACATGCTCAAGATACACCCTTTCTTGCCTAAGGGCAATTAGCTGGCACTAACATCTGAGGACTTTCCGGAATGCTTGATCCCACTGACACAGGGTCTGGAATAATATTGCCCCACTTTACAGCAAAAAACCATACTTTACAGTAAAAAGGTGCCAGTATATGACCATGAAATCCACTGGTCCTGTTGCATACCTGCCACCCAGAAACCCCTAGCCTGAGAGAGTAATGGAATGGCTTATTGAAGACGCCACTGATTCACCAGTGTGGAGATCGGTGACCTGAATGGATACGGTATCATTCCCTGAGACACGGTATCCTCTTAAACAATTGATTATTTATTAGATTTGGGTTAGTAAATTACATACATGGGTCCAGAAACCAAAGGGTGGAAGTAGAATGACAACACTTACCATTATGTCTGAAAACTTGAGGAATACGTAGTTTCTGTACCTGCAACTCTAGGATCTGCAGATGTACTAGTTCCCAAATGGGAAACTTCTGCCAGAGGACACAGACAGGGTCCCACCTGTGTCCCTTTAGACTCCGGGGTCAAGAGCCCACCAAGAAAATACAAATGCTGTATGATTCCACTTACATAAAATACGTAGAGTAGTCAAACTCACAGAGATGGAAAGCAGGATGGAGATTTCCAAGGGTTGTGGGGTGCCAGGAAGGGGTGGTAAGTGTTTAATGGGTACAGAGTTTCAGCTGGGGAAGACAAAAATGTTCTGGAGATGGATGGTGGTGATGGTCCCACAATACTGGAATGTTCTTAATGCTACAGAGCTGTGCCTTATAAATGGTTAAAATGGTCAATCCTAGGTTGTGTTTACCTTACCGCAATAATACAACTATACATACACATGCAGACATACATCTAGATGAGACGACCAGGGAAGGAGAGGGGTTTGCAGGGGCAATTGTTTCTGATCAACAGGTAGACATAGGGCCACTGTTACACTGCAGGCAGGTAAAATAGAGTTGACACAGAGATGATCCACCTGGGCATATTTTTATACATCCTCGTTCAATTTTTACAGTAAATGAACAAGTGCAGCAGCTATGGTTCAAGAAGGCCATGGTGACCAGAGGCTCAGACCCTTCAGGGAGGAGGCTCAGGGTCACCTTATCAGGTAATTACTGCAACAAAAAGAAGTGCCAGCTGAGGGTAAGGAGGGTCTGAAATGGCTCTTGGAAGAGGGAGTTGGTGAATTATTGCCTGAAAACCAGCTCCAGTGGTTGTCAATGCATTTCATCCCGCTATCCTGGAGTTCTCCTCAGAAAGGAAGCCCAGCAGAATTCTGTAGGAGCTGCTTCCAGAGCCTGTCGGTGGCAGACAGATCTGCATGGAGCAAGGGGTGGACTGCAGGGGGTATTGTGTTACGCTCTGGAGAGAGGCCCTCCTCTAAGACCAAGGCACTCACCCCCTAGCTTCTGGGAGTATCCACAGCTCACACTTCCTAGCTGAGTCCTTTTCTAGGCCATGCCCTAGCTTAAGGAGAGCTGCACCACCTGAGATCATGCCTTCTTCCCGAGAGAGCACCCCATGTCCCATGACTGCTGGGTTATAAAGGCCTGGACCCCTTGGCACAATTTGAGACAACTCTAAATATCTGTTTCTGCTCCAGAACTCCCTGTGGGGTCAATGAAGGCCTTTGTGTGATGTCATTGCAACTGAATTCAATGCACAGTCCCCTGATGTGTTTAGCCTGAGCACACTTCTAGGAAGATTTCTTGCACACTAGACTTTCTCTCTTGGGGAACTCAATCTGCAGCATAGATCGCGCTGCAGTGTAGCTCCAAGGTGCTGTTTCCTGACTCCTTCATCTGTGCGAGAATCTTTGAATTCGTGTATAATTTTGGCTGTGGGTTTGTCATAGACGGCTTTTATTACCTTAAAATATGTCCCCTCTATGTTGATTTTGCTGAGGGTTTTAATCATAAAGAGATGCTCGATTTTGTCAAATGCTTATTCTGCATCTACTGAGATGATCATGTGATTTTTGTTTTTAATTCTATTATATGGTGTATCACATTTATTGACTTACGCTGTGTTAAGCCATCCCTGCATCCCTGGCATGAAACCTATTTGATCATGGTGGGTTGTCTTTTTGATATGCCATTGGATTCGATTTACTAGTATTTTGCTGAGGATTTTTGCTTCTATGTTCATCAGGAATATTTGTCTGTAGTTTTCTTTTTTTGTCATGTCCTTCCCTGGTTTCAGTATTAGGGTGATACTGGCTTCACAGAATGATTTAGGGAGGACTCCCTCTTTCTCTATCTTTTGGAATAGTGTCAATAGGATTGGTACCAATTCTTCTTTAAATGTCTGATAAAATTCAGTTGTGAATCCATCTGGTCCTAGACTTTTTTTGGTGGTAATTTTTTTATTACCATTTCAATCTTGCTGCTTGTTAGTGGTCTGTTCAGAGTTTCTATTTATTCCTGGTTTAATCTGGGAGGGTTGCATATTTCCAGGAATTTTTCTATCTCTTGTAGGTTTTCTAGTTTATGTGCATAAAGGTGTTCATGGTAGCGTTGAATGATCTTTTGTATTTCTGTGGTATCGGTTGTAATATTTCCTGTTTTATTTCTAATTTAACTTATATGGATCTTCCCTCTTCTTTTCTTGGTTAATCTCACTAATGGTCTATCAATTTTATTTATCTTTTCAAGGAACCAGCTTTTTATTTCATTTATCTTTTGTAGTTTTTTGTTTCAATTTTGTTTTGTTCTGCTCTGATCTTGCTTATTTCTTTTCTACTGCTGGATTTTGGTTTGGATTGTTCCTGTTTCTCCAGTTCCAAGAGGTATGACCTTAGATTGTCTGTTTATGCTCTTTCAGCCCTTTTGATGTAGGCATTTAATGTTACGAACTTTCCTCTTAGCACTGCTTTTGCTGTATCCCAGAGGTTTTGATAGGTTGTGTCACTATTATCGTTTGGATCAAAGAAGTTTTCAATTTCCATCTTGATTTCATTGTTGACCCAACAATCATTTAGGAGCAGGTCATTTAATTTCCATGTATTTCATGCTTTTGAGCACTCTTTTTGGAGTTCATTTCCAGTTTTATTCCACTGTGGTCTCAGAGAGTACTTGACATAATTTTGATTTTCTTAAATTTACTGAGCCTTGTTTTGTGGCCTATCATATGGTCTATCTTGGAGAATGTTCCATATACTGATGAATAGAACGTCTATCTGCGGTTGTTGGGTAGAATGTTCTGTAAATATCTGTGAAGTCCATTTTCTCTAGGGTACAGTTTAAGTCCATTGTTTCTTTGTTGACTTTCTGTCTTGATGACCTGTCTAGTGCTGTCAGTGGAGTATTGAAGTCCCCCACTATTATTGTGTTGCTGTCTATCTCATTTCTTAGGTCTAGTAGTAAATGTTTTATAAAGTTGGGAGCTCCAGTGTTAGGTAAATATATGTTTGGTATTGTGATATTTTACTGTTGGACTAATCCTTTTATTATATAATGTCCCTCTTTGTCTTTTTTAACTGCTGTCGCTTTAAAGTTTGTTTTGTCTGATATAAGAATAGCTATTCCTGCTTGCTTTTGATGTCCATTTGCGTGGAATATCTTTTTCCACCCCATTCACCTTAAGTTTATGTGAGTCCTTATGTGTTAGATGAGTCTACTGAAGGCAGCAGAAACTTGGTTGGTGAATTCTTACCCATTCTGCCATTCTGCATCTTTTAAGTGGAGCATTTAGGCCATTCATATTCAATGTTAGTATTGAGGTGTGAGGTACTATTCTATTCATTTTGCTATTTGTTGCCTAAATACCTTGTTTTTTTTTTCATTGTGTTATCATTATATATGTTCTGTGAGATTTATGCCTTAAGGAGGTTCTATTTTGGTTTATTTTGAGGATTTGTTTTGAGATTTAGAGCTCCTTTTAGCATTCCTGTAGTGCTGGCTTGGTAGTGGCAAATCCTCTCAGCATTTGTTTGTCTAAAAAAGGCCATTATCTTTCCTTCATTTATGAAGCTCAGTTTCACTGGATACAAAATTCTTGGCTGATAATTGTTTTGTTTAAGGAGGCTAAAAATAGGACCCCAATCCTTGCTAGCTTGTAGAGTTTCTGCTGAGAAATCTGCTGTTAATCTGATAAGATTTCCTTTATAGGTTACCTGATGCTTTTGCCTCTCAGCTCTTAAGATTCTTTCCTTTGTCTTGACTTTAGATAATCTGACGACAATGTGCCTAGGCAATGATCTTTTTGCGATGAATTTTGCCCAGGTGTTCTTTGAGTTTCTTGTATTGGGATGTCTAGGTCTCTAGCAAGGCCAGGGAAGTTTTCCTTGATTATTCCCCGAAATATGTTTTCCAAACTTTTAGACTTCTCTTTTTCCTTGGGAACATCAATTATTCTTAGGTTTGGACATTTAACTTAGTCTTAAACTTCTTGAAGGCGTTGTTCATTTTTTATTCTTTTTTCATTGTCTTTGACAAATTGGGTTAATTCGAAGCCTTGTCTTTGAGCTCTTAAGTTCTTTCTTCTGCTTGTTTAATTCTATTACTGGGACTCTCCAGTGCATTTTGCATTTCTCTAAGTGTGTCCTTGAATTCCAGAAGTTGTGATTTTTTTTTTTTTAAGACAGAGTCTCACTCTGTCACCCAGGATGGAGTGCAGTGGCACAATCTTGGCTCACTGCAACCTCTGCTTCCCAGGCTCAAGAGATTCTCCTGCCTCAGCCTCCTGAGTAGCTGGAACTACAGGTGTGTGCCACCACATCCAGCTAATTTTTGTATTTTTAGTAGAGATGGGGTTTCATCATATTGGTCAGGCTGGTCTCGAACTCCTGACCTCCTGATCTGCCTGCCTTGGCCTCACAAAGTGCTGAGATCACAGGTGTGAGCCACCATGCTCAGCCGTGATTGTTTTTTATGTATGCTATCTCTCTCACTGAAGAATTGTCCTTTCATATCCTTTATAGTGTTTTTGATTTCTTTAAGTTGGACTTCACCTTTCTCTGGTGCCTCCTTGATTAGCTTAATAATCGACCTTCTGAATTATCTTTCTGGCAATTCAGAGGTTTTGTCTTGTTTCGGTCCATCACTGGTGAGCCGATGTGATCTTTTGGGGGTGTTAAAGAACCTCGTTTTGTCATATTACCAGAATTGTTTTTCTGGTTCCTTCTCGTTTGGATAGACTATGTCAGAGGGAAGATCTGGGATTCAAGGGCTGCTGTTGAGATTCTTTTGTCCCATGGGGGACTCCCTTGATGTGGTTTTCTCCCCCTTCCCCTAGGAATGGGGCTTCCTGAGAGCTGAACTGTAGGGACTGTGCTTGCTCTTCTGGGTCTAGCCACGCAGCGGAGCTACCAGGCTCCAGTCTGGTACTTGGGAGTGTCTGCAAAGAGCCCCGTGACTCTTCCATCCATCTTGTCATCCATCTTCGGGTCTTGCAGCCGCAGATACCAGCACCTGCTCTGGTGGAGGTAGCAAAGGAGTGACGAGGACTCCGTGAGGCTCCTTGGTTGTGTTTCTGTTGAGTGCGCTGGTTTTGTGTTGGTTGTGCTTCTGTTGAGTGCACTGGTTTTGTGTTGGTTGGCCTCCAGCCAGGAGGTGGTGCTTTCAAGAGCACATCAGCTGCAGTCTTATAGGGAGGATGCGGACCTGCCCTAGGGGGACCTGGCTAAGTATTCAGGTTTCCCATGCAGTGGGCAGGGCCATAGACCTCCTAAGAGAGGATGACCTTTGTCTTAGTAACCAGAGCGGGTAGAGAAAGACCAACAGGTGAGGGCAGGGATAGGCGTGTTTGAGCTCAGCCTCTCCTTGGGTGGGGCTTGCTGCCGCTACTGTGGGGGATGAGAGTGTGGTTCCCAGTCCAATGGAGTTATAGTCCCAGGGGGATTATGGCTACCTTTGCTGAGTCATACAAGTCGCCAGGGAAGTTGGGGAAAGCCAGCAGTCACGGGCCTCACCTCACACCCACGCAGCTGGCAGTCCTAAAGGCTGGTCTCACTTCCATCGTGAACCCCCAACAGCACCACGTCTACTTCTGGGCAGCTGGTAGCCAGGACTGAGAACCTGTCCCAGACCACCAGCCTCCCCTCTTGGAAAGCAAGCAGACTCACAGTTTTTCAGTGTCTCAGGGAGCCTGTAGTGGAGATCCACCTTCTTCATATAGTCTGTGGATGATCTTGGCTTTCCTGGTATATTCCTGTGCTAGTTCTGGGTGTGGTGGCATGTGTCTATAGTCCCACCTACTTGGGGGGCTGAGGCAGGAGGATCACTTTAGCCCGGAAGGTTGACACTGCAGTTAGCAATGATCGTGCCACTGCACTCCCCTGGGTGACCTGCTCTAGTAGGTTTGGAGAGAGCTCACCTGAGTGTTGGTTGTTAAAAAAGAGTCTAGCACCTCCCCACATACCCCGCTTCTCTGCCCATGTGATCTGCACACACCAGCTCCCCTTCCACCATGAATAGAGGAGGCCTGAGGCCCTCACCAGATGCACATGCTGGCGCCATGCTGCTTTTACAGCCTGCAGAATCATGAGACGCCTAAGCCTCTTTTCTTTATAAATTACCCAGTCTCAGATATTTCTTTACAGTAACGCAACAACAAATGAAGACAATGAATGACTCTAATTTTAAAAATGCTCTCTGAAATGGACCTATGTCAACAATTAAAAGGAACTCAGTATTTCTAAATTTAAGTTTAAACCAGGATAAGTGCATCACTTTAAGGAGGTAAAATGTATATATCCTTAATCTTAATTTTATAGGGTCCCATCGTCTCCAGGCGATCCCTAAACTAGATTTGTGTCCACAGTTCTTTTTCCAATAAACCTTGTTAAGCTGAAATAAAATAAAGAGCTAACATAAAGGATAATCACAATAAAGGCATCATTCCTCAGAAGGTCACCAGATCGCTCCTGCTTGGAGTCTTGGCTTACATGTTACCCTTTCTGAAAACTTCCTTTTCATGTTCGCCTACATACTTCATACTGTGAACAAAATGCAATTTCAGTCAAATGAATTCCTTATTCTATTTCTGTCATCTCACTAAACTATAAACTCCTGGAACATGGAGAAAATGTCTTCTTTGCTTCTATGTCTCTAGCACCTAGCTCAGCCTGGTTATAAATCATTCATATTTCTTAAAATTTTGCTAAATGTGTAGATTTAAACCCAATACAGTTCTTATGTTTATTTTTTAAAGTCTGATTAAAAACGTTAAATGATATCATAGATTCAAGTACACTTACCTCTGAAAAGATTCAAAACACGATGCTAAATGAGTAGCAAAAATGAAGAGGTTTTCAAGGGATAAAATAATTTTTCTAAATCAAATTATGCACTTTTTTGCATTTCTTTCCTCAAAAGTGAAGATGCTTTTAAATGTTTATTATCAATAATTCTCAGAAAGAAAATTTTTTCTTGTCTTGCATTCTTATTAGCTTATTCATCAATGTTTATTCCACCAATATGAGCACACGTGGTTTTTAAATTTCTTTATCATCAGAAAAGGTTATATTGAGATAATGAGTCTTGGTAGGAAAGAGTCCTCCTGAAATGCCAGCAGCCCATTAGGATTTCTTACTTAATAACCTTAGCAACCACCAATACTTTCAACAGTCCTTCATGACCTTTCAGTTTCTATGGACAGTTTTGGAGTAGGGCAGATGCTTATGATATGGTTATCACAAGAAAATTTGTGTATTTTTAAGATGCTGGGAGAAAATTTTCTGACAGAAGACATTTCTTTCAAGAGCCTCTGAAGAGCACCTATTTTTGTGTGAGCCATTATGGTACTTAATAATTGAGTTCCCAGATTCTCACCTTTAAAGGAGGTAATACCTTTGTTGAAATTATTATTTATTTTGCTCCGTTTTTTTTCTCTCATTTGTAATCAGGAAAAAGACTGGGTAGGTGGATTAAAAGTTACAGCAGTCTACACACATTTCTGAAAACTTCATCAACTCATAGCCAAATATTTTTTCCAGTTTTCAGGAATGGCATTTCTCCTTAGAATCCAAATAACAATAAAACGCCGATTCTGTAGGCAACAGACAGGTCATTTTACAGCCCAGGAAACTTCCAAACATAATTCCCGTGAATTCTGAAGGCTGCCTATGTCACGTACAAATCCATCCTCTTGACTATCTTTCCTACGGTGCGCGTTTCTTAAAACTCAGTTCGGGAGCTTGGTCGGCCCCTTCGTGTCTGATTGGTGAGCACTTATGGCTTGACCAAAAGTGCTCAAAGCAGAACAAGAATTTCTGTTTTCATTTCCCCCTACTTTTTTCCCTACTGATTTGGATTGAATGAATTTCCGTTATTTCTTTGGCTGTTATTGCTGTTGTTTTATTATGCTATTTTTTTTTTGTCTAGTAGTTACCATCAAATTTTCTAATATACATTTTATATTTTCTATTGGTTTATAGAATTCAGGTCCAAAAAAGTAAGAGGAAAACTTTAACATGTTTACATTAAAATAATCTGAAATTTTCATTGATGATTATTAATTTTAAAAGTATGCATCAGCAATTATTTAGACACTATTATGTTGATTGGTCTTTTTATGTTACAAAGAGTCTAGCGCCTCCACGCATCCCCCCACCCCTCACCTCCATTCTCTCCCCTTGTGATCTGCCCACACCAGCTCCCCTTCCACCATGAATGGAGGAGGCTTGAGGCCCTCACCAGATGCACATGCTGGCACCATGCCGCTTTTACAGCCTGCAGAATCGTGAGCCACGTAAGCCTCTTTTCTTTAAAATTACCCAGTCTCAGATTTTTTTTTTTTAATTATACTTGAAGTTCTAGGGTACATGTGTACAACGTGCAGGTTTGTTACATATGTATACATGTGCCATGTTGGTGTGCTGCACCCGTTATCTCATCATTTACATTAGGCATATCTCCTAATGCTATCCCTCCCCCCTCCCCCCATCCCACAACAGGCCCTGGTGTGTGATGTTCCCCTTCCTGCGTCCAAGTGTTCTCATTGTTCAGTTCCTACCTATGAATGAGAACATGCGGTGTTTGGTTTTTTGTCCTTGTGATAGTTTGCTGAGAATGATGGTTTCCAGCTTCATCCATGTCCCTACAAAGGACAGGAACTCATCATTTTTCATGGCTGCATAGTATTCCATGGTGTATATGTGCCACATTTTCTTAATCCAGTCTATCATTGTTGGACATTTGAGTTGGTTCCAAGTCTTTACTATTGTGAGTAGTGCTGCAATAAACATACGTGTGCACGTGTCTTTATAGCAGCATGATTTATATTCCTTTGGGTAAAACACCAAAAGCAATGGCAACAAAAGCCAACGTTGACAAATGGGGTCTAATTAAACTAAAGAGTCTCAGATATTTCTTTATAGTAACACAACAACAGACGAAGACAATGAATGACTCTAATCTGATTCAGTCTTGGTAGGTCATATGTTTCCAGAAATGTGAACACTTCATCTAGGCCATTCAATTTGTTGATGCACAATTTTTCACAGTACTCTCCTATAAGCCCTTTTAATTTTGTTAAATTGGTTATAATATCCCCTCTTTCACTTTCAATTTTAGTTACTTGAGTCTTCTCTCTTTGTATCTTAGTCATTCTAGCTAAAAGTTTTCAATTTTGTTGATCTTTTTGAAAAATCAACTCAGTTTCATTGACTTTTCTCTATTGTTTTCTATTCCCTAGCTTATTTCTGATCTAATCTTTATTATTTCCCTCTTCTGCTAGCTTTGAGTTTAGTTTGTTTGTTTTCTATTCCTTCGAGGTGTGAGTTTAGGTTGTTCATCTGAGATCTTTCTTCTTTTTTACTGTAGGTATGTACAGCTACAAATTTCCTTCTCAGCACCGTTTTCACAGCATCCCAGAAGTTTTGGTAGGTTGTTTTCATTTTTATTTTGTCTCAAACTATTTTCTAATTTTCCTGTGATTTCTTCTCTGACCTACTGTTTAACAGTGTGCTAATTTCCACATATTTGCGTATTTTCCAGTGTTCCTTTGCCACTGATTTCTAGTTTCATTCCACTGTGGTTGGAAAGGATACTTTGTATTATTATTTTAACCTTTTTAAATTTATTAAGACTTGTTTTATGGCCGAATGTGTGGTTTATCCTGGAGAATGTTCCATGTGGACTTGAGAAAACTGTTTATCTGCTGTTGCTGAGTTCCATGTGTTTCTTAAATAGAGGAGACTGTCCTATCAATGTCGTTAATATATCTTCACAGATTTATGTCTTTAATCCATCTCTATTTTGTATGTGGTCAGAAGAAGGAATCCAACTTAATTTTTTAGAGTTAGTCAGTTTTACCCACATTATCCAAAAAAATAAATGACACTTATCTTCAATCATTAAAATGAAGTCCCACCTGTAACCTACACCGAGTTCCTTTTCATACATGTATTTGCATTTTTCCTCTGTACTATATAATTTCTAAAAGCACAGTTGTCTTAAACAAACCCATTCATTACAAAGTAATTGATATGTCTCTTAATCTTTGCTCCCTCCTCTATCTTTTTTTCTTTCAAATACTTGTTAGAGTGGTTTCTTTGTACTAAAGATTTGGGTAGAGTTTGGATTTTGCTGATTGTCTCCTGCGATGTTGTCTAGTATGCTTTCTTGCTCCCTGCATTTCCTGAAAATTTCTAGTTAAATCAGATTCAGGTTTGAGTTTTAGGAAGAGGAGACTACTTCCTAGACGGTGGTGTGTATTTGCATCTAGTTGTCTCTTTTGCTGATGTTAGCAGCTGCACTACATTCTCATTAGGTGTGTTCTGTCCCCTTCCTGCTACATGGGAAGCACTTGGGATAATACATGCTGTGTTCATCACTTTCTCCCCATCACCGAGCACCGTTTCTGGAAAACCAAGGGATCCAATATTATCTAAATTTTTAGTGAATACAGGAGCTCATGGTTCAGACTTATCTCTTCTACTAACTCTAATAGATCATGGACAAGATGCTTAATTTTTGTGAATCTTATTTTCACAGTCTGTAAAATGAAGGGATTGGCATTACCATGCCCCCTAATGTTCCTTGAATGATTCTACAACATGGCCATGCAAAGGTCAAGAAGATAGGCTGTCTTTTTCCTCCAGAAGTTGCAAGAAATAAAGAATTCCATCCCATGCATATATACTGACCAAGAAATGTTTTCTGGGGGGACTTTTTTGTTTTTCTTTTTGCAGAAACACATTTGATTTGGGCAATAAATTTATACTTAGAATAGAACAGCGTTTGTTGGTTACATATATCAAAATGAAGCAATGTTCAATTATGTTCAGTTCCATTCCATGATGGACTAGAATATAACAATATAATACACATATTATAACGTAGGTATGCACATGAACACATATGAATAACTAATTTAAATTCTGCTGAGAAAAATGCCAAAACCAAAGAGACAGGCCTATTGTCTATAAACAAATGCATATATTAAGTAATTATAAAACCACCCTCCATCTTTCTTGTTGTTGCCATTGTTTTAGAAAAACGGTCTTGCTCTCCGGCCCAGGCTGGAGTGCAGTGGTGCAATCATAGCTCACTGCAGCTCAAACTCCTGGGCTCAAGCAGTCCTCCGACCTTAGTCTCCTAAGTAGCCAGGACTGTAGGTACATCTCATCTTTACTGGCTAATTTTCTGCTTTTTAAGAGACAGGGTCTCGTTGTCATCCAGGCTGGTCTCAAATTCCTGGCCTCAAGAGATCCTTCCACCTGAGCCTCCTGGGTCATTGGGATTACAGGTATGAGCCACCACACCCAGCAACCTTCCATTCTTAACCAACTTTTGTTTAATTTCCAACAAATAACAGGAAAAACAAACTGTCCACCTTGAAAATAATGACATAAAATCATATTCATCTTTTTCCATATATACACATGTGTACACATATAACTTTTATTAAAACAAATATACACAAGCAAAGATCCCATTAAAGTTCATCCTTGGCAGTAACAAGGTGCAGATATGAGTAAAAAGTAGTAAAAACATGCAAGTTTACTACATCATGGGCTATGTTTTCAAAAATACAAAATCAAGTCATCTTTTGGAAAAACAAGCTTCCTCAACTTTTATTAAAATTTATATCCAGACTAAAAGAAAATAGTTACCAGTATAAAACAATATCAGAACTCAAGTTAACATCTTATATTTAACTACTTTGAGTTTCCTAAACATTGTCTAAGCAAACACTTATTCTCTAGCACAATGGTCAGAGAGTTAATGAAGATACAATTTTTCTAGGCAGAAATCAGTTATGTTCTACTATGCAAACCAAACAGTTGAATTGATTCTTATCCTTGTATCGTAAGCATTGAGGCTCATCCAGTATTTATTAGAATGGTGCTTGGTGGATAATCACTAGTCCCTTTGTGCACCAAAACTCAAGAGTTCTTAGAGGCTTGTTCCACATCATCATAGAAAGAGAAGGTACCACTCATTTTTTTATTCTAAGCAATTTTCTCTACTTCTCCTTAGCAAACTAGACACATCTGCTTCACACACTGCAACATAACAGTTCTATCAGAAATTAGAGCACCAGATTATCACAATAAAAGGACAAAGACAAGTGTCTCCTTTCTAAAAGCAGTGGTAATCAGTTGGTTTTAAAACAGCCACGTTCATCATATTCTCCTGTAATCGGAACACAGAAATGTGTCCTCATAATCAAGGTACTCTTTTCTAGGAACATAGCATTACTTCATTATTACTAACAACACAGCACAGCACCTAAATAATCTTTTTATCTCTTCAAAGCTGTAGAGGCTGTTCATATTGCCTAAGATCAACAACATTACAATTGAAAAAAAAAAGCAGCTAGCTGGCTAAAACACACACAATGCACACACACGCACACAGACACACAACCATACACAAACTTGGTCTCTCACATTAAACTCTGTAACAGTAAAAAACACTCCTAAATAGTTGTTTCTATTAAACTGTTTCTGTTCCAGAGAAGAAAAATACAATAATATATATGATTAGGGGTCATGATTCTAAAATCATTAACTTTATTTTTTTTTTATGATTGTGGTCCCATCAATTTAAATTTTCCTTTACACTTTCAAACAAGGTGGCCACACACTCGACTCCATTGTTCTTCTGGGGTTAGACAAGTGTGAGGTGACCCCAGTTAGGGATGCCCCAACAGGCATTAAGTTGACAGCACAAGAGCTTCCATCGCAACCCTCTAGACACTGCAACCGCCACAACAGTCTCTTGGTACTCATTTAGTGTCTTACTAAACGTTTACCTTGTCAATGATCATTACATTATGTGGATACTAAGACTTTGGTTAGATATCTCTACCTTTTGGCCTTTGTCTGTATTTTACAAATTTAGTTTACATTCAATCTTTGGTCTTCTAAAAGACCTTTGGTAAAATAAGTACACGCTTATCAGCAACATAAATACTGGACACAACTAAAATCACTTTCATTTATTCCCTAAATTCTCCCCCTACAAGTTCTGGAGATTTCCAAAAACTTGTAATCAACATAGCAAAGTGGGTGCTACCATTGCAAAGATTAGAGCACTTTTTTTTTTTTTTTTTTTTTTGAGACGGAGTTTCGCTCTTGTTGCCCGGGCTGGAGTGTAGTGGTTCGATCTCGGCTCACTGCAACCTCCACCTCCTGGGTTCAAGCGATTCTCCTGCCTCAGCCTCCTGAGTAGCTGGGATTACATGTGCCTGCCACCACTCTCAGCTAATTTTTGTATTTTTAGTAGAGACGGGGTTTCTCCATGTTGGTCAAGCTAGTCTCAAACTCCCGACCTCAGGTGATCTGCCTGCCTTGACCTCCCAAAGTGCTGGTATTACAGGCGTGAGCCACTGCACCCGGCCTAGAGCATTTTTATACTGTACACAATAACTTTTTAAAATAGAGATGCTTTATTTTCTAGCATAAAAGTAGAAAAAAGTAAAAGGAAGAATGGAACAAGAAATTTTGAAAATTATGTTTTCAAAAGAAAAAGCTGCTTATAGATCATGCTCACGTAATTCTCCAATATAATAATTCAGTCCTTTAAGATGACTTAAAAACATATTCCAAATGTGTTTGCTTATTCACAGTGAAATATTTGGTGATGAATCAGAGGTAGTCCAAAAAATGATCAAAATTCATTACCTAACATTCATGTTGAATGTGTTTAATCACTAAGCAATTATGGATTTAATATCTAAGATTGATTATCCAGTCAAATCGCCTCCCAGAATATTTAAAATCAAGTTGCTCTGCTGCTTTGTCAGAAAAATATGTGATTGCTTATGCATGTCAATGATTTACACATACACACATTTGGTAATGAGACATACAATAGAGCAAACTGAAGTTATTCCTTTCCCCAATCTATAGTATCTATTAACTCTTTAGTTTTAAACAAAGAAAAACCATATTTTATTTTATTTATTTTTTATTGTACTTTAAGTTCTAGGGTACATGTGCACAACGTGCAGGTCTGTTACATACGTATACATATATTGTACCAACATACATATGTTGGTGTGCTGCACCCATTAACTCATCATTTAACATTAGGTATATCTCCTAATGCTATCCCTCCCTCCTCCCCCCACCCCACAACAGGCCCTGGTGTGTGATGTTTCCCTTCCTGTGTCCATGTGTTCTCATTGTTCAATTCCCACCTATGAGTGAGAACATGCGGTGTTTGGTTTTTTGTCCTTGCGATAGTTTGCTGAGAATGATGGAAAAACCATATTTTATAAGACTATGAAGCTTACAGAATATAGTATATGTAGTACGTCCCAAACTAATCTGTTCCAACAGGTATAAGAAAAATACAACAATATATGTTTAAAAGTTACATTCACTAAAGGCAAAAAAGATAATCCTACATGGTTTAGATTTTCCATAGGAGAATACAGTTGAAGCAAGCTCTGCAGTGATAATATTCAAATAATTTATGTAAATTAGAATGGTCAAATGTTTCTGTCTATGCAATCCAACTGGATGTTAGTGTAGGTACTTAAGTTATAGAATGCTTATAATTGCACAGCATTCCAGTAACTGATAGAAGAAAAGACAATGATAGATGCTGATCCTTATTCCACGTCAAATGGCCTTGTATAGACTTTGCCTAACCAGAGTCTCAGATCCCACTGAGTGCTTTTCAAAAGGGGCATTTTTCCCTGTTATAACACAGGTACTATTTTTGGCCTCACAAAGCCTTCAGCCTAGACAGTGAAATCCCAGCTATAGACACATGCAAATAATCCTAGAATTTGCAAATATGCTACAGAAAATATCATTCTCTCTTTTATGTCAACCCTCACATCACCACTAGTACTCCCATAGGCAAGGGGAGACTGGCAAAGATTCTTTACACTGGAAACAAGTGATTCTGATAGACTGCAGATACTTACCTCAATACAGGTTGATAGCTCATTAACACAGCTTAGATTTCATGAAAAAGTCTGCTTCCTGGCCGGCGCGGTGGCTCATGCCTGTAATCTCAGCACTTTGGGAGGCCGAGGTGGATAGATCACGAGGTCAAGAGATCGAGACCATCCTGGCCAACATGGTAAAACACCATCTCTACTAAAAATACAAAAAAAAATTAGCTGGGCATGGTGGCACAAACCTGTAGTCCCAGCTACTCAGGAGGCTGAGGCAGGAGAATTGCTTGAACCCAGAAGGCAGAGATTGCAGTCAGCCAAGACTGTGCCACTGCACTCCAGCCTGGTGACAGAGCAAGACTCTATTTCCAAAAAAAAAGAAAAAGTCTGCTTTCTTGACTAAGGAGCACATGTCCAGTGATGCTACACGATACTACCCAGGTGCCCATTAGCAGTATGCAACAGTCATTTGATAAGTCCTAATCTAATGGTCTTGAAAGAGTTAATCTTCCAAACAGACTACAAAATAGTTTGTACACTGAAAATATCAAGCACAACTGATTACATATCTGAGTTTTTCAAGAGGAAAAAAACACAGAGCTAAGGGCGATCTACTTATTGATATCACAGTGAAGAACCGGAGAAAACACCTCGAATGATTATGAGACTTCTACATGGGGATTCTGGTAGGGGAAACCTGGGTATTTTACTTTGATCTTTATGAGTAGCTGTTTCATTGGCAATATTCTAACTATCTGATGGTAGTGGAAAATCATTTCAATATTTGAAAGTTACATACTTGATTTTCAGGTGAGCTACTCATGGCAATTTTTTAAAGGGCACAGTTTTCTATTCACTATGTTTGCTGACATACAATTCAAATATAGTACAATACAGAAATAAAGACATAAAATTCCATAAAGAACAAAGGAATCATACTGTGTACACTTAGCAACATAGTAATTCATACCAAGCATCAAGAAAAGAGTGTAAAATAAACTGCAAAAAGCGCTCAGTTGAGCATGGTTGATTTTTTAAGTTTCGGTTATCTGAAATTTGGAACACTGGCCTAAATGTTATCTTTACTATTTAAATGTGATTTTGATAAGAACTCAGAACTTTTACACATAAATGACTTGGGTAACGTTTTGGAGACAATTTACACACACACACATACACCAACAATGACAAACATAATTTGGTGTTTTCCAAATATGCTTAATGAAAAGAATCATTAGCAAATATATCCAGATAACTTTTTGTCTTACGTATATAGTTGCAAATCAGCAATTTATTCTAGTATGTGACACTTTGCTACAGACTTTTAAAATACAAGAAAACATGGTTATCATCTGTAGCAAAACACTTGATACGACATACCTCACAGTAGTCTCAAATAACAATTTGGGGTAAACTGCTGCCAAAGTTTATGAAACCATAGTTTTGTGATGCATTTTTTCTCTCTCAGACTTTCAGTACTATTAGGGCAGTGAAATTCTAAAATGAATTACTGAAGAATATTGTTTTGCAGTATCTATAATAGAAAAGCTATCTGGTTTCATTATTTACTTGCACAACTGAAGTGTCCATCTAGAACACAGTCAGCACCGCATCAAACAGTCTACAGCAACTTGATCCTTTGTCATTTTTAACTGAGCTCGTTCGACAAATTAATGAATTAACAGAGATCAATTCAAAAGAGCTGCTCAGTGACACAATAATAACAAGCCCAATGTCTAATAAAGTTAAATAAAATTTTATACATAACTGCTGCTTTAAAATCCCAGGGTAATTGACACCTGAATAAGAGCTCTGTAATATAATTTAGTTCTTTTTATTATTATTATTATTATTGTACTTTAAGTTGTAGGGTACATGTGCACAATGTGCAGGTTTGTTACACATGTATACATGTGCCATGTTGGTGTGCTGCACCCATTAACTGGTCATTTAGCATTAGGTATATCTCCTAATGCTATCCCTCCCCCCTCCCCCCTCCCCCCACCCCACAACAGTCCCCAGAGTGTGATGTTCCCCTTCCTGTGTCCATGTGTTCTCATTGTTCAATTCCCACCTATGAGTGAGAACATGCAGTGTTTGGTTTTTTGTCCTCGGAATAGTTTGCTGAGAATGATGGTTTCCAGTTTCATCCATGTCCCTACAAAGGACATGAACTCATCATTTTTTATGACTGCATAGTATTCCATGGTGTATATGTGCCACCGTTTCTTAATCCAGTCTATCGTTGTTGGACATTTGGGTTGGTTCCAACTCTTTGCTATTGTGAATAGTGCCGCAATAAACATATGTGTGCATGTGTCTTTATAGCAGCATGATTTATAATCCTTTGGGTATATACCCAGTAAGGGGATGGCTGGGTCAAATGGTTTTTTTTTTTTTTTTTTTTTTTGAGGCAGAGTCTCATTCTGTAGCCTAAGTTGGAATGTACTGGCGCGATCTCGGCTCACCACAACCTCTGCCTCTGGGGCTCAAGGGATTCTCCTAACTCAGTCTCCTGAGTAGCTGGGATTACAGGCGTGTGCCACCATGCCCAGATAATTTTTTGTATTTTTTTAGAGATGGGATTTCATCATGTTGCCCAGGGTGGTCTCAAACTCCTGAACTCAGTTGATCTGCCCACCTCAGCCTCCCAAAGTGCTGAGATTACAGGTGTGAGCGACTGTGCCCGGCCTATGATTTAGTTCTTTATCTGGTTGCATGCACAACTTGTAATATAGAGCAGCAAACATTTATGACCATGAGTATAGCTACCCAATGCTAACTCTGCCAGCTGAAAGGTTTGTGGTGTTGGTTGTGGTTGTGATTGTTGATGAGCCATTAACTGATTTATGTTCAGCCTTTCCCTCTGTAATAAGAGGCACTCACCCCACTTTCATTGTTTGTTCCATTTACAGAAAAAAAATTGTTCCATTTGCTCATTTATAAATAAAATTCTCTTTCATTTTTCTGCTAGAAGTCTTCAAAAAGTGAAGAAGAATGCAATTACCCCTTTTGTGGCACTCATTTACAATAAAAGTTTGCACACTCCTTCCCCTGAATGCATTCAGCAGCTTACTCTCACCCCAGCCCTGAACCGCATTCCTCAGTTAACATGTAACTCTCCATACATTCTGTACTTCTCTTGACTAGTAGAATTGGAGGGGTTTATAATGCTGACAGCACGTTAGCTCAGAAACTATGGCAGCAGCCAGGTAAAAGTTGGAAGTTTCCTCCACCACTCTGCTTTCCCAGACATCTGTCAAGAGCGAGGCCTTGCGCAGCGTGTCCATCTCACCCGGAACGTGGTGCTTTTTTAAACGGAGTCCACCTTTACTACATTATTGTTGGTCATCAGTGGAGACGGTTTCCATTTAACCCTATCGGCCACGTCGTTAGAGCTGTCCACAAAGAACACCCTGGCTGTACAGAGCGAGACTATAATTCTC
This sequence comes from Homo sapiens, assembly GCF_000001405.40. Taxonomy (NCBI): domain Eukaryota; kingdom Metazoa; phylum Chordata; class Mammalia; order Primates; family Hominidae; genus Homo; species Homo sapiens. Next base: position 186,533,822 of record NC_000004.12, read on the forward strand.
CTGTATTCCTTCCTGAAATTTTGGTTCAGTAGCCCGTATATAATGGCATTGAGGCAGCTGTTGAAATACGCCATGTAGTAACTGGCCACAAACAGCCACTCTGGGATCCTAGGCACCATGCTGGCGGGGTCAGAGGCCACGGCCAGGCCAATGAAGTTCAGAGGAGCCCAGCAAATGGCAAAAAGGACAAAAACCACAAACATGGTGACAAAATTCCTGAAGTCCTGTGGTTTCAGTTTGGGTTTGCGGTCAGGTTTCACCCTCTGTCTGACCTGGAGAACCAGGATCCATATTCTCAGGTAACAGAAGATGACTATGATCATGGGGACGAGGAAGTGGAAAACCACCACGGCGATGGTGTAGGCGGAGCTGACGGACTGGGCGAAGGTGCACGAGTAGATCCTCGGGTCGTACTGGAGAGTCCCTGCACGGAGGTTGGGCAGGACGGCCGCCAGCGTCAGGAGCCATATGAGGAGCACGTAGCAGAGGGAGTTCTTGCTGCTGTACAGTTTGTCGTACTTGAGACTGTGGCAGATGTAGCAGTAGCGGTTGATGGCGATGCCGGTGATGTTGAATATGGAGCCGATGACGCTCAGGCCCATCAGGAACCCACTGACTTGGCAGTGCAGATAGCCCAGGTTCCACCCGTTGTTAAATATCGACATCAGCACCAACGGGTACGGATAAATGGCCACCACCAGGTCTGCCACCGCTAAGCTCACCACAAAGATGTTTCCTGAAAGAGAATCGTTTAGAAAATACAGTGAATACCAGTTCACAGTGGGTTTTCTGTTACAATTGTTAAAGAAGGAGCTGCTTCTGCAGCTCCGATGACCTGACGTCACAGCGGCGGCCGCACTGCAAATGAAGTGGAGGCCGTTTCCCAGGAGGGCCAGTCCACTGCCGCTCCTGACACATCGAATCCGCTGTTCACACATTCCCACCTCCCCAGAACAGGGCCTGTTCCATGTTCAAAACTGCTGTCTTTCAAACCGTTCGGCTTCTCATCTCTTAAAAAGTCCTGAGATCAGAATGCTTGCACACCATCTGTTGTTCTGGAGCCTTCTACATCACCTGAGAAATCTCATATGATGTCAAGCCAGCCACAACTTCCTTAAGTTCAAGTCTTCATTCCCTCTGTAGTGCTTCAGCAGCTCTCAGGGGGCCTCTAGCTTCTGTTCTTGCTGATCCCATAGAGAGGGAGTTAAGGGCAAGAGGGATCTGTCGTCAGCCGTCTGGATGAGAACATGGCTTCACTCCTTACTAACTGTCCAACCGGGGCAAGTTACTTGATCTCCCCAAGCACCTGCCTCCTCCCCTGGATGATGGGATAATGAGCAGCTTCCTCTTAGGGCTGTGGTGAGCACGAGATGAGACTATCTGTGGTGAGCGCCATGTACCGTGTCTTACACCATAGAAATGTTCTTATTCTACGACTCCCTCACCTTGAACCAAAGGAAAATGCAGAAATTCTCTTAGATCTTATAAAGAACTTACGTTACAAAACTTAAACCCTAAATAGTCTGTTAATTTTCTCAATTAATATAACAACACATATTTAATTACAGAAAAAAAAAACTCTAGTCACTTTTTTATTTTTATTTTTTTGAGACAGAGTCTTGTTCTGTCACCCAGTCTGGAGTGCAATGGTCCGACCTTGGCTCACTGCAACCTCCGCCTGCAGGGCTCAAGCAATCCTCCTACCTCAGCCTCCCAAGCAGCAGGGACCACAGGTGCACACCACCACACCCGGCTCGTTTTTGTATTTTTGTAGAGACGGGGTTTTGCCATTTTGTCTAGGCTGCTCTCAAACTCCTGGGCTCCAGCCATCCACTTGCCTCGGCCTCCCAAAGTGCTGGGATGGCAGGTGTGAGCCATTGCTCCCAGCTACATTAGTCAAATATTATGAGATGTTCTGCAAATATGTTTTTTTTCTTTTGCGGCTCTTCTGCCTCTGTTTCTTACTATTCCTTCTGCCTCGAATGGCTCCTCACATCAACTTTCTAAATCCTGCCCATTCTCCCAAGTCTATCTCAAATAGAAATGCCAGAAGCCTTTGCTCATTTGCCCACCTAGTGGTAAGAGCTTCCTCCTTTGAAGGGTCTTAAAGCACTTTATACTGCTTTTTACTCAGATTAAATTATAATAAATTCAATTCAGTTTACATATTAAATGCATATATTTGGTGCAGGGGGAAACAGGAATTGAGAGACAGGAAAAGTCAAAAAGATTACACTAGAGTGGTTGGGCGCAGTGGCTCACACCTGTAATCCCAGCACTTTGGGAGGCCAAGGTGGGTGGATCAACTGAAGTCAGGAGTTCAGGACCAGCCTGGCCAACATGGTGACACCCCGTCTCTACTAAAAATACAAAAATTCGCTGGGCGTGGTGGCGGGCACCTGTAATCCCAACTACTTGGAAGGCTGAGCCAGGAGAATTGCTTGAACCTGGGAGGCAGAGGTTGCAGTGAGCAGAGATCGCGCCATTGCACTCCAGCCTGGGTGACAAGAGCAAAACTCCGTATCAAAAAAAAAAAAGAAAAAAAAGAAAAAGAAAATTACACTAGAGTAAGCAGCAGCACCAGAGCACGCACAGACCAGAAGCTGTGAGGAAAGGGGTGCGCTGGACAGGGACAGAGGGAGCCCCAGGTGGACGGACAGAAGATTTCGCCTTCTATTCTATTGACCTGTAGGCCAGGCTTCCCTGCGTCTCCAGATGGTGGCCCTCGTGAGTACATTTCCTCATATTTGCGTCCTAGACCACACCCAATAAATACAGTGACTTTTGCTCATACACTCAATGAGTTCATTAAACTGTCACTTCCCAATATTTGAAATGAGACAGCCCATAGCAGTCAAGATGAGAGAAAGGCAAAATTTGTGCCATTTATTTAGGAATTTCAGATAAATTGTCATAAAAGCAAATACTTTAAAAATTGGTTGTATTCATCCAAATTAAAGTTACAAAGGCAAATTTATTTTCCCACAGATCACTTTCAATTAGCGTTGAAACATTTAAATTCCTAAGAGGTGTATTTTAATAAATTATTTAGCTCAAAATGTTTAATGCTTTAAAAGCATCTATAATATGTGAAATTCTGTTCCAAATCAAACTGTCATTGTAACAGCACATTTGTTCCCAGAGTGTCATGATGACAAACTGGCCTAATATGGATTTATTTTTAAAAGAGCTTAAAAATGAAATCACAAATGATGTCATAAATTTCTTTCATGGCTCGAATACCCTGCTTCATTTATTTTATAGTAATTATGTTGCATTACAATTCAAGCAATTACATTAATTAGATCATTGATTCTTTGAATTAATCCCATTTTACAAATCTTGGTGAAAATTAATTAAGCCACAGACTCCCCACAGGTGCGGCTGTCAGGTAGCTCACATAAAGCTTTAGCACCAGTGTTCATGTGTGCCTGGGGGGTGTGTGGTGTCTGGGCGGAGAAGGAAAAAGGGAATTTCCTTTTTTCTTTTATGAACTTCACCAGATAAGAGTCATTAAATCATCTAATTATAATTATACACATTATAAGTTCATCTATTCCATTCTCAAATCTATGTAACTCCAGACATATGGACAATCTACCCATTTTTACAGATATCCAGGACTGTATGCAACAAGCTTAATAATGCATTCTGAAATGTAAAATAATGTCTGTTCATGGGTAAGAATTTCTTCTCTGTTGAATATAGTTCCAATCCTTACTGTGGCAGAATCATAGAATCATAGGATGTTAAAATTGAGAGATGGGTTAATGATCTCCCTGGATAATTCCTACTTTTTAAAGATGAGAAAACAAAAATATAGAGTTAAATTGGATGAAGTCGTACGACTACTTAGTGAAAGAGTCAGGATTATACCAATGCTATGAACTGGTGAGTGTTGTTCAATGTTATTTCCCTGAGAAAGCTCCTGTGCTCCTACAGATACGAGACTCAGAAACTGGGCCCTGTGGCTACGTCCTGGCTTACAGCCTCTCCAGGCACAATTCTGAAGAAGCGTATTTGAACTAGAACATTCTAAAGAGAAGATGGGGGAGGAAAACACCTAAGTCAGTATGCTGGCAACAAGACGAACAGCGATCAGCCTTGTGGTGATTAAAGGCACCAACTATAAAATGCACAGTCAATATTTGTTCCCAGGAATAAAACCTTAAAGTGGAAGTGAAATATGGCACAGATATGAATAAAATAAGGTAACAGACAACTAAAATGTCAGCTTGCTGGGAGTACCTTCCTCAGAACTAGTCCTGTGAGTCCCTTCTGGGAATGACACAGCAGCACGACGTTGCTTTTCTGTTTATCGCGATTATGTCTCTACTTCTCCCCATCTCCCACAGCCCCAGCTATCACCTCGGTGAGGACACTGCCTGTCTTAGATATCTTCTCCCTCCACCTTGAACAGTACCTGGCCGAGGGTTAATCGATGCACAGTGGGTTTATATTGTGTCAACTTCGCGAAGCTGAAAAGACTTTTCCTTGCACCGCTCCGGGTTAGTGTTCCCCACAAGAGGCAATTGCGTGAGATTTTGAAGGCGGAAGTGCAGCAGTAGCTTGCTCTCTGCCCTCAGTATGTCTGTGTCAAGTGCCAGACGCCACCACAAGCTCGGCACTCCGAGTCTCATCTGCTGCCCTGCAGGGGGTGGGTGACGGCAGTGTGCTCACAGCTTCTCCAGCTCCTGCTCACCTCCTCCTGGCTTGAGATTCGACCATCCTCCAGAGCTCCAGTCCCTCCTCCCAGGTTCTAGCTTCCCCTGCGTCCCCTCCTAACATCCAGCTTTCCTTCTTAAATCCGTGGACTTTAGACAGCAGCACCAGACACAGAAGCGAAAACCTCAAATACGCTATTTAATCAGCTCACACAACTGCTCTAGCAATTTTACTTCTTGGATTGATTGAACCCAGACTGATACAGAATTTGGTTCTGGAAGTGGACCAAGGAGAACCTTCAGGATGGTTTCTCTGTATTGGTTTTGGGTTACCTGCAGTCGATTCTGTAATAGGACTAGCTTTAAAGTATTAGAAATCCTATTTCCAGTAGTTAAGGGACACTGGTAGTCACGGCCTGCAGGGGCAAAAGAATTCCTTAAAAGACCACCTGGGCTGGGTGTGGCAGCTCACGCCTGTAATCCCAGCACTTTGGGAGGCCGAGGCGGGGGATCACGAGGTCACGAGATCAAGACCATCCTGGCCAACATGGTGAAACCCCATCTCTACTAAAAATACAAAAATTAGCTGGGCGTGGTGGTGCGCACCTGTAGTCCCAGCTACTAGGGAGGCTGAGGCAGGAGAATCGCTTGAACCCAGAAGGCGAAGGTTGCAGTGAGCTGAGATCGTGCCACTGCACTCCAGCCTGGCAACAGAGCAAGACTCCATTAAAAAAAAAAAAAAAAAAAAAGGCCACCTGTATTCACCTTCCAAGGTGAAAACAATGTCATTGCATCACCCTCCAACCACTAAGATGAAAAACAAAATATACCAACCATACAAAGGGTTGGACGTATTAAACCAACCCATTTCCTGAGTGACTCAAAAAGCTGTCAGTGTTGACTGGAGCCCAGAACAAGGCCCTGAAGGCTGCTCAGCCACCTGATCCATCTGATCCAATGGCTATGGTCTAAATGTGTCTCCCCCAAAATTTATGTGTTGACACTTAATCGCCAATGTGATAGTATTGAGAGGTGGGGCCTTTAGGAAGCCATTAAATCATGAGGGTGGAGCCCTTACAGATAAGATTAGTGCCTTTATAAAAGAGGTGCCAGGGAGTTGTTCATCTCTCCACCATGTGAGGACTCAGCATTCATCTGCTCCAGAAGACACAGCAAGAAGGCACCATCCTGGAAGCAGACAGCAGCCCTCACCAGACTCCAAATCTGCCAGTGCCTAGATTTTGGGCTTCCCAGCCTCCAGAACTGTGAGAAACACATTTCAGTTATTTACAACTTCCCAGTCTACATTGTTATAACAGCAGGAACAGATTAAGACACCAATGGGGCTTGAATTGTTTATAGGGTTGTCCCTTGGTATCAGCAGGGACTGACTCCAGGATCTCCATAGACACCCAAATTCATGGATGCTTGTATTAGTCCATTCTCATGCTGCTGATAAAGACATACTCGAGACTGGGCAATTACAAAAGAAAGAGGCTTAATGGACTTACAGTTCCACGTGGCTGGGGAAGCCTCACAATCATGGTGGAAGGCAAAGAAGAGCAAGTCACATCTTACGTGGATGGCAGCAGGCAAAGAGAGAGCTTGTGCAGGGAAACTCCCCCTTATAGAACCATCAGATCTTGTGAGGCTTATTCACTATCTCGAGAACAGCATGGGAAAGACCTGCCCCTGTGATTCAATTACCTCCCACCAGGTCCCTGACAACCCATGGTAATTCAAAATGAGATTTGAGTAGGGACACAGCCAAACCGCATCAATGCTCAAGTCCCACAGTTGGCCCTGCAGACCCTGTGAATATGTGAAGTTGGCCCTCTATGTCTTTGAGTTCCACATCCCTCAAATATTGTATTTTCAATCCATGATTGGTTGAATCCCTGGATGTGGAACCCATGGATATGGAGGGACCACTGCATGTTAATAGGAAGGCTGTAAGGAGGCCTTAGCAGGCACATTCAGATGACTCATAACACAGACCCTTAGTACTTTGCAGCAAATCTGTGCTCTCCTTTGCAGATACCGTTTTTTACTTCCTACTTGGCCTTGGTAGAGTCTGAATGCTCGAACATGGACCCCCAAGTGACCATGTGATCTGAAAGCTGTCTGAAGGACCAGGTGCTGTCTATCTGAAGGACCAGGTGCTGTCTGTCTGAAGGACCAGGTGCTGTCTGACTGACTGAAGGACCAGGTGCTGTCTGTCTGAAGGACCAGGTGCTGTCTGACTGACTGAAGGACCAGGTGCTGTCTGTCTGAAGGACCAGGTGCTGTCTGACTGAAGGAAGGACCAGGTGCTGTCTGACTGAAGGACCAGGTGCTGTCTGACTGAAGGACCAGGTGCTGTCTGACTGAAGGACCAGGTGCTGTCTGACTGAAGGACCAGGTGCTGTCTGTCTGAAGGACCAGGTGCTGTCTGACCCACCAAATCACCAAATCACAAAGTTGCCCATCACAGCATCAAACAGAAGCCGCACATCCAAGATCTGGCTCCGGCAGCTCCTGAAGGCACAGGGAAGATGCAAGAGCAAGTGGCTCAGAGGCCACAGCCTGCGTTCCCACCACCCTGCCTCCATTCCCTCAGCATGCTCCTATGGCCTCATGAGGACGTGCCCCTGACCAGCTGAATAAGAAAGAAAAAAACCTTCTTGCCTGGTTTCCACATGGCTTTTCATGACCTACTGACACTACCTGAAATTGGATGGTTGCAGCACTACAGACCCAATTCAGTACAGCCCTGAAAAACAAGGATGGAGGAAGACCCTCCCAGGAAACAGAACTTTGAGCAATGCTTCAAACTGGTTGTTCATTTTTCCTGGAAGGAGAGAGGGCCACAGGTTTAGATCTGCACTGATTAATGGGCAGTGGCTAATGGTCAGCTAGACCAGGGGTCCCCAACCTGATGGGGACAGTAGCTAATGGTCAGCTAGATTCATGGGCAGTGGCTAATGGTCAGCTCGATCAGGTTGGAGACGGCTGATCTAGCTGACCATTAGCCACTGATCTAGCTGACCATTAGCCACTGCTCTAGCTGACCATTAGCCACAGACTGGGTCCGTGACCTGTTAGGAACCAGGCTGCACAGCAGGAGGTGAGCAGCATATGAGCAAGCATTACCGCCTAAGCTCCCCCTCCTGTCAGCTCAGCTGTGGTATCACATTCTCATAGGAGTGCAAACCCTATCGTGAACTCCATGTGAGGGATCTAGGCTACACCCTCCTTATGAGAATCTAACTAATGCCTGATGATTTGAGGTGGGACAGTTTCATCCCGAAACCATTCCCCCACCCTGTCCTGTGGAAAAATTGTCTTCCATGAAACCAGTCCCTGGTGCCAAAAAGGTTAGGGACCACTGAGCTAGATGGGCAACGATTTGGAAGAAACATAATTAGAAAACCGGTTATGGGGCTCTGGGGAAGACGTAGCACACAGACCTCTCAGAATGGACACTTGGTGTGAAGATATTTGTGTCTTGATGATGCAACCTGTGTATATCAGTTAATCTGTCTTTGGCCACCAGTCCTTGACCAATGGGCTCACAAAGTTGTCATGGCAGCAAGGATAGAAGTTATTCATGAGCTCAGCATCAGATTACTCCTCATGAAAACTGATCTGGATGCAGCCACTGCTGCACTGCTGAATGTCCAGCCTGCCAAGAGTGGAGATAACACCAGCGGAGCACCATTCCCTGGGAAAATCAGCCAGACGCTGCTGGTAGGTGGATTACATACCACTTCCATCATCAAAGGGAGCAGTGGTTTGTTCTGGCTGGAACAGAGGCATACTCTGAATATGGATGTGCCTTTCCTACCTTTTCAGGCCCTTAAATCTTCCAGCAACCTAACACCCACGGACGTACAGGACGCCTTCTCCACCGTGATGGTATTCCTCATGGCGTTGCTTTTGACTAAGGAATTCCTCTGACAGCAAATGAAGTATAGCAATGGGGCCATGTCCTGGGAATTCACTGCCCTTACCAGGTTTCCCATCTCAAAACAGCTGACCTGATATGTTGGTGGAATGGCTTTTGAAGGTTCAGTTTCAGCACCAGGCGGGTGAGCCTAGGGTACAGATCCCTATCATGTGGCACCTGCTCTAAATCAGTGATTAACATAGAATGTTGTTCATCCCATGGCCAGGATTCATGGATCAGAAAATCAAGGGTGAAAATGGCAGCTCATCCTCTCATATTACCCTGGTGATACCCTAGCAAAATGTTTGCTTCCTTTCTGTGAAACTTTAGGTTCTGTTGGTCTAAAGTCTTAGTTCCCAAGGGAGCAATGCTTCCACCAGGAGATACCCCTTTGGTTTCATTAAACTGGAAATTGAGGCTAGGCACAGATCCTGGCACTTTGGGAGGCTGGAGTGAGTGGATCACTTGAGCCCAGGGGTTCAAGACCTGCCTGAGCAACATGGTGAAACTCCATCTCTACAAAAAATAAATTAGCCAGGCGTGCAGGTGCATGTCTGTATTCCCAGTTACTCGGGAGGCTAAGGTGGGAGAATCACTTGAGCCCAAGAGTTCAAGGCTGCAGGGAGCCATGATGGCACCACTGAACTCCAGCTCAGGCGACAGAGCAAGATCCTGTCTCAAAGAAAAGAAAACCAGAAAACTGGAGGTTGAGAGTGCCACCTGCTATTTGGGGCTCCTCATTCTAGTGAATCCATAGACAAGGAGGGGGGTTACTGTGCTTACCGTGTTTAGTCCTGATCATCAAGGGGAAACTGGGTTATGATTGCACAGTAAGAGCAAGGAAGTATAGATCTGGCATGCCAGAAATCCCTCGCGTGTCTCAGTACTCCCATGCCCTGGGATTGAAGCCAATGGGAAACCAAAATAACCCAATACAGGCAGGAATGCCAGTGTCCCAGAGTGTTAGGAATGAAGGCTTCAGCCACCAGAACATGCAAAGAGCCAGAGGGCAGAGGAAATGAGGAGGGAATGGTAGTTCCAAATACCCACTGTGGCCACCTGGCCAACTGCAGAAGTGAGGGCTAAAATAATTATGAGTATTTCCTGCTTGCTTTAGCATGAACAATTTGTGAATATAGTAATAACTTTGTGTCTCTTTCCCTCTGCTATTCCCCTACCATCTCATATAAGATGTGTTAATAGTGAACCTTGTATCTCAGAATGTAAGTTATAGGATATCAAATGGGGAATGTGACTCAACTAGAATAATAAAAATGATGTAAAGTTGCATAAAGAGACTGTATTTTCTTTTACAAAGAGGGTTAATGTATTTTCAATTTTACACGGGATAGTTGCTTTGTTAGATGGAAGCATAATTTTGATGTTTCCTTTATTTCGAAGTTAAATATGGTTAAAAGATATAGCTAGAACCCAAGTTGTCAAGGGGTGGACTGTGTTGAATTAGTATTGTGTCAACTTAGCTAAATTGGAACTATGCTCCCTAGAATTCTGTTTTCTGCATAATTATAGGATAGCCTCACCCACAAAAGAATTTTGTATAAGATTTGGAAGGTGGAAATGAAGCAGCAGCTATTTTTTTCATTTTTTCTTCTTGAGATGGAGTCTGGCTCTGTCACCAGGCTGGAATGCAGTGGTGTTATCTTGGCTCCCTGCAACCTCTGCCGTCCCCCACCCCCACTGGGTTCAAGCAATTCTCCTGGCTCAGCCTCCTGAGTAGCTGGGACTACAGGTGCACGCCACCATGCCCAGCTAATTTTTGTATTTTTAGTTGAGATGGGATTTCACCATATTGGCCAGGATAGTCTCGATCTCTTGACCTCATGATCCACCCACCTCGGCCTCCCAAAGTACTGGGATTACAGGCGTGAGCCACCATGCCCGGCCTGCAGCAGCCATTTGTGTAATGCTTTTTTATGCTAGATATGCCGTTATTAACTAGTAAAAGCCTTAACTAAGTAAATCTACAGGATCTTCCTATCCTGGGCCAGACTCTTACCTTTTATCAGTCATTTCTGCTCTTTTTTAGAAATCCCACACTGCAATCCTCAGGCTGATTTGCATTTGAATGAATACTTCTGCATCACTTTGCTTTTTTGTGAATTACACAGAAATCTATCAACCTATCTGACACTGTGCAAAGTGTGGACCCTGTGTCTGAAGTTTTCATGAACAATGAAAATGTGTATTTCTGAAAAACGTCTGTTTCTACAGCTCTAGCCATCTTTTTCCTCATTTGATAATCTCCAAATCTGTGCAATGATTAACCCTGCGGACACTTTCTTTCCTTCTGCGTGTGGGTTAGCAGGGCCCATTACCACAGCAAGCCTGGGCTCCAGGCGGCTTCTGCTCATCCTCTGTCTTTCAGAGGTGTTGTCGTAGACGCTGCTGGCGCATTTCTCCCCAAAGTGTCTGTGAGTTCTGGGAGCCTTCATTTGGCAAGGACTGGATCCTTCCCCAGAGACTGCCTTCACTGATCACAGAGCCACTGAATGGGGTACAAACGACCAGTCCCTTTGCCTCAAGTAATGGCAACTCCACTGGATTTACGCCCAGAGGCCCCAACTTATGGATGAGGCCAAGTCTCAGCTTTCCCTGAGACCCCATCCCTCCCTGACCCTTTCCCCTGCCCTGATCTGCTCTCCTCTCTTTCTTACAAGCTCCCCCTGAGAGTGCTCCCTCAGCAAAGCACGAGTACCAAGCCTCTGTCTCAGGTTCTGTTTCTAGCAAACCTGAAATAGACCTTCAGCTCTATGATGAGGTTGGGTGGTTTCCTAAAGAGGTCACTGGCTTCTAGATAGAAAAAAAGAGCTACTTACTATGGTGTCTTACAGACACGAGCCAACCATACCGGGTAGGAGTTACAGGCTGTAGCTGCCCACCGGCACTGCTCTTCCATGCTTCCAACCTCACTACGTGTGCATCTGCTTCCAATATTGAGGCAACATGAAAACACACACATTCGCACAGCCGTCTGTCTCCCTCTGAGACTCAGGTCCTCACTGTGGACATGAACCTTCACATTCTCACGGTGAGCACAGAGCCTGGCCCATATTAGGTGCTCGGAAATAATTTGCTGATTGAATTAACGCACCCTTTGGCCTCTGAACTACTCCCTCAGAAAAGCAGAAATTACTTGCTCTTCCTGCTCATATCCACTAAGATGTTGGTTTTTCCCAGCAGGTCAATATTCACTCCTTCTTTCATTTCAGCCTGGACTTTAACCACGTGGAAAGCAAGATTAGAGGCCCCCTGAATAGTACTGTTCACGAAGACTAAAAGGAACTGAGTGTGCCTGAGCTTAAGCATCACGAAGACCAGTAATAAAGAACTATTTACAAACTTGGTTTGTATTTTTTAAAATTGCACGTGCATACATGTTACCTGTATGATAAGAGAAAGCTGAGCTACCGCAGGTGTGTAGGGAATATTCTCTGGCAGTACAAGGGAAAGGGAAGGGCTTTACTTCGAGGCATCAAAGCACACAGTCCATGTTTTAGATTCTTAAATGTAAAGAGACTATACCTTAGAAAAGTGTCTTTTCAGATTACTAGAGGCAGTGTGCACCATGAGTGTGGAAACAAAAGCCGGATTCAGATCCCAGCCACGCCACTTGCTAACGTGACCTCAGGTAAGTCACAGCTTCCCACAGCCTCAGTCTCTTAATATGCAATAAATCAAGCTGCTTAGGGCCGTGGTGAGGATTTGAGGGCGTGTGGCCCATCTTCCTTTGCAGGATTATTCACTCATGTCTTATTTCTGTTCCCCTGTGATGGAAACCACACGTCTTGCTTCACGGAAGGTTCCTCCCTGGCACACAGTCCTGGCTAGGGAGGATCCTCCCTGATCCCTGCAATGGAACAGGGGTCTCTCCATAGCCGATGAGCCTCCTCTCATCCCCCACCCCTCCTGCCGTCGGCCTCACTGCTCCCCTCCCCCTTCCACACACGGCTCTCCACAGCACACATGACAGTGCATCACCCCGCAATGCCCAGGCTTCAATAGCCCTGCAGTATTCAGTGACATACTTGGTGACTCCTTCTCCCAGCCTTTAACTCCTTAAACTCCCCAAACTATAATACCCTCTTCATGTGACACGCCATCCACATCACACCCCATTAACGGGATATGCTGTCCACACCACACCCTGTTCATGAGACACGCTGCTCACCTTGCACCCTGTTCATACAACAACACACCATCCGCCTCGCTCCCTGTTCATGCCACCCACATCACACCCTGTTCATGCCACCCACACCACACCTGTTCATACAACACACCATCCACACCACACCCTGTTCATACAACACACCATCCGCCTCGCTCCCTGTTCATGCCATCCACACCACACCCTGTTCATGGGACACACCGTCCACACCACACCCTGTTCGTGGGACACACCGTCCACACCACACCCTGTTCGTGGGACACACCGTCCACACCACACCCTGTTCGTGGGACACACCGTCCACACCACACCCTGTTCCTGGGACACACCGTCCACACCACACCCTGTTCCTGGGACACACCGTCCACACCACACCCTGTTCCTGGGACACACCGTCCACACCACACCCTGTTCCTGGGACACACCGTCCACACCACACCCTGTTCGTGGGACACACCGTCCACACCACACCCTGTTCGTGGGACACACCGTCCTCACACCCTGTTCCTGGGACACACCGTCCTCACACCCTGTTCCTGGGACACACCGTCCTCCTCACACCCTGTTCCTGGGACACACCATCCACACCACACCCTGTTCATGGGACACACCGTCCACACCACACCCTGTTCATGGGACACACCGTCCACACCACACCCTGTTCATGGGACACACCGTCCACGCCACACCCTGTTCATGGGACACACCGTCCACACCACACCCTGTTCGTGGGACACACCGTCCTCCTCACACCCTGTTCGTGGGACACACTGTCCACACCACACCCTGTTCGTGGGACACACTGTCCTCACACCCTGTTCATGGGACACACTGTCCTCCTCACACCCTGTTCCTGGGACATGCTGTACCCATCACACCCTGTTCCTGGGACACACCGTCGTCCCACACCTGGTTCATGGTACTCGCGGTTGTCTGAACACCCTGTTCCATCTGAGCACCTCAGGGCTCCGTTGCCTCCTGGATTCCACGTGTCCTCCTGGCTCATTCCTCTCTCTCTCTATCCCACTCTGTCTCTAGTTCCCCACCTGTTCTCTAACTTGACTGTTGACTGCTGCTGTAGAGAAAACTAGTAGACCTTGGCACTGCTTTCTATTATACACGGTATTGTACACTGTACACTTTACATTGTACACTGTATTGCATATACACTGTATATACAATACGAGAGACCAAAGGCACCTGAGGTGTCTTTAAGAAATCATACACATTCCTGCTTGTTCCCATCTGGATTTCAGTCAGTGTTAAAGGTGTAACATCCTGCAAATAATCCTGCTCATTTTCTATGCCCAGTGACTGTCTTCTGAGAAGGGTGGTTTAGTGAGGCATTTGTAACTTGTAAAACATCCACAGTACAGCCTGACTGGTTCAGCCTTTCACCCTTAAATGGAAGACGAATTACTGATACTGTACCTTTATTCGTCTTAGAGAATTTAGGATGAAACTTTAACAAAAACAAAATCATAATCCTTCAGCGACATTAACAGGCAATCAAAAAAAAACTATATGAACTCTCTTTAGGGTAGGAGTCTTTTTTCCCTTAGGCACTTTTCCGAACCTTGAAGGACTCAGTGAAAACCCCATCTTAAATAAACAGATTAACTGCACTAAATAATAACTCTAAATTGCTAAATCCAAAAGAGAGTTTTATTAAAAATGGTATAATCATAATAGAACCCTATTTATATATGAAAGTTAAATCAATGACAGGAAAATATGTTAACACTACAAAAGTATAAAATAATATTCTCATAAAAGTAACTTTTTAAAAGTTAAAACTTTGACTCTATTTTTATGTACTTACAGAGTATTTAAAGACCTGTAAGTGTGAAATATTGCATTCTGCCTTAAAAATAAAAATATGTTTACACATCAGAACTCTACACCAAGAATACTAACTAACAAAAGGAATTTATTCTGCTGCTGGGAATGTTATATTTAATTCATAATGCACTTTAAGTATACAGCAAGCCATTTAGTCCTTACAATATTAGTATTGTCCCAAATTAACAAGTGAGGAAACTGAGCAAATTAGGTCACTTGCCCTATGTCACACGCATGAGATGGCAAAGCCCGGGTTTTACTCCAGGCATCTGGTTCCAGAGGCCATGTGTTTCAGAGGGACACATCCCAAAAAAAATGACCTATAATAGCACTAATCTTCCATAGATAAGGAATGCTTAATCTATAAAGATATATATATATATATATATATATATATATATATATACACTATATATGTAAAACAATCTTTTAAAAAAAGTACATGGTAAAAGACTATATGATACCTACACAGACATATACACAAATGAGAACAGTTGGAAGTATTCCAAATTCAGAGGGAACAACGAAAGGAGCTAAAAAAGATAAGTAAATAATAAAAGGAAAAAATGGAATGAAAACTAACTGGCAAAAAATCTTAAAAGTAAAAATTGCAATTTAAACCACATCTTAAAATAAAAATGAGTGAACCAGAATTTTCTCTTGAAACAAAATCGTGTCCTAAGCTCCTATAGATGGATATAGGAGGCATCCAGCAAGCATTTAAATAAAGGAGGAGGGAATGAATGCAGGAAGGATGAAAGCACAATATCCCTTCCAAGAACATATTCCTAAATATGTTCAGAAAATCATCAAAGAGGAAATACTAATTACTGATTACACATTTTTATAATCCACCACTTAATAACTATTTGAGAAAACAAGTATAAATGTAAGTTAGCAGGCTAGTTCTCCAGCAGGCGTTTCTTCGAAAGACCTGAAGCCAGTGTGTTCTTCACTAATAGTTATGCCGTGTCTCTACCACTGATCAGTTTCTTTGAAATTCTCTCACTAATTCCGTCTCAATCTGCTGCTATTTCACATGTGAACTAGTTTTCACATCTCCCAGTTATTACATTGTTCTCTCCTCGTAAGATAACAACTTTAAAAAATTCTCATGATTGCTTTAAGCTCCAGCTACCATCTACCAGCCAACTTTCGCATTTCTCTTGAAAAAGTTTTCTGCTGTATAAATATGCTCCTATTTTCATACTTTTGTACCCCAAGTCTTCTCTTTGTTTGAAAATAAGAAGAACACACATTTCTAAAGTGCCTCGATAGAAAGTAATCTCTTTGAAAGTCGGAGCCGCGTTTGACCCACGCTTAGAACAGGACCTTGAATTTTGACAAACCTGCAAAAATTTACCAACCATTTACATTCTGCCTTATACTCTAGGAATGCAGTAAGTATTTATCCAGGTAAATGTTCAGCTCAATAAGCACCAAAACTACTCAGTATCAAAGCAAGTGAGCACGCTTTTAAACCGTGCACCCTAACAACTCAAATTCACCTCCATTAACTTAAATAATATTCAGCACCGTGCAAATGCATTTTCTCTCCCGTCTCTTCTTCTGAGACTGATTCCTTCAATGGCATTGCCGAAAGTGTATACAGCTCTGTAGAAAGACAAGTGTTTGAGTACTTCATCCAGAGAATCCAGCAGTTTATTTCTTATCTGCAGCATTATTTAACTGCACTAAAAATCACAGAGATATCACATACAGCGCTCAGGTTCCTGGTCACCTTGATTATTTGAGAGGGGCAGAAGTGAGGCTGCTGATCATCTTCATGAAGAGGCAGAGATGGCACCAATGATACCGTGCAGAGTTCTGTGCATTCATAAAAACGCTTCTTTAACAACAATCCACTAATTGCCTTTTTGGTACTAGAAAACTCTAAAGGAGTATGTGAGTTTCCTTTTTAGAAGAAAGGGTATTTCTGTCAGCGAGGCAACTTACAAATATGTAGAAAAAAGGGAAAGCTTAAGGCACCTTGTAAAGATCTTACCATTCATTTCAGTTATTCTGTTGATTATTTTTAAAAGGTGCTAAGGAAGAATGGGCAGAATGAGCTCCAAAGACTCTGTGGAGATTTAAAGTGACTTCCAAGGCATGATAGTTTTCAGTGTAGATGCTTTTTAAAACAGAACCATCAAATGGCAGTAAATATTAATAGAAGGAGGTCTAATCTAGGACTATTTTATCCTAGGTTAACTCCCAAAATTGCCAAGAGAAAAATGATGCTGAAGGCAAGCAAAAGTAAGCTCTATCTTATCTGTGATTAATTTAACACTGAAAATTCCTGCCAGAAATACTTTCTTACGAAATGAATAGCTGGAGGAACGAAAGATCAGACAAATTCAATCATGTATTTGAGAGTCTGAAACTACTGTCATAAGATTTACAGGGGATTCTGGGAATTACTTTGACATATTTGTAAAAACTTAGGGTTCATAACAATGTACTATACAAACCAAGATAGAAAGTCATAGAAAACTGAACAACAGCTAAGAATACAAGGGGGAAAAATCAATAAAATGTCTCTAAAGTAAAAAATTGCCTTGAATCAGTAATTTCAAATATTGTGGAAAGCAACAGGAGGGAAACTACAGCAGCGCCAACAAGAAACCTCTCGGCTTGGAGATCGCATGAAGTGGGGTTAGCTTGAAATCATTTTCCAAGTCTGTACAGTACAAGTTACGTCGTAGGTTTTTGAATGGTAGCCTGCTTGCCCAAGGAAGCTACTGTAGCTTCTAGAGCTGATTCACTTAAAATTAGAGAACAGCTGAATATCGAAATAATCAGTCTTTAAATCTCAGGCCTTCTTGCTGCAGAGAGATAATGGTTGTTACAAAAGGGAAAACTCAGACAATGGAGATTTTGTGTATTTTGCATAATGTCACAAATGGGAATTAGATTCTAAACCTTCCATTTCTGGTTGATTTCACTGTTTTCCAGTTCATATTGTCTACTTGTTTTTTTTTTTAAACATACACTTAAAAAATAAAAACAATCTAAAAAGAACTAATCACCAGATGCGTACTAGCATTAACATCATAATACTATTATTTGTACCTCATAATGATAGATAGGTGGGTAGGTAGGTGGATGGATGGATAGATGGATGGATGGACGGACGATGGGTGGCTGGATGGATGAATGGGTGGTTGGACGTATAGGTGGGTGGATGGGTAGGTAAGTGGACTGATAGGCAGAATCTAAGTTTATCCTTCTAGTATCCCTGTAAGAAAAGTGGCATCTTAAACAGCCGTGGTACATCCGAGACTTGAACCAGATCTCTGAGGCCCAAAGTCCACATTCACTCCGTACTCTATGCATCCTCTCTGAGTGGTAATGCAGAATGAATAAATATAACATTCTATAGAGACCTGAAAGCAACAAGTGCAAGAGAGGCTTCACACAGAGTCAGCCATCCAGCCATAGAGCCATTCTGGGAAACCATTTTTAAAAACATATACTGACAAGTTTACCCTACTGTGCACACAGATTAAATAATAATAATAATAAACTGCTTTTGACAGGTATCTTTCTAAAATGTATCATATCCCTGTCTTCTTAAGTAGAACACACCACTCATGATGACATCTCTCGCTGATGAATCAGGTGATGATAATACATATGTTGCTGCACTGTGCTGCTTTCAGGAGCCGTGAATGGTGAGCAGGGCTGTTCACATCTTCACAATGTAAGCACAAAAGGTTGTGCTTGTTCTGTTTCTCAGATCTGCATTTAATGAGTCTATTTCAACCCATACTGCTTGCTATTATGTGCTATTTCTTTAAATGTGTCAATCTTCCTCCTAATTTCCTGCTCATAATCTACAGGGACCTAGACACCAGTATCACAGTTTTGTGGCACTCTAAGTTAGAACAAATCCGCTGTAGGTGAGAGCCTGTCATTTTTGCTAATTTCCATTTATTGGCTGTACTCTACCTCAGTTAGATTGCCAGATAATTGAATTTTGAATAGGCAAGATAGTATTGTATTCTTGCCTGATATTTTGTAAAATAAGTTTTATTTAAGTATAATGTACATATAGAAAAATGCACGAATCATAGGTCTATAGTGCAATGATTTCCAGCAAACAGAGCACGCCCTTGTTAGGTGTACCCAGAAAACAAACAAGCCAACACAGTATTACGTGTTTTATCCTTTTCAAAGTATTCTCATATGCGCCACTTCACTACAGTCATTGCAACACTCTTATGAGGCTAAGCGGTTGGGTATTACCTGCAATTCAACAAATGTGGAAAATGAAGTTTGGTATTTAGCTTCACTGATTTCTGAAATCAGAAGGAGCACAGCAAGGATCTAATCCTAGCGTTCCATTGCGGGAATCGTCCCTTATGCTATCAAATTTACTCAGAAGATATGATATGGTAGCTTCACTTCTATTATCAAATTGTGGACAAGAGTAGAGCGAATATTCTGTTGGCACCACAGATACCAGTGGTTGTCTGCAGCCTGCGTCGGCTGTGGCTGTCCACTGTCCCCGCCATGCAGATTGTTAGCCATTTTTAATTTATTCCCTGGGAAGTCAAATGTCAACACAGTCCCTTGAGGAGAGGAAGGTGGCATAAATCACCACAATTATACCAAGCTTTCCAAAGGAAAGTGATGGTTCAAAGCCTAGATGCCTTCACATTGTCATTTCTTCCATTCTCTTCTTCCCAACATTTCATCCTTAAAGCCAACAAAATTAATTTAGCTGAAATGAGAGGTCTGAAGATCATCAAAACTTTTAATAAGCATACCAAAACTTATATTTGAATCAGCTATCCTTATCACTGTTTCAAATTACCATCCATTCCAGAAATCCTCAAATGGCTTGAACCGCACATATAAACAAAAAATCCCTATTAGAAAAATATGGAACTTCTAAAGCTGTGCGGATTAAAGGTCACTAAGGGTCTCCCATGCAGCTACAGGAATATCCTCTTAAGAGCACGTCTTAGCAAATAAAATACAAAGTGAGTGTAAGGAGTTCTTAAGTTCTTCTTCAGAAAACACAAGAAGTAAAATTGTTCAGGCGTGATCATTTTTTACTTTTTATTTTATTTTATTTTTTTGAGATGGAGTTTCACTCTTGTTGCCCAGGCTAGAGTGCAATGGCACAATCTCTGTTCACTGCAACTTCCGCCTCCCGGGTTCAAGCGATTCTCCTGCCTCAGGCTTCCAAGTAGTTGGGATTACAGCTGTGGGCCACCACATCCAGCTAATTTTTTGTATTTTTAGTAGAGACGGGGTTTCACCATGTTGGCCAGCTGGTCTCGAACTCCTGACCTCAGGCGATCCACCCACCTCGGCCTCCCAAAGTGCTGGGATTACAGGCTTGAGCCATCGCGCCCAGCCGTGAACACTTTTTAAAGGTTCTGCAGGATTCAAACTTCCCAAATGCTGCAGGTGTTGACAGCAAGGAAGCAGGGCGAGCTCTGGAGGCCAGCTCTGGGAATTCAACCGGGCTCACACCTACAGTCCCTGGGAACAATCTGCAGCCCCAGTTTCTCCTCTGTAAGGCGAGTTGACCACGGCGCCACAGCACAAGGCTGCACTAGGATTCAATTAACCCAGTGCTCACAACCTGTTTGGTCCAGAGAAAGTCGTTTTTATTGCTAGGAAGGAAAGAGCCTCTTCTCGAAGGCAGAATTCCTCCAGTTTATATCAATCACCTACGAAGTGAGCTTATTCAATTTACTGACTCAAACTCAATTCATATTACTAAGTGCTTAACTAACTAATTCTCAAACTACAAACCGTAAAAGCACTACTGGGGGCGGGTGGGGGAGGCAGGGCAGGGGTGAGCCTCCCCAAAAGGAGCTAAGCAAAATTAGAGCTTTTCTTAACCACCTGGTTAAAACGAAAATATTGATCTTGGCAGACATGTTAAGTGCACGTTTCGTTCCCCGCCCCTTCTCCCAAAAGTGCCTCCAAATAAAAAACTAGTTTCTTCAGAGAACCAAGCATCTAATCATCACTCAGAGGTCTGAACATCCAGCATCCTAAGAACAAAGTGTCCACAGGTTCCCACCAGAACAAACCAGTTCAATGCATTGCTCGGAGGAAAAAGCAAGTTAACTCAAGCACACAATTACCTGTAGTTGCATATTATACGTAAGTGTACTCTTTCCTGCTCACGCCTGGCTACCTGCCTACTCTAACACAACAACTTCCGTTTTTAAAGTGTCAACTTGTTTACTTGGAGGAGCCGCCGCCTGCCGGACACAGCACGTTTGGGAGCCTCTCTTTCCACTGTAGGCTCGTAACTGCAGACTACTCCCGAACAACAAGACCACGGCGGCTGCTCCATCATTTTGCCAGCTTCTATGTTTCCATATTTTAACAATGTTGGGAAAACTAAATCACATGTTAAGACCAAGCAATTGATCAGTTCGTTGCAGAGGCTGCTTGAGGAACTTTCTGCAGCCTGGACCTGAGGCTTCTCAATCTAATAAACCTCAGACAGGACAACCAGACGGGGGTGTCCCCATAGGAAAGAGAACCCGACTCTGGTGGAGTGTCCCACCTCTTAGGGGCTGTGACTCCGCGCCTTATGAAAAGGCACTTTCAACGGGCAGGCTGGAGAAGAGTCCTCTCTAACAGGAAAAATAACTCCAAGTCCGCAGTGTTTAGGAAAAAGAACCAAGTGCTTGGGGAAGGCTGGCTGCCCGCGGAGAGGCGCTGCGTCCGGAGCGCTGGCCCAGGGGAGGCGGCGCGGGCCCTACCTGCGTTCCTGAGCTTCTTGTTCCGATACACCGACAGGATGACCAGGAGGTTGCCCAGGATGTCCACCACGATGGTGAAGATGAGGACGCAGGCCAGGGCGGACGCCAGCCACGAGGGCCGCGCGCCGTCCCCGCGGAGCACGGGCTGGGAGGCGTTGGGCAGCGCGCTGCCGTTGCCCTGCATGGTCCCTGTGCGCGTCCCGGCCGCGGGGCCATCGCCCGCCTCGTCCGCCCGCCCGACCACTTGTTAAGGCTCCGCCCGGCGCTCCCCGCGCCCACGCCCCATCCCGCGCGCTCCTCCACGCCGCGCCCCCGGACGCCCACGCCGCGCCGGACGCCACGGCCAGGTGACACCTGGTGTCCGCCGCGAGCCCGCTTGGATTCCCCGCCCGCAGCTCGAACCCCGCACCACGGGCCGACAGCGCCCCGGTGCGGGAAGCCGGGCCCAGCCGCCGCGCCCTGGGGACGGTGTCCCAGAGGCCTCTCCTCGTGGGCGCACGGCGAGGCCGTTCATTGTGTTTCCTCTCTGGGATGGGACTTTTCACCCAGCAGGGCCAGGCTGCCTGGGATCAAATGCGAAATGGGATTGGGGCGAGTTCACCAGCTGTGTGCCCCACCGCCCTTATCTTCCTTATCTGCAAAATGGGAATAAGATACTATCTCACCTGTTAGCCTCATAATTAGTAAAATGTGAAAAAACCAAGGACTGTCTTCCGTTGTGTATTGCACCGCTTAAGATGGTGCTAGATGTTTCCGATAATGAAATGACATTTTCAAAGAAAAAAGTAAAACTCAATATTTGCAGATGATAAAAATGTATGTACTTCTGTAAGTACCAGTAAAAATGAGAAAGAAAGCACACTTAGGTGGATCGGATACATGGCAGCAATGTAAAAGTGCTAGGAAATGGCCTAACCAGTTGTGTGCAGTGAGGAAAAAACTTTATGAAAACCATGAAAGGAAATTTAAATAAACGGAGAGACAAACAGTGTTCCTAGCTTCGAAGCCTGAAATTTTCATTTTCCTCATATACTTTATGCCAGACCAAGAAAAATATCAAATAACCTAAAGTTTCTTTGAAAGAGTAAAAAGAAAGTGTAGGAAAAGGATTTGAATAAGATGAATAGGAGAGAAGTATGACCTACCAGTATCAAAATGTTCATTAAAAATTACAATTAAGTGGCGCCTGGGATTACAGGCACGGTGGCTCACGCCTGCAATCCCAGCACTTTGGGAGGCCGAGGTGGGCGGATTACCTGAGGTCAGGAGTTCAAGACCAGCCTAGCCAACATGGTGAAACCCCGTCTCTACTAAAAATACAAAAATTAGCCGGGCGTGGTGGCACAGGCCTATAATCCCAGCTATTCGGGAGGCTGAGGCAGGAGAATTGCTTGAGCCCGGGAGGCGGAGATTGCAGTGAGCCGAGATCGTGCCACTGCACTCCAGTCTGGCAGACAGAGCAAGACTCTGTCTCAAAAAAAAAAAAAAAAAAATTACAATAAGTATGCCAGGCACGGCTGCTCACACCTGTAACCCCAGCACTTTGGAAGGCTGAGGCAGGTGGATCACCTGAGGTCAGGAGTTTGAGGCTGGCCTGGCCAACATGGTGAAACCTCGTCTCTACTAAAAACACAAAAATTAGCCAAGTATTGTGGTGGGCGCCTGTAATCTCAGGAGCCTGAGGCAGGAGAATCGCTTGAACCCGGG
The DNA here is from genome assembly GCF_000001405.40 of Homo sapiens. NCBI lineage: Eukaryota > Metazoa > Chordata > Mammalia > Primates > Hominidae > Homo > Homo sapiens. The sequence continues at coordinate 186,556,889 of NC_000004.12, forward strand.
AGGCAGAGATTGTAGTGAGCTGAGATCACGCCACTGCGCTCCAGCCTGGGCCAAAAAGAATGAGACTCCGTTTCAAAAAAAAAAAAAAAACTAAAACAGTATTGAGCTCATAAACAATTTGAAAAAGCATATAAAATAAAGATTTTATAAAGTGAACAGTTCAAATCAGTAGGGCTGGGATAGATCACGAAAACAAAAATGCATTTAAAGAAAATGTAGGTAAATATACATATCACTTGAGGTAGAGAAGCACTCTGTAAGCCTGGAAAAAAGACAGACAGGAAATAATCCTAACCATAGAAAAGGTAGCAGCTGCCATGGACAGCGTGTGTCACTTCCCATCTCTGGCATCGGTATCTTACAACCATTGTTTGCACAATGTGTTAACAATTCCAGAAGGTCTGGCACTGCTGCGACCATTTTATGGACGAGAAACCTCTGGTGCTGAGAGGTTAAGCAATGTACCAAAGTCACACAGCTGGTAACAAGTAGAGGCAGGATTGGAACTCAGGTCTCTCTGACTGCCAAGCAAGGAGCCTCATTACTAAGTGATAGTGTTTCTCGGTCGTGATAGATTTGACTACGGAAAAGTTAAAAGTCCTATATTCAAAAAATACCACACACAAGTGAAAGCTAGAGAAACTGGGGAAATGATTTGTGACATAGCTAAGAGACGAAGCATTAATGGTCTTCATTATTGTTATGGTTTCAGCATGTCCCCAGAATTTGTGTGTGGAAAATTTGGTCCCCAGGGGAAGGCGGGGCCTTCAAGAGGCGATCAGGTCAAGAGGGTTATACCACTCTGTCTGACTGGGTTAATTCTGCAGGCATGAGTCAGTTCTTGCTCTCCTGGGACTGGATTAGTTACAGTGAGAGTGGGTTTTAAAAAATTACCACTCCAGCCTGGGAGACAGAGAGAGACTCTGCTTCAGAAAAAAAAAAAAAAAATTATCCAGTCCCAGGTATTGCTGTATTCTGTAATAGTGATGGAAAACAGACTAAGACAATTATATAAAGAGCTAAGGAAAAAAAATAGAAATATATTTAAAGGTCATAATTAGACAAAAACTAAAAATGTATGTGTAACCTCTTTTAGCAAAAAAGTTAAAAAAAAGAGAAAGCTTCCATTCCAGCGATCACTTTAGAAAACATTATATTGGTAGTGCCAAGTGTGGTTTGAAACACGTGGAGAAAAAGCATTCCTGTGCACCAGATATGGACGTCTTCAAACTGCATACATGGTGCTAGTCGTTTTACTAATAGAAAACAATTGAACAGTGTCCACATGTGTCAGGACACACCGTTATTTCTCCCTGCATTGTTTGTCACAGGTAAAACTCCTATACTTGGGGTTTTGATACACAAATTTGTGAAATCAACAGATGAAATACAAAGGCATAGATGGCTAACTCTCCCCCAAAAGGGGTGGCATACATAATGCTGGGGTGCACATAACAACATTCATGATCTTTCTTCCCTGGGGAATGAGAAAGGTGAAGCTGGGAAACCACGAGCACTGAAAATGATGGTGAAATCCTGGAAAACAAAGACCCAGAGAGGGAATGCCCAGACTCTGACTGCCAGCATCCCTGAACCCAGCACGTGAGGAATAGACCCAAAGGAAGCAACTGGAGCAAAAGGCCTGAACTGAGGCTGGAGCTGCCACACAAGAAAACAGTTCCAGTTCCAGCCTAGCCAAGAACACTGCCTACTGAGACAAAGAAAACTCAACAGAGAAAAATAATAGCATCTAGAATACCCACAGTGTAAGATTCGTATGTCCATGGTACATTCAAAATTATTTAACGTATGAAAACATTGTCTGTCTATCTATCTATCTATCTATCTATCTATCTATCTATCTATCTATCTACCTATCTATCTATCATCTATCTAAACACATTCTTTAAGATACAATAAGATCAATCAAATCCAGTCCCTAAATGAGCAAAATGTTGTAACTAACAATCTCAGCAAAGAAATAGGAACTCCCATGAAAGAAATAAAAACAGTAAAAAAGAACGAAGGGGAAATTCTAGAACTGAAAAATACAATTTCTGAAATTAATTCTTTACTCAATGGACTTACTAGCCAAATGGACATGACAGAGTAAGTATACTTAAAGATAAACCAACAGAAATTGTCCAACACAGAGAAAAGATATATTTTAAAATGAACAAAGCTTACAATTCTTATAGATTATATTAATTAGAATACTAGCTGTAGAAATAAAATGGTGCAGAAAAAATATTAGAAGACATCATGATTGAAATTTTCCTGAATTTTAGGAAAGACGTAAATTTGTACATGCAAAATGAATACTAAGCAGAATAAACAAAAACAAGCATACTAAGGCACAGCATAGTCAAACTGCTAAAAGCCAAAGATAAAAAGCAATTAAAGTCAAGTTACATATTACGTACTGGTTAGCAATTAATCCAACTAACAGCTGATTTCTCATCAGAAACTGTGCTAATTTTCTATTACTGTCATAACAAATTACCTTAATTAAATTAATTTGGAGACTTAAAACAACATCCATGTATTATGTCACAGTTAAACAGACCAGAAGTCCAGGTACAAAGTGGCTCAGCTGAGCCCTCTGCTTAGGGTCTTATGAGGATAAAACCACAAAGAAGTAGAGCTGTTTCTTTCTGGAGGTTCTCAGGGTAAATCCACTTCTGAGCTCATTCAAGTTGCTGGCAGAATCCAGTTTCATATGGTTGTAAGGTTGAGGTCATTCTCAGCTTCTAGAGGTTGGCTGCATTCCTTGACTCATGGTCCCTTCTCTCATCTTTGAAGCCAACAATGGTGGGCAGAGTCCCACTCACACTTCAAATTTCTCTAACTTTATCTTCTGCTTTATCTCCTCTGCTGTTAGCTGGAGAAAGTTCTCTATTTTAAGGGCATGTGGATTTAGACTGGGCCCAACTAGACAACCCAGGCTAATTTTTCTATCTGAAAGTCCATAGCCTTAATTATATCTGAAAGTCCCTTTTGCCATTGGTCTTACCCCTCATTGTGTTGCTATAACAGAAGACCACAGACTGGGTAATTTACAAAGAAAAGGAATGTATTTCTTACAGCTCTGGAGGCTGGGCAATCCAAGATCAAGGGGCTGCACCTTGTGAAAGCCTTCTCGTTGTGTAATCCCATGGTGGATGAAATACCCAAGACCGAGTAATTTATAAGGAAAAGAGGTTGAATTGGCTCACGGTTTCACAGGCTGTACAGGAGGCATGGCTGCTTCTGCTCGACTTCTAGGTAAGTCTTGGGAGACTTACAATCAGGGTGGAAAGCGAAAGGAAGCAGGAATATCTTACATGGCCAGAGCAAGAGGAAGAGAGAGAGGAGGGAGGTGCTACACACTTATAAACAACCAGATCTTGTGACAACTCTATCACAATAACAAAACCAAAGGGAGAAATCCACCTCCATGATCCAATGACCTCCCTCCAAGACCACCTCCAACACTGGGGATTACAATTCGACATGAAATTTGGGCAGCGACACAAAAGCCAACCATATGAAAGACACATAAAGCAAACAGTAAGCACAAAAAGGCCAGAGTGGCTATATCAGTATCAGATTTAAAATGGATCTTGATGTAAAATAGATTTTAAATCAAAATGTATTACCAGAGATAAAGAGAGACACATCATAACGATGAAAGGGTCAATTCAACAGGAAACAACAATAATTTTAAAAATTGTATGTACTCAACAACATAGCTTTCAAATACATAAAGCAAAGATGGCCAGAATATAAGGTAGAAATAGACAATTTCACAATCATAAATGGAAATTATAACATCCCTGCCCTAGCAATGATAGAAAACTAGACAAAAAGTCAGTAGACATAGAAGATCTGAGCAATGCTATCAACAAGCGTGACTTTTCAATTGTACATGGAATATTTACCAGGAAGAAACATATGCCGGGCTATAAAAAAAAAATGCCTCAATAAAAATTTTTAAATGGGCCAGATATGTTGGTTCATGCCCATAAGCCCAGTACTTTGGGAGGCCAATGTTAGAGGATTGCTTGAGGCTAGGAGTTTAAGAGCAGCCTGGGCAACATGACATAGTGAGACCCTGTCTCTACAAAAAATAAAAATAAAAAATTTTCAATAGAAATCAGGCTAGACACGGTGGATCATATCTGTAATTCCAACACCTTGAGAGGCCAAGGTGGGAGGATTGCTTGAGCCCAGGGGTTCAAGATTAGCCTGGGCAACATAGGGAGACCCATCCCCGTCTCTACAAAAAAAATTTAAAAATTAGCCAGGCAGTGTGTTTTGCACCTGTAGTCCTGGGTACTCAGGAGGTTGAGGGAGGATTGCTTGAGCCCAGGAGGTTGAGGCTGTGTGAGCTAGGATTGCACCACTGCACTCCAGCCTGGGTGACAGAGTGAGACCCTGTCTGAAGAAAAAAGAAAAGAAAAGAAAAGAAAAGAAAGAAATTATAATAGAGAATATAGTCTCTGACTACATGGAATTAAATTAGAAATAATAAAGATGTGATAACCAGAAAAATCCAAACCATTTGGAAATTAAACAACACACTTCTAAATAATTGTTGTGTCAGAGAATAAATGCAACAGATATTAGAAAATATCTTGATAATATTCTGTTATTGAAATGATAATGATAGTAATCATGGAACGATAATGAAAATGCCGCATGTCCAACTGTGCAGGATGCAATCTCTCTCTCTCTCTCTCCCTCCCTCTCCATGTTTGTGCCCACAGTGTGGCTGAGGGGCTGATGCTGGCAGAACGAGTGTTAAGAGGTCATACAGAAGTGGCCTTTAAAATTTGCTTTAGGGGGTAAAAATAATGGAGAGTCTGTTGGATTTTTCTTGGTTTTTAAATTTGCAGCCAAAACTGTAAGACAAGAGATCATATTTAACATCCCCGAGGAACATGATCTAGGAAGTACATTATTATCTGTAATTAATTAGAGATCATTTTGTCACTGTAAGGAATCTATAAGAGCATGAGTTAATTATTTCACCAAAATGTTCTGCTTCCCAGGGAGTTGGTAATGGTTGGCTAACCTGGAACAACCCTGTTTATGCTTCAGCCCAGGTTTCCTATCCCCTTGGCCTGATGTGTAATACCTATTATCCTTGGTTCTTTGCACTTCCAAATAACTTCTTTTTAAATTCAGCCTGTCAAGTTTCATAAAACCCCCATTTGGAATTTTGATTGATATTGCATAACACATAAATTAATTTGACATGTTCAAAATAATGAGTTAAAATGTCAATTTTGAATGTAGATTCTTAATTTTCTTGTAATTCTTTTGGTGTTTGTTTCACATAAGACAATGTTATGGAGTAAAAATAAATTTAGAATTATTATGTCTTCCGGTGATTTTAAACATATCATTTTGTAGCATCCCTCTTTATTTGTAATAAGACTTTTTGTCTTACAGTCTATTTTGTCAGAGGCATAAATGTAGCTGCATCAGTCTTCCTCTTTTTTTTTTTTTTTTTTTTTTTGAGACAGAGTTTTGCTCTTGTTGCCCAAGCTGGAGTACAGTGGCGCCATCTCAGCTCACTGCAACCTCCGCCTCTTGGGTTCAAGGATTCTCCTGCCCCAGCCTTCTGAGTAGCTGGGATTACAAGCTCCTGCCACCACGCCTGGCTAATTTTTGTATTTTTAGTAGAGAGTGGGTTTCACCATGTTAGCCAGGCTGGTCTCGAACCCCTGACCTCAGGTGATCTGCCCACCTCGGCCTCCCAAAGTGCTGGGATTACAGGCATGAACCACCACGCCCGGCCTCTTCCTTTTGCTTTATATTTGTCTGATTATCTCTCCTTCCTACTTTTTATTCCCAAATGTCTGTCTCTAATGTTTTGGGTGAGTTTCATGTAAATAGCATACAGCTTCTTTATCTCTACTTTATCTGAATATCTTTTAACTAGAGACTTTAGCTCCTTTACATTTTTTGTGACTACTAAGGTACTGAAACTTATTTCTAACATCTAATTTTGGGCTTTTTATTGATCCCTTTATTGTGTTTCCCTCCTCCTCATCCTTCATGTTTTTCTTCTTAATTCATTGTTTTTCTGTACATTTCACTTTTCCTTTTACCTAAAGTATCATCACAGTGCATCTATTGATAATAAACTCTTTAAAAAATTTCTATGTGAATGAATACATATTGATTTCACCCATGTTTTTGAATGACAGCTTAGCTGAGTATAGAATTCTAAATTGCTCGGTGTGGCGGCTCATGCCTGTAATACCAGCACTTTGGGAGGCTGAGGCGGGCAGATTACTTGAGGTCAGGAGTTCGAGACCAGCCTGGCCAACATGGTGAAACCCCGTCTCTACTAAAAATACAAAAATTAGCTGGGCGTGATGGTGGGGGCCTGTAATCCCAGGTACTGGGGAGGCTGAGGCAGGAGAATTGCTTGAACCCTGGAGGCGGAGTTTGCAGTAAACCAAGACCTTCCCACTGTGCCCCAGCCTGAGCAACAGAACGAGACTCCATCTCAAAAAAAAAAAAAAAAGAATTCTGAGTTGACAGTTACTATTTTCTCAGCACTTACAGAATATTATTGGATTACTCCCTCAGGGATTCTATTGCTCTATGGAAAATCAGCTGACAGTCTGATTGTCATGGCTTCAAAGGTGATCCGGTTTTCCCTCTTGTTACTTGCAAGATTTTTTTTCTTATTCTTTAGTGTCCTATTGTTTCACAAGCCTCTAAGTGTACATTTTGTCTTTTATTTATGTGCTGCTTCTACAAAACACTCCATACTATCACCTAGCAGGGATTATTTTTATGTAAATGTCTTGGGTTGAAGGTTCCTCAGCATGCAAATAAAATAAATGTGGAACTCTTGCCACTCAGAAATTCAGAGAAGACGTTTCTGAGTTTTTTATTTACCTCCGTTCAAAACTGAAACAAGCAAATTTCCTTGGCTAGGCAGATTTCCCCCACTAACCAAGCCCCCCTCACCAGGTCCATTTTTTCACTGTGTGTGGCTATTTGAGGATGCTGGCCTTGGGAACGCGGCAGAGGGCGAGGACTTGGTTCCAGCTGTCTGCATCACCGTGGACTGACTCACCCCCTAGTTGCACACGGGCACTAAAACTCAGGTCCCTTGCTTCCTTTGAGGGACAAGCTCCTCAGGCTTATCACAGGCTCAGCTCTCGTATTTCAATTTATTCTTTGTTTTAGGCTCCTGGAAAATGTTCTTTTTATTTTATTTTTTTTTTTGAGGCGGAGTCTCGCTCTGCCGCCCAGGCTGGAGTGCAGTGGCGCGATCTCGGCTCTCTGCAAGCTCCGCCTCCCGGGTTCACGCCATTCTCCTGCCTCAGCCTCCCGAGTAGCTGGGACTGCAGGTGCCCGCCACCACGCCCGGCTAAATTTTTTGCATTTTTAGTAGAGACGGGGTTTCACCGTGTTAGCCAGGATGGTCTCGATCTCCTGACCTTGTGATCCACCCATCTCAGCCTCCCAAAGTGCTGGGATTACAGGCGTGAGCCACCGCGCCCGGCCAAAATGTTCTTACTTTCTTGTGCGTGCAGGTGTGCATTCCTCACCCCAGTACTTCCGACAATGTTATAGGATGAGAATTTGCAGTCTATAAAATCCAGCTTTTGCTAGAGACAGGATTAACATTTTAAAAACTTATTATAAAACTCTATAATCGTAAATATTTGCTAACTTACTAAAATCTCACTACCCTACTGTTTAAGTACTTTTAATTTTTTTATTTTTTTAGAGACAGGGTCTCACTCTATCGCCTAGGCTGGAGTGCAGTGGTGGGATCACAGCTCACTGCAGCCTCGGACTCCCAGGCTCAAGCGATTCTCCTGCCTCAGCCTCGCAAGTAGCTGTAAGTACCTGCTTTTAATCATAAACTTCGAAGGTGTGAAGGTCATACTGTCTCTTGTTGCTATCTTTATATAGTTTCTCTATCTCTAAATATTGATAGTAAATCTATTAATTTATTTTTACTTTTCTTTTCTTTTTTATTGAGACGGAGTTTCTCATCACCCAGGCTGGAATGCAGTGGTGCGATCTCAGCTCACAGCAACCTCCGCCTCCTGGGTTCAAGCGATTCTCCTGCCTCAGCCTCCTGAGTAGCTGAGATTACAGGCGCCCACCACCATGCCTGGCTAATTTTCGTATTTTTAGTAGAGATGGGGTTTCACCATGTTGGCCAGGCTGGTCTTGAACTCCTGACCTCAGGCGATCCGCCCACCTCTGCCTCCCAAAGTGCTAGGATTACAGGCGTACGCCACTGTGCCCGGTCTACTTTTTTTTTTTCTTTTCTTTTCTATTTTTGAGACAGGGTCTTGCTCTGTCACTCAGGCTGAAGTGTGGTCGTGTAATCACAGCTCACTGCAGCCTCAACCTCCTGGGCTCAAGTGATCCTCCTGCCTCAGCCTCCCAAGTACCTGAGGGTACACATATGCATCACCATCCCCAGCTAATTTGTGTATTTTTTTGCAGAGATAGGGCTTTGCCATCTTGCCCGGGCTAGGCTCAAACTCCGGGGCTCAAGTGATCTGCTCACCTCAGCCTCCCAAAGTGCTGGGATTACAGGTGTGAGCCACCGTGCCCGGCCATAATCTACTCATTTTATTAGTACATTCCTGACGTTCATTTAGAGAGTGTGTGTCCCAAAGTGTAAAATTAATAATATATGAAGCTATTAAGTTATCCATACCACCTCACAGCCATTAGGATGGCTGTCATCAAAAACATAAGAGTTAACAAGTGCCGGTGAGAGTGTGGAGAAAAGAAAACCCTTGTACACCATTGGTGGGAATATAGACTGGTCCAGCCATCATGGAAAACGATGTGGAGGTTTCTAAAGAAATTAAACATAGAACTACTCCGTGACCCAGCAATCCCTCTTCTGGGTCTATACCCAAAGGAAATAAAATCACCAACTCCTAAAGATATCTGCACACTCATGTTTATCACTGTATTATTCCCAACAACCAAGATAGGGAAGCAAAATAAGTGTGACCAACAGACAAATGGGTGAAGAAACTGTGACATAGATGTTGATAGAGGTATGAATGCTATTCAGCCTTAAAGAAGGAGGAGATCCTGCCATTTGCCACAATGTGGATGAACCTGGAGGATTCATCCTAAGTGAATAAGCCAAGCACAGATAGAAAAATATTATATGATCTCATATATGGAATCTTAAAAAAAAAAAAGTCAAATATACAGAGATAGGGAATAAAACAGTGGTTGCCGGGGGCAGGGTAGGAGGAGGAAATGGGAGATGTAGGTCAAAGAATCAGATTTGTGGGATGAATGAAAAAGTGGCAGGTATATAGGATGAGCAAGCCTAGAGGTCTAATGTACAACAGGAGGACTACAGTTAACAATGCTGAGTCATACGCAGGATTTCTGCCGAGTGATTCTAGCTGCTCTTGCCATGCACAAAACGTGGGTACCAGTGGGAGATAATGGATCTGTTAATTTGCTTCACTATCGTAACCATTTTACTGTGTATATGAATGTCATAACCTCATGCTGTATACCTTATTCACAATAACATTTATTTTAAAAATATACGAAGAAGCTAAATTAGCCGGCTGGCATTCCTCTAAAATATTGACTTTCCTGTTTAGGATTTGGGTTGGCAATTTCACTACGCAATGACACAGCATTATTCCTCCCCTCGCTCTGCAATTAGAGCATCACGCTAAGCAGCAGTTGCTAAAATTCAAACTTTATGTGATTCAGGTCTACAACCACTTTTTCTTTTTAACTCTAAGCGAGGATCTATCATTTAACCTGTAGAATGCTAATTAGTTTGTGCATTTATTTGGAAGATAAAAAATTGCCGTTAGCAAATTCCTTGATATCACACCATGAATGATCACTCGGGAAGATAGGAAGGGATGTGAGTGGAGGTGTAGGCAACATTTTCTAAATTACACAAGGAGCTCCTTGGGTGGATGCGTGTGTGTCTGTGCGTGTGTGTCTGTGTGTGTGTGTCTGTGCATGTGTGCATTTGCATGTGTGTCTGTGCGTGTGTGTGAGTTTGCAGAGGTATGCTTAGTGTGAAAGTTAGGTCTTGCAATCTTCTCTACCTCTTGTACCAAATAGAACAAATCTGTTTATTCTAGCTCTTAAATAGCTTCAAATCCATTGCTTCATCTTCATCCGTAGGGCTCCTAACCAAGTTGGGGCCACCATCATGTTTTGCAGAAATTCGTATCACAGCCTCCTAATCAATCCCTCCGGCTCCCATCTTCCTCCCCTTCAATATATTCAAAAGCCAAGAATCTTTTCTAAAATTATAAATCTAACTACAATATTCCCTTATATAAAAATAAATAGATAAATGCACAGCCACATGCATGCATAAAACTCGTCAATGCACGCCCATCACTCCTGGGTGGGATTCTAGCCGAATTCCACAGGTTTTCCGAGGCCTTCCATAACCCAGCCTTGCCACCCTCATCCCTCCCGCCCATCCTCTCCCTCCCCCAGGGAACCTGCTCTACCCTCCAACACTGTGAACATTCTCCAGTTCTTCAAACCTCATATTCCCTCCTTCCTCCCAGCTTCCCCATATGTGTTCCTTCTGCCGGAAACACCCTTCCCATCCCCAGTTACCCCCTGGGATAACTGATGTGTGAGGTCATCTTCCAAGTCTTGGTTACGTTTTCCTCCTTTGTGCCCCTGCAGTTCTCTATATGTCCTTTATCCTAGCACTCACCACGTGCCATACCATACCTCTGTTTTCTTGTTGGAATCCTGCAGCAATTAGGCAGGGGTCGGGGCTTGTAGTCGGTTGCATCCCCTGTGCTTAACACGGTAGCTGGCATACAGCCTACACCAACAATTATTTGGTTTTGTTCTTTTGTGTTTTTGAGTCAGGGTCTCTCTCTGTTGCCCAGGTTTGAGGGCAGTGGTGCAATCATGGCTCACTGCAGCTTCAATCTCTTGGGCTCAAGAGATCCTCTCACCTCAGCCTCTCAAGTAGCTGGGACCACAGCCGAACACAAGCAAGCCTGACTAATTTTTAAATTTTATGTAGCGATGGGTCTACCTATGTTGCCCAGGCTGATTTCAAACTCCTGGGCTCTAACAGTCCTCCTGCCTTGGCCTCCCAAAATGCTGGGATTACAGGCGTGAGCCACCATGCGTGGCCAACAAGTACTTGTTGAATAAAATGAGAGAATACATGAATCCATTATTGGCTGGTGGCTATAAAATAACAAAATATTCATGAAATTATGTCTTTCATCATATTTGGAAACTTCTAATTTATCAGAAAAAGATGCTATTTGACAGGCACATGGATTTTTAATGTGTTTGTCACTCTCAAGTCTGGAGACACTTTCCGCATGTTTATTTCTCCAGTCAATAGCAGGAAGGAGAACATACATTTTTCACTCAAAGAATTTTTTTGTTGTTTGTTTTTTGTATTTTTTTGAGACACAGTCTTGCTCTGTCGCCCAGGTTGAAGTGGAGTGGCGTGATCTCAGCTCACTGCAACCTCTGCCTCCCAGGTTCAAGCCATTCTCGTGCCTCAGACTCCTGAGTAGCTGGAATTACAGGCACGTGCCACCACGCCTGACAAATTTTTGTATTTTTAGGAGAGACAGGGTTTCACCATGTTGGCCAGGCTGGTCTCGAACTCCCTGACCTCAGGTGATCCACCTGCCTTGGCCTCCTAAAGTGCTGGGATTACAGGCATGAGCCACCACGCCCGGCCCAAAGAATTTTTTTGTTCCATTACAAAGTGAGCTAACATGGATTTTATTTCCTTGCCTGCTATAAAGAGAGAACTACATTAAGTCCTCTGGAAGACATAAAACAACATGAGAATTTCAATTTTATTTAAAGTACATATATTTTCACTAAATATACATGTACCCTAATTTCAAGACCTAAATATACCATAAAACAAATAATCTTTTAATAATAGTTAATGTTATTCATAAGGTTTCATTTCATACTAACCCAAGTAAAACACTGCCTGCAGAAAAAAGTGACTTAGAAATAATTCAAGTTTTCCCATTGACATACGTAAAAATACAGGCCCAAAGCAGCTCGGTACCATGCCTACTATGTGCACTATGATGGTGGTTATGAAATACAGGTGTCCATAATTCTTGTGTAAAAACAGACTGCCTGGAATAGGAATTGGCAAGTTAGGGCTGGTTTGGTGAGAAGGTCCTAGGACTGGCCTTCTGATTCAAAGTCTCACCTACTCACCACTGAAGAATAGTGGCAGTTGAAGGCACCGCAGGGTCTATTTATGCCTTTTGGTGATTTCGGGGAGGCAATTTGAGCACATAGAAAAGAATGCCAGTCAACTTATGATCAAGTTTCAAAGTTTGTATTATAATCATATTTCTGATAGCAAAGATGAACTGGATAGGTACTTAAAACTGAAAAAAAAATTGAGGAAAGTTTTTCCTAAATTGTAAGAATATATAAAGTTTTGGATAGGCAGAAAAAAATGGATGTGGGTGCTATTTCAAACAGAGAAGTATGCCATCATCAAAGGTGCAGGGAGGTTGGGCACGATGACTCATGCTTGTAAACCCAATACTTTGGAAGGCCAAGGTAGGAGGATCACTTGAGCCTCGGAGTTTGAGACCACCCTGAGCAACATCGCAAGGCCCTTGTCTCTACAAAAAATTTAAAAATTAGCTGGGTGTGGTGGTCCTCCTAGCTACTCAGGAGGCTGAGGTGGGAGGATTGCTTGAGCCCGAGTTTAAGACCACTCTGGGCAACATAGCAAGACCCCACCTTTACAAAAAAAAAATTTTTTTTTTAAGTGCAGGGAAAGGAATAAGCTGGTCCCAGCAGGAGAAGGAGCTCATCTGTCACTGTCACCAGTAGATAGGGATCTGTTTTTCAAGTAGAGGTGGAAAATGGGCTCATTAATTTCTTTACAAATGGATTTGCTGCTCCTCAAAGACATTACTGAACACAAGAGTTAAATACATCAAGACACTTTTTTTTTTCTGTAATCTAGGGAGAAGGTGCCACAATCAAATGTGAGGGTTGCTCACTGTCTCAAATGATAAAGTGCAGTGCACACAGCACACAAGCGAACCCCCCCAGCCCAGAGCCATCAGGGATTTCCCTGCGCCAAAGCAGCAGAGACTTGTCAAAGGTTAGAGCAGCTGCGTCCTCCTCAGAGTAACTTTGTGAGCCGCGAGTTCAACCCCAGAGGCTCAGACCTCATCTTCAACCCCTAGTGAGGGACGTCGGTCCACAGCTTGTATTAGGGCCCCAAGCCGCCTTCTGTGAGCGATTTCACATCAGGTATAAACTGGGCACTTCTGGGAAATTTCAGTCCGTCTGAACGTTAGTGACCCAGGAAGTGCGAGTGTGTGGATTAGGGGGTTTCCCACACAGAGAAGCAACTGAATCGCGATGTGTGTGTCTGCGCTGGGGAAGGAGACTCATTATCTGGAGCTCGGCACATGCAAATTCAGCACAAGCTACAGATGCCTGCACAGCGCTACCGGCAGAGTTCCCACGGAAAATCACTTCCCTGTCCGCCTCTCCCACGACGCGTTAACATTCCAAGCCCATCAACCTCGCCTCTATTATACATGTTGACTGAAGGAGGAGTGGTTTCGCTCTATGTTCATATTTCCTTTCTGTGAAGGCATGAGAGCATCAGCAATCCATGAGAGCAGACGTTGTGTCTGTTACTCTATCTGGAACTGCAAATTACTTACAAATATTCCTGTTGCCCCCAATTACTGTCCCGCCTGAGGTTCTGCAGCAATGCAGGGCTGAATGAGCATCATGCTGCTTTCATTTCGAGTTAACATATAGGAAATTCGTAAGTGATTAGGAAAACTTTCCGGTTTTGATTGACTCTCTGCTACTCCAGACATGCAACTGTTACTTCAGCACTTACGTATGTGAGGGCTTTTTAAGAGTTGGGAGAAAAAAGCCATAAACACCACAGTTCAGTTTTTATTAAACCTGTTGCTTCACAGCACATAACTCCCTGACCATAGCAAACGATTCTTTCTCAGTTAAAGGCCATGACTGCTACTAAGCAAGTTTTGTTCACTTTTATGTGCACAGGGCATAACAAAGGGCACAGACTAAACTAATACCTTATCAATGCAACCCACCAAGTAAACTGAACTGGGTGAATGAAAGAATGAATGGAAGAGACAAGACGCAGAGGGAGGAAGAGTGTGTGAGCCTCAGCAGCACCAGTGCTTTGAGCCAAGAGGAGAGTGCGATTTGTTGTGGTTGTTGTTGTTTTGTTTTGTTTTGAGACGGAGTCTGGCTCTGTCACCCAGGCTGGAGCATAGTGGCACGATCTTGGCTCACTGCAACCTCCACCTCCTGGGTTCAAGTGATTCTCCTGCCTCAGCTTCTCAAGTAGCTGGACTACAGGCCCGTGCCACCATGCCCAGCTAATTTTTTGTATTTTTAGTAGAGACGGGGTTTCACCGTGTCAGTCAGGATGGTCTCAATCTCCTCACCTTGTGATCCACCCGCCTCGGCCTCCCAAAGTGCTGGGATTACAGGCGTGAGCCACCACGCCAGGCAGGGAGAGAGATTTTTATTCTGTGAAATGAAGCTGGTGAGAAAATGAGGGCATGGGCTAGGGGAGTCAAGTCCAGGCTGTGGCACTGCTGTCTGCGTGACAGCCAATAAGTTGGAAGGCAAGGTACTGGGGCACAGAAGGCAACTTTATTTGGAAGAGCCAGCAAACCAAGAAGTCGACAGATTAGTGTCCTAAAGAACCATCTGGAGGGAATGCAAATTTTCAGGCTCCTTTTATGTTAGGGCAAGGGAGAAGAGGGAGGGAGTTGAGGTCAAGAGGTGACCGATGACCACAGACATCTGGACACTAGCAAGGGTCCAAGGCGGTTGTGAAGCCTCTTTGTCCCTGGTCAGGCCACAGTGCACCTGTAAACCCTTAACATAACATTGCTACTTGTGTGGCCCTCCTTATCTCTGCGTGGGTTAGTTAGGGGAAGGGACTGCTATCATCCTTGCCTTAAAGTTAAACTGTACACTCAGTTTCTCCCATAGTGAGCTTGGCCTATGTGCAGGGATCAGCAAAAGCAGTTAACCTAAATGGTATCACTGTGGGGCGGGGCGGGGCAGGGCGGGTGAGGAGCAAAATGGAGTTGGTCATGCCCAGCCTCTTTTTCACTGTTATCCTAGGAAGCGGTGAGTTTGACCCTGTACATCTTTATCTTAGTCCTCATAAAGAGCAGGGACAGGCCAGGTGTGGTGGCTCAGGCCTGTAATCCCAGCACTTTGGGAGGCTGAGGCAGGTGGATCATGAGGTCAGGAGTTCAAGACCAGCTTGGCCAAGATGGTGAAGCCCCGTCTCTACTAAAAATACAGAAAAAAAAAAAATTAGCCAGGCGTGGTGGTGGATGCCTGTAATCCCAGCTACTCAGGAGGCTGAGGCAGAGAATTGCTTGCACCCGGGAGGCAGGGGTTTGCAATGAGCTGAGATCGTGCCACTGCACCCCAGCCTCGGCAACAGAGCGAGACTCCGACTCAAAAAAAAAAAAAAGGAGCAGGGACGACCTGGTTCCTCCTTCACTAACGGCAAACAGAATGCTTCACAGCACATACTCAGAAAGAATATTTGAATCAATGAACAGCAAGAGTCACTTGCGAACAGTCATTTGTGAACAGCACCCTGAGCCTTCATCACACCCCACACCCTGTCTAGTCTCCAGTGTTGGACGCACCGAATGGGTGAAAATAACAAGCATTCGACGCCAGGGCTCCTCCGGACTAGCGAATGATTCCTCAAATGACCTAAACTAGCCATTTAGAAAATGCTGACGTGCAGCGTGTTCTCAAAGGGCACTTACAAAACTAAATGTTCTTAGGACGCACTTTAATACTATTTAACTATTGAAATGCATGTTTGAAGATTGGGATGGGTTGGGGGAAAACAGTAACAAAACAATAAAACATTTATTGCCCATCTACTTTGTGCCAAAAGTCCCGGCGTGAGGGGCTCTACCTTGGTGCCCTTTGGCTCACTCCACAAGGGACTGTCCGGGGAGGAGGCCCGAGGGGACAGGCTTTGAGGCCAGAGCCAGGGCTTTGAGTTTCAGTGTCAACACTGACCTCTGGTGTGACCTTCAAAAAAGTCTTATCCTCTCTGTGCCTCGATTTCCTGATCTGGGAAATGGGGATATTGAGGAGGGTTGCTGGATGGATGAAGTTAGTAATTGTAGAATGCTTAGTATGTAATGAGCATTCAATAAGAACACTTCTCTTAGGGCCAGGCACAGTGGCTCACGCCTGTATTCCCAAAGTATGCTCACTTTGGAAAGCATAGGTGGGAGGATCACTTCAGGGCAGGAGTTTGAGACCAGCCTCGGGAAGAGAGCGAGACCTCTGTCTCTACAAAAAAACTTTAAAAAATTAGCTGGGCATGGTGGTGCATGCCTGTAGTCCCAGCTACTCTTTGGGAGGCTGAGGTGAGAGGATTGCTTGAGGCCTGGAGTTTGAGGCTGCAGTGAGCCGTGATCGCACCACTGCACTCCAGCCTGCTCCACAGAGTGAGACCCCGTCTCTCTTTTTTTTAAAAAAAAAAAGAAAGAAAGGAAAGAAATACAAAAAATTAGCCCGGCGTGGTAGTGGTGGTGGGTGCCTGTAATTCCAGCTACTTGGGAGGCTGAGGCAGGAGAATTGCTTGAACCCAGGAGGTGGAGGTTGCAGTGAGCCAAGATCCCACCATTGCACTTCAGCCTGGGCGACACAGCGAGACTCTGTCTCAAAAAACAAAACAAAACAAAAAAACAAAAAAACAAAAAACAAACAAAAAACAGCGAGAGAGAGAACAGCTCTCAATGAGATTGTTAGTATTGATTCCTCACAAAACTCCTGTGAGGTGTCAGTCATATTCTTTTCAGCTGCGGAAACTAAGTTAAGTAGAAGGTAAGCAGTTGGTTCAACATCCTCCAGCTAAGAAATCACTGTGGGCCGGGTGCAGTGGCTCACGCCTGGAATCCCAGCACTTTGGGTGGCCAAGGCGGGTGGATCATGAGGTCCAGATGATCGAGACCATCCTGATCAACATGGTGAAACCCCGTCTCTACTAAAAAAAAAAAAAAAAAAAAAAAAAAATTAGCCGGGCGTGGTGGTGCATGTCTGTAGTCCCAGCTACTCAGGAGGCTGAGGCAGGAGAATTGCTTGAACCCGGGAGGTGGAGGTCACACTGAGCCGAGATCGCGCCACTGCACTCCAGCCTGAAGACAGAGCGAGACTCTGTCTCAAAAAAAAAAAAAAAAAAGACTGCAGAGTTCAACAATTTTGAACTTAGGTGTGTGCTCTGAAGCCGGCCGTCCCTGCCTGCCCCTGGTGCCCAAAGGCCTGGGAGTTTGAAAGTGCACCCTAAGGGTACATGGTTTTAAAATGCAAAACTCTGACCAACAGAGAGAATGGACTGAACTTTGATCCATTAAATAAATCAAACCCAGAGACTGTGCAGCTACCCAGCCATAGGTGTGGTCACAGTCACTCAGCGGTGAAACTGGAACCCCACCAGGTGCAGCAGAGGGACTTGGCGTGGGCTCAGCCACCAGAGCCCAAGGATGAACTGCAGCTAAAGCTTACTGAACAGAGCCTGTGCACAGACTCAGCAGAGTTCGCTGATATTTTGGTAAAAAGCACAGAGCCCGCCCTGCGTTCAGTGTGAGCGGTAACAGCTCCAAGCACATGGTATGTATGACCTGTTTTCAAGGACCTCTGTGTATTTTTAAATTTTGTGAAATTCCCCACTAGAAGTTAAAACTCAGCATTTTTAAGAAATTATTATTAAAAACCATTTCTATCCAATAAGAGCTTTTAGTTGGAGAAGTTTCTGCATCTTGATCATTGTTTATTTAATTAGAACAATTTGTTTTTAATAAGGCTTATGAATAACATTTTCTTTTGTGCAGACTAATTTAAAGTATCTATTTTAAAGTATACTTAAGCAATCAAGAAGACACAATGGAAAAAAGATAGTCTCTTCAGTAAATGGTATTGGCAAAACTGGATATCCACATGCAAAAGAATGAAAATGCATCCTTATCTTACACCATATACGAAATCAACTCAAAATGGATTAAGGACCTAAATGTAAGACCTGAAATCATGAAACTCCTGGAAGAAAACATAGCTAGAAAGCTTCTTGAGATTGAACTTGGCAAGGATTTTTTGGATATCTCACCAAAAGCACAGGCAATAAAAGAGAAAATATTTAAGTAAGTAGGGCTACATCAAACTGAAAAGCTTCTGCACAGCAAAGAAAATAACCAACAAAATGAAAACCCAGCAAACAGATTGGGAGGAAATATTTGCAAACCACATATTGGATAAGGGGTTAATATCTGGAAAATATAAGGAACTCATACAATTCAGTAGCAAAATACCAAATAACCCAATTAAAAATGGGCAAAGGGCCGGGTGCGGTGCCTCACACCTGTAATCCCAGCACTATGGGAGGCCAAGGTGGTGGGGGTGGATCACATGAGGTCAGGAGTTCGAGCCCAGCCTGGCCAAAATGGTGAAACCCTGTGTCTACTAAAAATACAAAAATTAGCCAGGTGAGGTGGTGGGTGCCTGTAATCTCAGCTACTCAGGAGGCTGAGGTGGGAGAATTGCTGGAACCCGGGAGGTGGGGGTTGCAGTGAGCCGAGATCGCACCACTGCACTCCAGCCCCTGCCGACAACAGCGAGACTCCATCTCAAAAAAAAAAAAAAAAGGCAAAGAACCTAAATAGACATTTCTCCAAAGAAGAAATAAAAACAGCCAACGGGTATATGATAAAGGTACTCAACACCTCTAATCATGAAGGAAATGCAAATTACAACCACATGAGCCCTTGTTAGAATGGCTATGATAAAAAAGAGGAGATCACAAATGTCGGTGAGGGTGTGTAGAAAGGGGAACCCTGGTTCGCTGCTGGTGAGACTGTAGATTGGTGCGGCCATTAAGGAAAACAGTATGTGGCCCCGACCCAGCAATCCCTCTTTGCAAAATGACATCACCACCTCATGAAAATATCGGTACCCCTGTTTATCACAGCAGGATTCCTAAGAGCCAAGATATGTAAACAACCCGTGGGGCCATTGATGGATGAATGGACAAAGAAACTGTGGTATGTGTACACATTAGAATATTTTTTTCAGCTATACAAAAGGAGATTCTGTGATTTATAATATAATTTATAATTAACCTGAGGACATTTTGCAAAATAAGCAAAATAAGGGGGGTGGGGGTGGTGGCGGGAATTGAGGAGATGGAGATTGAAGTGTAGAAAGTGTCCACTATGTAGGATGAATAAGCCTGGAGATGTGAAGAATGCTAAGACTGCAGTGAATAATATTGTCATGTGTATCAGTCAGTTTTTGCATTGCTCTAAAGGAACCTGGCACTGGGTGATTGATAAAGAAAAGAGGTTTAACAGGTTTATGGTTCTGCCGGCTGTACAGGAAGATGGCAGCTTCTGCTTCTTGGGAGGCCTCAGGAAGCTTCCAGTCATGGTGGAAGGGGAAGGGGGAGCAGGCTTCTCACACGGCTGGAGCAGGAGGAATACAGAAAGGGGGGAAGTGCTACACACACTTAAACAGCCAGATGTTGAGAGAACTCCCTGTACAGTACCCGGGGGTGGGGTGTGGGGCGGACGGTACTAAAGCAGTCACGAGAACTCCACCCCCACGGTCCAATGACCTACCGGGCCCCACCTCCAACAATGAAGTGTTCAATTTAATGTGAGGTTTGGTGGGGACACACATCCAAATCATCATGTATGCTGGAAATTTAGTAAGAGAGTAGAATTTAGGTACTTTCACCACACACACCAAAAAGGGTAACTATGTGAAACGGTGCACATGTCATTTGCTTGACTGAAGTAAACTTCTACGTGTTTGTGTGTATATGTAAATAAACATCACATATACCTTAAATAGGTATAATTTTAAAAAGTATACTTTCTCTTCTTTCAAAAGAAGAGAAAAATACTCATTTCAAATTAAAATTTTAAGAACACCAATCACAAAACAAGAGCATCATTTAAAAATGCGTTTGTAATCCTACTTGGCAGGTGGGCTAACATTTCGAACTTGACAAAGACGTGGAACTGTGCTTCCAAGGCTGACAGGCAGGAAGAGCCCACACAGCCTCCGGGGCCAGCCCTTGTTCCTCTCTCCATATTCTCCCCTTATGCTGAAACTTAGGTAGAGCTCATGAACATTAAAACAAAGCAAAGTGGCCGGGCATGGTGGCTCATGCCTGTAATCCCAGCACTTTGGGAGGCTGAGGCAGGTGGATCACGAGGTCAGGAGATCAAGACCATCCTGTCCAAGATGGTGAAACCCTGTCTCTACTAAAAAAAAAAAAATACAAAAAATTAGCCGGGCATGGCGGTGCGTGCCTGTAGTCCCAGCTACTAGGGAGGAGACAGGAGAATTGCTTGAACCCGGGAGGCAGAGGCTGCACTGAGCCGAGATCATGCCACTGCACTCCAGCCTGGGTGACAGAGTGAGACTCTGTCTCAAAACAAAGAAACAAACAAACAAAAAAATGAAGCAAAGTGATAGTCATTAGACATTTTGAGAATTTTATTTTATCCCTTGAGATAATTGGATAATGCTTGGAATTTAGGAATCTGAGCTCATATTTATCTTTTTTGTTTGTTTTGAGACAGAGTCTTACTCTGTAACCCAGGCTGGAGGGTAGAGGCACTATCTTGGCTCACTACAACCTCTGCCTCCCAGGTTCAAGTGATTCTCCTGCCTCAGCCTCCCAAGTAGTTGGGATTTCAGGCATGCGTCATCACGCCCAGCTAATTTTTGTATTTTTGGTAGACACGGGGTTTCCCCATGTTGGCCAGGCTGGTCTTGAACTCCCGACCTCAGGTGATCCGCCCGCCGTGGCCTCCCAAAGTGCTGGGATTACAGGCATGAGCCACTGAGCCAGGCCTGAGCTCATATTTAACATCTCTTCTATAGAGACCTGCACTGTTAGCTCCCTACAGGATATACTTGGTGTGATGACATTTTCATTCAAATGTGTCACACACGCTCTTTCTCTTCAAGTCTGGCATCACTGGAAAATGCAGCTCCTACACACCCACACTTTAACGGCACAGTGACAAGTGCAGTAATTGCCTAAGTGTTCACATGAGCAGAGATTTGCTTGGGGAAAAAAAAATACTTGCCATTCTATTCAAGTGGCTCGTTCTGTTTGCGGTAAAGGCAGTAAACTGCTAGCGAGGAAATTAGATTCTGACAAACAGCTCTCCCCCCGCCGGTGCACTAATTGAAATGGAGCCTAACGCCTTTCACGAAGAGCTGTCAGAACGTATAGGGAACGCCAGTCGGCCAAAGAGAAAGAGCAGCCGCGTTGACCTTCAGAAAGCTACTGACCCAATGCAGTAGACTTGAGTCAAAGTGGGGATTGCGGCGACAGGGGAGCCCATCAACCAGAAGAGGACGGGAGGTGGCGCGTGGGGGGCGGGAGGGTTTTCCAGTGGGCCTGATGGACAGCAAACCTAAGCCTTACATTTACCCCTGTCACTGAAAATTGAATCCATATTAGAGCAAATTTCACAAAGACGATTCCATTCTGGTTTAGACTTTGTTTTTCATGGAAAAAATTCACAGGCCTGGGCGCAGTGGCTCACGCCTGTAATCTCAACACTTTGTGAGGCCGAGGCAGGCGAATCACCCAAGGTCAGGAGTTCAAGACCCACCTGGTCAACATAGTGAAACCCGGTTTCTACTAAAAATATAAAAATTAGCCAGGCGTGGTGGCAGGCATCTGTAATCCCAGCTACTCGGAGACTGAGGCACGAGAATCGCTTGAACCCCGGAGGCGGAGGTCGCAGTGAGCTGAGATTGCACCACTGCACTCCAGCCTGGGTGACAGAGCAAGACTCTGCCTCAAAAAAAAAAAAAAAAAAAAAAAAAGGCCAGGCACAGTGGCTCACGCCTGTAATCACAGCACTTTGGGAGGCCGAGGCGGGTGGATCACCTAAGGTCAGGAGTTCGAGACCAGCCTGGCCAACATGGTGAAACCCTGTCTCTACTAAAAATACAAAATTAGCTGGGTGTAGTGGTGCATGCCTGTAATCCCAGCTACTTGGGAGTCTGAGGCAAGAGAATCACTTGAACCCAAGAGGTGGAAGTTGCAGTGAGCTGAGATAGCGCCATTGCACTCCAGCATGGGGGACAGAGTGAGATGCCGTCTCAGAAAGAAAGAAAAAGAAATTCACAGGAAGAGACAGGGAGGCAGGATTATCCAGAGCTGTCTATAGCAGAGCTGCTGTGCACAGAGCCTGGTGCTCCAGCCCTCCGGGCTGGGCGGTTGGGAGGAGCTCACTGTAAGCATACCACTCTGAAATCTCTGGTTTAGAGCAGCCTAGGGCCTTTATGTCATCCACGATGCCATAAAAAAGTTTTCTATGTATGCCATGACATGGAAGAGGTGGGGAAAACATTGGCATGAAGTAACAGCAGAGGACTACATCAGTGTTAAGGAAATCTGAACACAATCCTGTCAGAGTTCCAGTGCTGCCGTTCTAGAATTTTGTTATCTTATAGGTAATACTTTGAAAACAAATAATCCACATATCTATAAATCCGTCTGGAAGAGGAACAAAAATGAATATACAAAGATGTCATTGTTGTGAAAAAATTAAAAAAATCTTCAAAGTAGCAAAATAAAATAGGTAAATAAGTTATAGTAAATTCATGCTATGAAATAGTATACAGCTCTTTAAAATGGAATTTTTCTGAAAAGGACACATACTTTAAAGTGAGAAAAGCAGGGCACAAAATTTGATACAAGATACGGATTTTGTAAACCGCACTCAGAAAATAAAATCAGATCATTGCATGCAAAATAGTGTTCCTGGGTGATATGATTATAACTATTTTTTCAAAATAGTTTACTTTTTTCAACTTAAATATAAAATAAAACATAAAAATAAAAACGTGATAATGTATTCGATGGCAGTTTTAAAATGTAGGATTGCTTGTATCCCAGAAATCTTAAGAAAATGTGTCTAATCATTTCATTTCTACTTTCTATACCTGTAACTTACATGGTTGGGAATACAGTACGGATGTCCTTTTTTAAAAAATTAAAATATATACAACACCGTGAAGGACTTCCTTCTAGTGCAGATGACTGACAAAATGAAGAGAAGATGCACCTGTTCCAGTGGTGTCTAGTGATTTGAACAGAAAGAAACTGTGAAGAACCAGGAATGAAATCCTGAGATATGAAGGGGACTGTCTGAAATCCATGTGCCTTTTTGAGGTAGTTTCGTATCATCTCCTGGAAGCAGAAATGCTACAAAGCAGTGGAAGGAAGCTGGGGTTTTCCCTGTCATTGGGGAGTTTAACTCTGGGGAGCTTATTTTTCCCCAACTTTATTAAGGTATGATGGATAAATGAAAATTGTATGTATTTAAGGTGTACCATGTGATGATTTGATATGCATATACATTGTGAAATGATTACATAATCTGTCTAATTAGCATATCCATCCCCTCCCATAATTACCTTTTTTCCGTGGGGAACACACTTATGATTTACTCTCTCGGTAAATGTCAAGTATGCATTATTACTAACTATAATCGTTATGCTGTACATTAGAACCTGCTCATCTTATCCTTTAACCAACATTGCCCCATTACCACAACAGATTAGAGATTTAAATCTCTTATAATGCTTATATTTAGACATTTTAGAACTCTAAACTTAAAAAAAAAACAATTCTGCTTAATAAGAGATTTATCCCCAGATTATTTGAAGACACCAGGAAGAGAGAGGTCAGGGAAGGGAGTGTGG
The DNA here is from genome assembly GCF_000001405.40 of Homo sapiens. Lineage (NCBI taxonomy): Eukaryota > Metazoa > Chordata > Mammalia > Primates > Hominidae > Homo > Homo sapiens. The sequence continues at coordinate 186,580,700 of NC_000004.12, forward strand.
CCCAGGGTGAAGGTTCAGCGAACACCTGCTAGATGCATGCAGGAATGAACATGCCAACAAGCCTTCCCACTGAATGCACCCAAGTAGATGACATGAGAATGCATTCTCTGTCTGCAACATTCTTGGCTTAACTTGCCACTGACTTTAGCAAGCAGCCATGCATTCCTGTGATGCAGCTTTAATGGCCTTTCATTTGCTCACATTGGCTGAGCCCTGTGCAGAGTGGATGCCACCTCCCTTCCTGCAGCCCTGCCATCATGTCCCCAACTGTCCTCCCCCAACCCTCCTCCACTCCTGTCACCTCAGTTCCAACAATATCCTTCCTTCTCTTTTTAGCAGGGGATGGTGAGACTAATTTTTCCCCACCCCATCTCGAAACTAAGGACTTCAGATTGCATCTTGGTGTTGCACTTGAAACATCCTAAAGCTAACCTGTAAGCTTGTGGCAGCTCCTGGGAGGTGGCATTTCATAGCTTGGTTTATTTGCCAAGTTCCCTACACTCTTAGGTATCAAAGAATCCAGATGTTCAGTTTCTCCTAATCCCTGTTGATACCCTATTTTTTTTAAAATAATAGCTAGCCCTGATTCCTGTATGTCTGAGGATTACAGCTATTTTTTAAAATTTAATTTTTAAAGTTCTACTAGAGATGGGGTCTCACTGCATTGCCCAGGCTGTCTTGAACTCCCAGCCACAAGTGATCGTTTCACCTTGGCCTCCCAAAGTGCTGGGATTACAGGCATAAGCCACCATGCCCAGCCCCGATTTTGAGTTATCAATTAATACCAGCATTAAAGTAGGTGAAGTTCTATGACAGTTCATTTGGCAACTCAAAGCCCTGCTTTCCAAGAGCTTATTCCAGTGCTTTCATTAAAAGAGGTAAACTGAAACTTTTGAGTTCATGTCACCCACATTAGCAATGTGTACGTGGGTGCAGCCTTCTTCAATCGCTATCTTTTTAGAATGAGTCCCTTATTTCCTAGGCTAATGCTTAGTTTCTTTGCAAAAGTGCATTCAGACTGAGGTAGCATCCACTTTTAATGCTTCTGTGCATTAAAAGTTGTTGCGGGAAGTCAGGGACCCCGAACGGAGGGACCAGCTGGAGCCACAGCAGAGAAACATAAATTGTGAAGATTTCATGGACGTTTATCAGTTCCCAAATACTAGTTTTATAATTTCTTATGCCTGCCTTTACTTTAATCTCTTAATCCTGTTATCTTCATAAGCTGAGGATATACATCACCTCAGGACCACTGTGATAATTGTGTTAACTGTATAAATTGATTGTAAAACGTGTGTTTGAACAATATGAAATCAGTGCACCTTGAAAAAGAACAGAGTAACAGCGATTTTTAGGGAACAAGGGAAGATAACCATAAGGTCTGACTGCCTGTGGGGTCAGGCAAAAAAAGCCCTATTTTTCTTCTTGCAGAGAGCCTATAAATGGACGTGCAAGTAGGGAAGATATCGCTAAATTCTTTTTCTAGCAAGGAATATTAATATTAGTACCCTGGGAAAGGAATGCATTCCTGGAGGGAGGTCTATAAATGGCCGCTCTGGGAATGTCTGTCTTATGCGGTTGAGATAAGGACTGAGATGCGCCCTGGTCTCCTGACGTACCCTCAGGCTTACTAGGGTTGGGAAAACTACACTCTGGTAAATTTGTGGTCAGACCAGTTCTCTGCTCTTGAACCCTGTTTTCTGTTGTTTAAGATGTTTATCAAGACATACAGGCACTGCTGAACATGGACCCTCATCAGTGGTTCTGCTTTTGCCCTTTGTCCTGTTCCCTCAGGAGCATGTGATCTTTGTTAGACCCTTATTAGTAGTTCTGCTTTTTGCCCTTTGAAGCATGTGATCTTTGTACCTACTCCCTGTTTTACGCCCCCTCCCCTTTTGAAACCCATAATAAAAACTTGCTGGTCTGAGACTCAGGCGGGCATCACGGTCCTACCGAAATGTGATGTCACCCCGGTGGCCCAGCTGTAACATTCCTCTCTTTGTACTGTCTCTATTTCTCAGCCAGCCGACACTTACGGAAAATAGAAAGAACCTATGTTGAAATATTGGGGGTGGGCTCCCCCAATAAAAAGTGGCCCCCAGAGGCTAATACAGCTTCTGGAAAAACATTTGCTGTTTCTGGGCACTGGGAAAGTCTACCTCACTTTTCAGCAGGTTGAGTAGGATGGCTCCACACACTCTAGAATAAAAATGAACGTGATAAGCACAATCACTTCAATTGATTCTTCGCATCAGACAGACAAAAACAAAAACAAAAAACCCCCTAAATTTTAGAGGTAGAATTAAGAAAAATAGAAATTTAAAAGTTTAAATACTTACTAGACTTTTTTCTGTATATCTCTTCCTTTAAGCTGAACCATAATTTCCAAGGGTACCAAATAAAGATTGTGACAAATAGTAAGTGGTTTTGAAATCTAGTGTGTGCGTGTCTCATAGAATCCAGGTGAAACCCAGGGACATCAGAACTCGTTCCTCTTGTAATTGAAAGTTTGTAACCTTTAACCAACATTTCCCCATTTCCCCCAAGGGATTAAAGATATTTAAATCTTTTATAATATTTATGTTTAGGCATTTTAAAACCTTAAACTTCTTAAAAATGATTCTGCTAAATAAGGGAATTATCCCTTAGAAAAAGAACAAGAACTGGCCAGGCATGGTGGCTCATGCCTGTAATCCCAGCAATTTTGGAGGGCGAAGCAGGTGGATCACCTGAGGTCAGGAGTTCAAGACCAGCCTGACCAATATGGAGAAACCCTGTCTCTACTAAAAATACAAAATTAGCCGGGCGTGGCAGTACATGCCTGTAATCCCAGCTACTCGGGACGCTGAGGCAGGAGAATCGCTTGAATCCTGGAGGCAGAGGTTGTGGTGAGCCAAGGTCATGCCATTGCACTCTAGCCTGGTCAACAAGAGCAAAACTCCGTCTCAAAAAAAAAAAATAAATAAATAAAACCAAGAACTAACGAATAGTGCCAGTTTTGGTAGGTAGAAGTTTAAGATGGCCTCAAAGAACCCATCCCTGTCCTTGGGTACATGGTGTAATTCCCCCCCGAAGGTGAATGGGACTTGTGAATGTGATGGGAATTCCCATGGCTAGGTTACTAACCAGCTGACTTTTAGTTACTCAAAGTGAGACTTGATGTCCTGAGTGAGCACCTGACCAAATCACATGAGCCTTTAAAAAGGGATCAGGCCGTTCCTGAGATCAGGAAGCAGGTGAAGATGTAGCTACATGTGAGAGGGCTAAGGAGCTAGGACCTGACTCAAGAGAAGCTGTCAAGAAAGTGGGGACGGGCTGGGCGCGGTGGCTCACGCCTGTAATCCCAGCACTTTGGGAGGCTGAGGCAGGTGGATTATCTGAGGTCAGGAGGTCAATACCAGCCTGAGCAACATGGTGAAACCTCATCTCTACTAAAAATACAAAAATTAGCTGGGTACGGTGGCGCGTGCCTGTAATCCCAGGTACTTGGGAGGCTGAGGCAGGAGAACGGCTTGAACCTGGGAGGCAGAGGTTGCAGTGAGCCAAGATTGTGCCATTGCACTCCAGCCTGGGCGACAGAGCCAGACTCCATGTCAAAAAAAAAAAAAAAAAAAAAAAGTGGGGACAGCCAGCAAGAAACAGGGAACCTCTGTCCTACAGTTAGCAAGTACAGTTAGCAAGAAAATGAGACCAGTTCTACAAGTGCAAGGGACTGAATTCTACCAAGAGCCTCGTGAGCTCCCCAGCCTCAGATGAAACCACAGCCTAGCTGACAGCTTGATTCCAGCCTGTGAGAAGCTGAGCAGAAAACCTGGCCATGCCATGCCCGGGGGTTTTGATCTATGCAATGAGAAGTAATAAATGGGGGTAATTTTAAGCCACTAAATGTACGGCCATGTGCTGTGGAGCAACAGAACACTGATACCCCAATGTTCTTCCAAACACTGGAAACCGGTGGTGTGAGCACATTCCGGACTTCCAGGTTCAGATGGCGGAGGGCTACATTCTGCCCCTTCTTCTCCTGAAAATCAATCAAACAATAACTGTTTAAGTAAATAAAACATTATTTTAAAAAAGGAAAATGAATCTGAAACAGGAAATGGGGGAAAAAGTTAAAAAGCAATTCCATTTTCAATGCTTTTAAGAGGCGTTGTTAACTGTAAACCACGCTACAGCAGATGCAAGGATCGGGCAGCAGAGCCTGGAGGCCATGGGAACAGGCCCCTTTGTCACACATGGAAGGTAATGAAGAATGGGGTGAGTGGCAGGGATGCTGTCTGAACGGTGTTCAAGCTGTTAGAATGCAGATTCTCAGCTCTATCCTGAGCCGCCTCGATGATGAAATAGACAAAGAGAAAGAAGCAGGAATGTTCTCGTAACCCAGAACTAGAGGACTAAGGGAATGACAAATCTCCAGTCCCCTTATCTGGCCAATTTCAAAATAAGAGCAATGATATTTCCCAGGCTGGAAACAGAAGGTCCTTCCTCGGGAGAAACTGAAACTCTTCAAAGATAAGACAAAGAAACGGACAAAGCAAGCTGGCCCACAATGTCACAGAGAAGTCCAGGAGCTAAGGAGCACAGTCATGGCTTTCTGTCAGCTTGGGTGCCTCATTAGGCTCAAGTCAAGCAAGAGGAAAGCCTGCAAGGTGAAAGGGGAGCAAGCCCTCCTGAAAGGAATATTTAAAAGCCGTCCAGGGGAAAACCAGGCAAAATGGAAGGACTTATTCTAAAATACATTTAGCAAAAATGAGATACTAGGGAGCTTCGAAACAGGAACAAATGCCTGTGTAATATAGAAAAGGGACAGTCAGGACCAGACCAGTCTCTTAAACATTAAAAATGACAGCAGAAATAAAACTGGTAACAGAAGGAACAGAAGATAAAAGTGGAATGAATCCCAGAAGGGGAATAAGACAAAGATGGACAATAGGAGTTCAATCAAAAAATGAGAGAATTTAGCAAGTCAAGCAACCTATAGTTATGAGTCTTGACAAGAGAACTGAGATCACCTCCTTTGAGAATTAAACGAAGAACTGAGAAAGCAGAAGGGAAGAAATGATCAAAGAAATAACACAAGAACAGTCCCCACAACGTGGATTTTCATTAAAAACGGAGTAGCAATCCCTGGAAAAGGCCCACGCCAAGACACAGCAGCAGGAAATCTCACAATGTTGTAGAGAAGTAGCATGTCCCCAGAAGAATATCCCCAAAGATTTGTGAGAGTCATATTAGGCCACGAATAATGAACTGGGACTAGGAACAACACTGGACTTTTCAATGTTAACATTTGAAGCTGGAAGACAGTGGGTTCCATGACTTCAAGATTCTGAATGTAATTTACCTCCAAACCAGAAACCTACACCCAATCTATCAAGAGTAGAATAAAGACACTTTCAGAAACACAGTCACAAAAAATTACTTCCCATGCAACTCTTTCTCAGACAATAACAGGATATGCTCTATCAAAACAAGAGTTAGGCCAAGAGAAAATTACAGAGTCCATGGTAAGGAGAATATTCCGGAACAACAACTATAGATGCCGAAGAGAACAAAAAAATGGAGTCTGGGCCACCAAGCCGAGGGGTTCCCTGAGGAGAATGTCCAAGGGAAAAAAAGGAGCGGACAGACTTCCTGCTGTGACCATGTACATGACAGGCTGCACTTGTGTTTTTCTTGGGCGTTCTCACACTCCTCCCTTTACAGTAGCAGCTAATCTGTCTGCCTGGAACAGTTCTCAGAGAAACCACGTGGTATTCTTCCTCATCAACTTCAAGGTTGGACTCAAATGCCGCTTGCCACTGAGGCCTCCTGTCTTCTCAGAATGTCCCTTCCCATCACAACCCCTTCCCCGTCCCTTCCCATCACAATCTCACACATTCCTTCCTCAATCACAGTCTCTCTCCTCAGCACTCACTACTATAAACACTACCATGTATCTCCTGATCATCTCCTCCTACCACCTGTCCCCACCAAATGTAAATTCCAAGATGACGGAGGACTTTTGTCTGTCTGTTCAGGCAAAATAATATAGTATTATTGAGGGAAAATGTTTTCTGAATACATGAATAGTCACAAGTTTAAAAAATGAGTAAAATAAAAAGACAATTGTTAAAAAAAGAAAGTTGCTAAGTAAATGAAAATAAACATCATATACTGCTTGGCACAGCAGTGAATACTTACATAATCAAAATAATGGAAACGCTGTATATGGATTAATCCAAAAATTATAACTAATGGTAGGAAAACAAGATCAGTGGAGGTCTATTAGGTTACATGGTCTTCCTCCAACATCATAGGGAGTCAACAGGCAATTTCTAAATTTAGTGACTCAAGAAAGAATAATATATACATTTGAAAATATGAAAGGAAGAATGAGAAAAACAGCTTAAGGAGTTGTAACTGGGTACAGCAGGTTGCATGGGACTGCTGTTTTATTATATATATTTTAGCTCTCTTTGATGTTTTTAAACTATGTATTTATATTATTTGATAAAAAGGCATTTACTTAAAGGGAAAACATGTTTCTCCAAAGTTCTAAGAAAGCTTAATTGTTTGTCATTCATATCATAGTGGCATATAGTAAGTACTCAATAAATGTGTTGGAAGTAGGGATGGATTTTGACTGTATAAAAATATATAAAAAATAGCTTCTGGATCTCACATTAAATCATACAGTACTGTGTAAGTTGACAACAGAAAGGTATAATGCTTCACAGAGACTGTTTTTGATATAAAACATTGACAAAGGTGAAAAACATGTAAGCATTAAAATTACAACCAATAAATTCATACTAATTAAAAATGTATAAAATTTTCTTGGTTTTGTTTAAAAATATTAAAAAGTTATGCTTTTTACTTTTGTGGCTATAGTTTTGAGCCGTATCAAGTAGCTATATACTGCCACCTGGTGGCTGGCTCCGCTTGGACAGCAGGGCTTTTGGTCAGGGTAGAGAGGATTTTCACATTTACGCCTTGTCCACTAAAAGCAAATACATCAATATCCACCCTTCCATTCATCCATTCTTCTATCTCAGCCACTGAATCCTGAACAGGAGTATCAATGGGAAGGAAAAAGAGGCATAAAGCTCAAGTATTTTATTAATAATTTATTGTCAGTAAGAAAGACTGGCTAATGGTAGTTTTCATTAAAAACCTTTACAAGACCATTGCATCACAAATATACAGACACTATAAAAACTGTGTCATGGTGGTTTTGGTTCTAAACAGGTATGCAGAAGGTCCCCGTTACACTTTCCAATAATGAAAAATGTTTATAATTCTAAATACAGCAACCCATGTAAGACATGTTCATGTATCTGATCTCTCCTTCATCCTATGTACAGCTAGAAATGAATGACTACACTGAAATGTACTAACAAAATGTCACACTTCAGTGGAAAAAGACAGAATGAAACCCTGGTTATAGTAAAAAAAAAAAAATCAGGGTGCTAGATAATGGCACTGACACCACCAAAATTCAGTTGAAACAAATGCACAAAATATCTTGGAAATCTAGTTAAAACTATGAAAAATCAAATCTGTACATAAAATTTACAAAAAAAAGAGACAGGAAAATTAAAATAATCAAATCTATATAAATACATGAATCATGCTGACAACACAGGACTGATTTTTCGTTTGATTATTTTAACACAGACAGATGTAAATCCCAAAAGACGTTGGGAAATGGCACAGCCGATGAAAACCTCACGATGACAGTAGTTGGGACACTGGAAATGGCTAGCACGTCCAGAGGCGCAGGATCCAGCGCAGCCATGCCCATTCGGCTCACCAAAAAAAGCTTGGAAGCACTGCTGCAAAGAACAGCGCGGATTACTCACATCACCTCTAGGTTCACTAAAGTCAGGCACTTTGGGGGGAGTTGAGAGTCAGACTTCCGTGTGCTGCTGGGAATCCAGGGGCGGGATCGTCACCTCTTCGAAGTGGCCGTCGTCCCCGCTCTCATAGTCACTCATCATGACCTCGGACTCCACTTCGCAGCAGGCTGACACGTCAGAGCAGGAGGCGGTGGAGGCGTACACAGACATGGGCATGCTCTCGACAGCGGGCGCCTCGAAGTGTCTTTGATACCCTGGCGGGTAAGGGGCATGGGGTTCTCTACAAGTACTATTCTCACCAGTGCCTTTTGTTTGAGGTTCAGACATATCGAGGGGATAAAAATTGGGCAAATACTGATTCAAGTTGAACCTCTGCCGGTTTCTTGATGAAGAACCCAAGCTACCCGCGGCAGGCATGTCTCTAGGAGGGTGGATGGATTCAAACTGATTGCTGAATTCGGGCGGTAACGGTGGTAGCTCATCAGCTGCGGGGAAGTCTTCTGGGGGTGGAGGAAAATCACTTTCGATGTCGTAGCCTCCAGGGTAATAGTCCGTATCGATGGCGTTTGGATCTGCTGAGTACAGGGGTGTCTGCTCATCAATCACCTCATAGTTGGGGAACTCTTGTATGTCCGGCAGAGGAACGCTTGGCATCCAATCTGATGTATCCCAGTGATACCCTTGGTGGAAAAGAAAACAGATGTCAGTGTGTTTTCTCCTAAGCTTTTGTGCCATGGAAAGAGAGCTCAGTGTATCAAAGACACAAAGATGCAACCGCATTTATGCCTTCATTCAAAGTTCACCACTGGAAATTCCTCGTCTTTGCTTTGAAGACATCCCCCAACCCACTCCAGTTTAAAGACCCCTATGAACTAGGCTCTAGTTCTAAAATGTGGACTTACAGTTTTATGTACGCAACTAACATTCAAGGAAACAAAAGGAGTCCTAAGAGAAATGGGATGCTAGCATCTAAATTATATACATTTTTCTACAAATGATTCTAACCATCCTTCTGGCTTTTCTTCTGTAGAACCCACTGCTCTGTAGGAAGAAGAGTACTGATCCAGTCTCAGGACATTAGTGAAATATCCAGTGTCACTTGATCTGCACTACTTCTCATTAAAAAAATACTGATTAATGCAACTTAAAAAAATTTTGCATTTCTATTTTTTATAGAGACAGGGTCTCACTATGTTGCCCAGGCTGGTCTTAAACTCCTGGCCACAAACAATCTTGCCAATTCAGCTTCCCGAAGTGCTGGGATTACAGGTGTGAGCCATCAGGCCCAGCCAATGCAACTTTTTAAAGTAATAAAAGTAACCTTTAACATGCTAAAGTTTAGAAAATAAGCTTCCTTCATAATAATGTAGCAAGTTTAATATTAAAATTACTATTTTTCATTAACCCTCAGACAACAAATTAACTTAATATAGGTATGTATCAAAGCATGCCAATTCAAGCAAAATACAATTGAACAAGCGTTGCAAGATTATAACACAGCCTCTGATACACTGTAACAATCAATCTGTGTTACTTCCAAAAGGACTGTGATCCTTTTAGACTATATAAAGCACCACTATTTTAAAAAAAAACTTCCAATTTTGGAATAGTTTTTTTTTTTTCCTCCTTAGGATTTAAAAAATCCTTGGAGAGGCGGGAGAAGGTTAGGCAATCCGTGCTTCAAATGCAATGCGCACACACATGCAGCCGTGTACTTAGTTACTGCTGCAAACACTGGGCGACCCAGCGTAGTCAGTCAGCACTGGGGCAAGGCTTGACCCATTGTTTTTAGTGAGTATCAATGAATAACTGGCATGCATAAGTCACCTCTTGGTTTGCTGAGGTCAGGAGCAGCCAAAGATTCTTTTGGTGGCAGAGTAGAAAAAAAAGAAAACATTTGTAATTAAAACAGTCGGCTGAAAAGGCAATAAAGGTAAGTACACAGAACAATGAAAACTGCTTACAGAGGCCCAATCAGCCATACAGCATGTCCTTACGCCAGTATCTATGACAATTCCAAATGGCTGAGAAATGTATGTACCACAAATAAAATGGAATATGGAAGTGGAGGAAAGTGACTGCGGAATGAGGAACCAGAAATTTGGCCAGAAAACTCAAATATTACTTTCTTTTCCTTGTTTCTGACAATCACAGCCTGAAAACACAGAATTTCCTTAGGAATAATGAAAACAAAACAAACAGGCTCTAATAAAATATAAACTGATCAGATTACATAGGTGATAATCCAAATACATCTACAGCTACATAATGCACACACTTTATAGCACACTGCAACTTCAAAGGACATTAAATTCAGAGGAATTCATAGGCAAACTTAGATACTTAAAGACAGATGTACAAGCTGAAGATCTCTCCAAACTGTATGTATTTTGAATATGCTTTAATATTGACACTGTGAGCCATTCCCTAAAGAGACCACGGCTACACTTACCCCATGTCTGTAATTACACTTGCCCTGCCAGGGCCCCGCATCTATACACAGAAGCCCAGCAGGAAGTGTAACCAAACGCATGTAAATCCCACTATCAGTTAGGGCCATGAGACGCCTGCCCAGGCCCTGGCTAACCTTCAGGTTCTCTCTTTGAAATGGGGTGAAAATCCGTTAGAGTTGTTATGAGGATTAAACAGGATCATGCAGGTTAAGCACTGTTAGAAACTATCAATAACTGTGAAAGTAGACATCACAGCAGAAAAACGGTCACATCCGTGATTTTTTAAACAAGGCTTTCTATGCATTCAACAGTGTTATAATTTGGGACAAATATTTGATTGATAGTTCACTTCTAGAAATTTCAGTAATTTTAAAAGACTGTGGTGTCTCTAAAACATGAATACGCCGGCATTTAGGTAACATGTATCTACAGAATCATTTTTAAGTCTAGTAACAAAAGCAGCAATTCCTTTAAACAAAAAAAGATCAACAACTTTTGTTACGTAGGCACTAGTAATAGCTTTCAACTTTAAATTCCATGTGCACTTCTTGGATATGCCAAAAAATATTTGTCAATGAAGGAGACTGCAATGAAGGAACTGTTGAAATTCTGCTTCTATAAGCTTCAATAATATTTAAAATGCTGAAGGTCATCAGTTTAACACTAAAACTTCACTAGACAAAATACAGGTATGTTTCTGATTTGCCCAGTGAAAACATGGTACTTCTTAGGAAAAGAAGTGTAGGCGTCATCAGTAACTATAACCATGAACACTGGAGTATCTAAGCCTCTTCTGCCTGATAGCAAATGGGGCCCAGAGCTATCCTCCCTCCTCCTGAACCTTGACAGCATCATGTCCTAGCATAAAGGATCCCCCGAACTCTATGATGACGTCTGTGTACTCGATGGCCTCTGTAAGCAGTTCTCGAGTGGGATCTCTAGACCGGCACCATCAGAGCTACCTGGGAACTGGTGAAAAATGCAAATTCTAAAGTCCCAACCCAGACCTGTTGGATCAGAAATGCTGGTGCTGAGAACCAGCAATTGGGCTTTTAACAGCCCTCCAGATGATCTGATTCACATTACAGTTTGAAAAGTACTAGCCTGTGTCTTCCCCATGTGATGAATTTCAGTGCACTAATAAAGGGCTATTTTAATTTAAAATAATTTGGGGAAGGTGCTCAATGTCCTTTCTTACAACTCTGAGCAGATAAAGCTTCACATTAAATAATTTTCACTAAACCAAATATGAAAATATTCTTTTACCATGCTCTACACCCTTTTCTTTGATCATACTCAGGGAAAAACCAAAAGTGAAGAGTCAGTTACAGGTTAATTATGAAAGCTTTACATTATTCAAGTCTTATTCCTGTACATACGAAGAAGAATTTTTGTTTCAAAAAAATTTTAGGTAAAATTACTTCTGAACTTTTTCTTGATTGCACCACCTACAGATAAGCTCTCCAGATCTCATGTAAATCACTATGAATGGTAAAAAGGAACAAAGACATAACATACATTGAGATATTTTTTGCAAAGCACTCATATTACGTATATACACACCTGCATAAAATAAAAGGACTCAACCCCCTCAAAACCACAAACTGTTTTTTCCTACCATTGCAATAGCAATGCGGCCGAGCTCTACGACACGGCTGCTGCAAGACACAGACACAAGCACGAGCACTTACAACTGTACCTTCTGTGCTCACCGTGTCAACCACAGCATTGACAAGGTGCATTACGGTCACTATGGAAGCTTGCAAAAAGGTACAAAAGCAGTCAATTAGGAACATCTTCAGTTAGTTAGAAAACAGTGCATGAAATAAAGTTTTGTATTATACCATTTCTACCTCAGATTCCAACCGATGAGTGCTTTAATACAACCACATAATGATGCGTGGTCTCCTCACTGTTAGCTGTGTGTCTCAGAGACTTTTTTAATCGAGCTATATATTTGTTATTATTAATCAAAGGAATAACGTAAACATATTTTATTGGAATTTAAACAAAAAAACTTTTAGCTTTAAATTTTTTCACAATTACAATTATGCATCATGCCAGGCCAAAACGATTCTTATTTTAACATCTTACAGGCAAGACTCGACATTCCAAGACTACAGTCTGTGGTTCGCCACTCTTCCGGCTGCTTAATCACTCACACATTGTCCCCCAAAAAAAAGAAATTGAAGGAGAAACATATGCAATCTAAAACAAGAATGTTTTTGTCCCTGTTCTGATTGCTTTCCCTGCAAATTTCTCGTCTGTTTGCAGATGGACTAATCGCTGGTGAGCTAATGTACGAGTATAGGAGGAGACTCTGTCCGTCTGTTTCCTGTGTAAATTCCCTTTTCATTTGTGTATCAGATTGTTTTAAAATAACTATGCCAAGGTAAATATGTACGCATGTGGTAGGCAGAAGGCTGGCCCTCAAATAGTCCACGTCCTAATCCCAGGAGCCTGTGAATATGTCACTATACATGGCAAAAGGGACTTTGTTGACGCGGTTCAGATAAGGAAATTGAGATGAGGGATTTCCCTGGATTACCTGGGTGGGCCCAGTGTAATCATAAGGGTAACTTTTCTGCACAGAGGCGTTCCCAGTTACGGCTGGGGGGAGCTCTGCTGACAGAAGGGTGGTCAATGAAACACTGTGTTGCTGTCTCTGAGATGGAAGAAACCAAGAGCCAAAGAATGTGGGCAGCCTCTAAAAACCAGGAAAGGAAGGAAAACAGGTTCTTCCCTCGAGCTGCAGAAGGCAATGCAGCCCTACTGATCGCATGACTTAAGCCCTGTGAGACACAGGGGTTGGGCTTCTAAGCTACAGAATGACAGCAACACAAGTCTACATTGTTTTAGGCCACAAAGTTTGTGGTAATCTGTAATGGCCCTGGAAAACCGGGAATACGACGCAGGAACAGACTCTCAGCAGACTTTCAGTTTACAACTGATAATTACATTATGGTAATGAGTAAAATAAAAACACTCCTGTATATATGTTTTTTCTCTGCATTGTACTATCTGGAAGCTAGTTTTCATAACTAATTTGACCATAACTTATTGAAAGCACTTGGGACTATTTTTTTTTTTGAGACAGAGTCTCGCTCTGTCGCCCAGGCTGGAGTGCAGTGGCGTGACCTCAGCTCACTGCAAGCTACAACTCCCGGGCTCAGGCCATTCTCCTGCCTCAGCCTCCCCAGTAGCTGGGAGTACAGGTGCCCACCACCACGCCCGGCTGATTTTTTTTATATTTTTAGTAGAGACGGGGTTTCACTGCCAGGACGGTCTCGATCTCCCAACCTTGTGATCCGCCCGCCTTCACCTCCCAAAGTGCTGGGATTACAGGCGTGAGCCACTGCGCCCGGCCACCTGGGACTATTATTAAGAAGACTGATGTTCCAACAACAAGAACTAGAAAGAAAATGCTGATAAAATTCTGAAATGTATTTATAAAGAGCATTTAGGGGCCAAGATATAAATTATTACATAAACTGGAAACAGGAACTTCTTAGAATTAAAATTGATAAAAGACATAATTCTATCTTGTTGGTTTAACAAGCAAAGCTATGTCCATACACCCTATTCCTAATCAACACAGGTATATTTTGATACCATATATACGGTATCAAAATATACCTGTGTTGATTAGGAATAGAGTGTGTATATATATATATACTTGAAAGTATATATATATATATATATATATACTTGAAATCAGAAATGATAGCACATACTTATAGCTATCTTTAGTTTGAAAAATGACTGCAATAGATAATGACTATATGGATTTATGGACTATATGATGTATTATGGACTATATTACTCTGGATTGAATAATTATTAGTGGGGTTACCTTTTCCCACCAATAAAATATTTGAAATGTATAACATATTAATATGTTTAATAATAAACGTATTACGTTTATACAATAAAAATTATCATTAAACTTACTAATTCTGAGATTCAAAAATTTCCACTAAAAACTACATTGTGTTACTGAATATTGACGTTTTTCTCTACTGGTATGTGTTAATATGGCAAAGCTAGTTATCAATGCAATTTACCCTATAGGGAAACCAGATCAACATAACTGGTGGCAAAGATCCCACTGTTAAACTTTCTTCATTAGAAATATAATCAAACTTACTAGCAATCTCTTAAACTGTGCTCTGGCAGTACGCTCTGATCCAAATGGGAGCTGGGGCCGCAGTGGGGTTGGGGGAGGAGACAAATAAAACCTTGTAATACCCAAGGTGCTACTGAAATCGAACATTTCAGACTATCACATCTCTTCTTAGAGGGGGTGTGTGTGTGTGTGTGTGTGAGAGAGAGTGTGTGTTTGTGTGCGTGCTGCGTGGTTAAGAAAGTTGCGAGGAAGATTTCTGACAAACCCACAAAACTGGGGTGATATTAACTGTTGTGAAAAAAAGCCAATATAAGATTAGTCGATCAGATCCTTCAATGAATATGTTCTTCTCTATTACTGACAAGTTCAAACACCTATTCATTAAGAACAGTTTGGCTATTTTCCCCAGCAGACATTCATGCAAGTATGTATGGTATTGTTTAAAAGTGGTCCAAGAAAAATGAAAATATGGTGAGGCTTTAAGGGTAGATAGTGCGTCTACATTGTGAGATAACACAGTAACACAACAAGCAAGCAAAGCGCAGTGTTGCAGCACACTGCTGCCTCACCATTGTCATCGCACGATTCGGACTGGAAGGAGCTCAGAGACTGCACTTCAGACAGGCTTTCCCGGGCACTGTATGGCTGGGAAGGCTTTTCCTCTAGAGGCTTCTTGGAAAGACAGGGATCAAGATCCACCACTTTTGCTAAAAGGAAGGATGACAAACAGTAAGTATATGGGCCAAGACGGTTTTGTTCACCGCTGAATCCTGAGACACACCATGCATTACCCAACGATGGCCTGAGATTTACTCAATAAATGAATGACTGAAAGAAAAACAGAAACACCTTACAAACTCAAACGAAGAAATAAAAAACCCCTGCACAGAAAGACCTCCACATCATCTTAGAGATTATTCATAGAGTAGAAATCGCCCATAAGCATGCCTATGGGTATCATTAGACAGTAAAGGCTGCTAAAATTTTGTTTTAAAATAGTATGTACAGCTTTAAAAGAAAAAAGCATCAAATATATGTTAGGTCACTAATATAAATATTTCCACTTCGCCAGGTCATATTTTTAAAAATCCTAGCATGAAAATGCTCCCGATTATTTTTTTGACATATTAATAAACTCAAAAAATTATAGATGAGAACCTTTATCAATTATAAAATGAAATGATCTCTCCAGAATATTAACTAAACATGACTAGATTCAATTTCTTAATTAAAATAACATCAAAGCCACAATGCTAACCCAGCAATCGGGACATCCAAAAAAGTTTCAAATCATCATACGGATTTCAGTCTGAGCATACTTGTCTCTAATGAAGAGTACACACATTTTGACTGGACAGAATTTGTAACCTCACTGTTTATCTCAAGTGACACTTTAGTGAGATGAAAAAGTGGCTCTTACTGTCATAGTCAAAGTCCCAGCTAGGCTTCTGGATGGAGTCGCTGTCAGAAGGGGAGTTTGAAGGGGGTGGGGGAGGCAGGTTTGGCGCCACGCTGCAGACCGCCACTGCTTTTCGGTGCCCGTGCACAGACTCGGGGTTAAAAGTGCTGAATTCGGGATGCTCTGGGATAGCAGATCCTTCGAAGGAATTTCGGTCCAGATTGTTTCTTGAGTCACTTGGAATACTCGGGGTGTAGGAAATAGGCCGGACAGGCACCTGGGGTGGTATGTCTGAGTAAATGTTCTTATTTAGCTTGGAATCAAAATACGGTCTTTGCAAGAAAGCCGTAGCGGGTCCCAGGTGCTTGTCTTTAGGTTCAGCCTGATGCTTCTTTTTCCGACTAATCATCTTACGGCAGAGAACAAACACCACCACCAGTAAAAATATCCCTGCAACAAACACAACGATTCCAATTCCTTCCGCCAACCCAATGTTCCACGGCGTGGACACATACTGGTTGGGCGCAGCATCCTCGCAGTGACGTCCCCTGTACTCGTGGCTGCAGTTGCAGTGATAGGAGCCGTGCGTGTTCTCACAGAGGGCCCCGTGCAGGCAAGGGTTTCCAGAGCACTCGTCGATATCACTCTGACACCTGCCAAGGAAGTCAGGAATGAGGAGAGACCTCTGTAGCATACGCCAGCGTATGTCAGGCTCAATCCTTAGAGACTGAAGACTAATCCCTCCTTGATGAGCTATGTGAAGATCAAACCCAGATAAAAGACAACTAAAAAATGTAACGTCGACAACCACGAGAAAAGACCTTCTGTGGAGAAACCAATCATGTGATCGCATGCTTTTGATGTATATTTGGGAAGGAAACATATCAAGCCAATATTAATGGCCATTTTCCTAGGATCAACAGACTATTACATCAACCCCATTGGCTAAACATTAGTTTTTTTCAAGTATTATATATACTGTATTCATCTGCTTGATAATTCATTTTAAAGAGTGAAAAGATTATAAATTATATAAGGGGCCAATATGAGGATTATCAAAATCTGACATAATGTAGTTCAAATCACTGAAGGTCTGTTGCATCTGCCAGTCAATATGACGCTATGAAAAGGTATGAACCTAAATTTTGAAAGAAACCATTTACCTTTCTCCCCTAAAACCCGAATCACACTGACAAACGGCGCCATCCAAACTGTCAAAGCATGTTCCGCCATTCTTACAGGGTTCATCTTTGCAGTATGGACTAAGCTGACACCTGAAGAGTAAGGAGAAACAGACATAAACCTCATGATCCTATTGCAAATAAATACAGCAAAACAGAAAGCAAAACAGAACACATTAGCAAATTAACGTGCAGACTTTTTACATGTACCATTATATGTTTAAGAATTTTATACTACAATTGATTATGAAAGTTAAGAAAAATACACATACCTCTGACCAGTATATAATCCTCTACACTGGCAAACAAAGCCTCCGTTGTCGACAACACACGTGCCCCCATAGAGGCATGGCTTGGAGGAACACGGATTGACGCTTATCTCACAGTGGGTCCCTATGTACAAGGCACTGCATTTGCAGTAATAACCTAAATCGGCAAAAAGGAACAAAAAAGTCCTATCACTCAATGACTCAGAAACCTGGTCTTAATTATATTGCTTTTTATCTTTATTCTCCGAGGTCTGTAAAAGCTCGTAAAATTCTCACTCTCTCTGGGAAAAAAGTTGGCTACATCAACAAGCCTTCCACTGCTGGTATAACCAAAACACCCAGAATTGAAGAGAGAACTCAGTTAGCTTTAGTTCATCATAATCTGCATTAAGATCACTAGGTCACACATATAGAGGAGGAAAATACAGTTCTTTACCTGAGTGACCATGTACGTAGACAGCACCACTTAACATCTCAATTTATTTGCAATTCACAAGCATTTAAGGATTAAATGAGAAAATAATGAATGTGAAAAGCACTTTGAAGACTATAAATTACCTTTCAATATTTTTATTTTTTGAGACAGGGTCTCGCTCTGCCACCCAGGCTGGAGTGCAGTGGCGCAATCTCAGCTCATTGCATCCTCAAACTCCCGGGCTCAGGGATCCTCCCACCTCAGCCTCCTGAGTAGCTGGAACTAGAGGCATGCCACATGCCTGGCTGATTTTTTAAGTTTTTGTAGAGATGGGGTTTCCCTGTAACGCCCAGGCTGCCTCACTTCTAGCCTCAAGTGATCCTCCTGCCTCAGCCTCTCAAACATGTAAAGATTTAAGAAAGGAGATCATCACATCTGTTCAAAGCAGTACGAAGAATGTCGACTCCACTTTGTCAAGTGACAGGTGGTGTGGCAGATCTTCTAACTGCCTGCCTTGAGGGCACACCGCAGCACAGTGCTTCCCCGCCCCTCCAAAGCTGGCGTGGCTGTGGGTTTTTCTCAGGATGAAGAACTGTGGTGCCCTGGGCCAGGGCCTTTAGGAGCCAGGGCACAGCTGCCATACTCCTTTACTCCTGCTTCGGGACCATGGGAGTGCATGTCAGGAAAGCACCTCTCTCAGCCTCATCCCTAAGTGACAAAATGAGGACGGCCTCCTTGCTAACCTGGTTTGGACGTGTAACTAATATGAGCACAGTATAAATGAGAGTGTTTCTGTGGGGATGGCCTGGCCCACTCTACGCACACAGAATGCAAATATACCTCCCTGAGAGAACAGCAGAAAACCAAAGCTTTGGAAATCCCACTTAATGACAGTATTATTTTTGCTCTGTTCATTATACCAAGCTCTATTTGGTATGACAACTGTCATTTTCCTAACTGTACCCTATTATTGGTAAGTGGGCCTAACAGGAGTCCAGGGTGCAAAAGACACAAAGTACCCCACTACGCCAGGGCTTCAAGACAGACAGATATGGCAACACTTCAGGAGGGATTCAGGGCCTTCTGGAAAATCATATTCCCAACTATTATTGCCAGCAAGAATCTAGCAGGCCCCCTACGCTGAGCCATTAGATAAAAGGTGATACAAATAACAAAGAAGGGCTAAGCGGTACGAATTCTAAATTCCCCTGGGCCGATGACTATGGAGTTAAAGAAGAGTTCTGAGTCACTTGAGGTGCCTCCTGCTCGGGCACTGGGAGGGCACTGCAGGCGCTCAGCAGTGGGAGCCGTGGTACCTGCAGCCTGGGCACCAGAAGGGCAGCAGACCCAGCTCTGCCCCCGTATGAGGGATGCTGCTCGCTTCCAACACTGACTGCAGTGTCTGACAAAATTATCTGAATCAAAAGAGAAAAAAATAAAAAAATACCTGGGGAGCTTCCCCTTAAATGTACACACGTGCAGCATTTTAAAGATGGCAACATTACGGAGCCCACCTCCAGCAGGTGACGGATTGCAAACGCCTCCATTCTGGCAAGGGTTGCTGGCGCAGTCTTCCGTGGCCGTCAGGAAGCAGCCTGGAGATACATCCACCGACTCTTCGATGTGTGCATAGCTTCTGGGTTTGCTGTTTAAAGGGAGCTCCTGCCCATTCAAATAAATGGAGTCCATACAACCCCTGAAACCATTACCAACTTGAGGACTTCTTCCATGCCTTGTTCCCTGCTGACGGATGTGGCCACCAAAAAACACATAGTTATCCAGGTTCAGGGTTTTCAGAGTCCCTGGGGCTGTGCCCGATGCAGTATGAACTTGGTCTAGAACCAAGCGAGCATAGTTTCCATTCACTTCCAGGGCCACTGCGTGCCACTGCCCATCATTGACCTGAATGCTCTGAACAGAGACAATTCCAGGGCCACTTCCACAGTCAAACTTGTACTGCAGCCTTCCATGATGAATCTAGGATAAAAGCAATGACTGTTCACATTACTCTCATAGAACCTTCAATGAGAGCACCTGATCACAAATCTACAGGAGAGGGCTTAGGGAGTGAGGGTAGAAGTTAGGCCTTACATTTAAGTACTACAGAGCACAGATTCATTTGTCCACTGTATAAATCATTAAAATGCGTCTTTTAGGAATATCAAGTTAAAATGCACATCCACAAAGCATCATGGAAGCGAATAATTAACTATTAACTGAACACATAAGCATTAGGTAATATCAAAAGTCAAAACTGAATAATGTTTTTAAAAAAGGTGGGCAAGATACATAACACTTGAAACACATGTAGGATGTCTCTATAAACTGTAACAGTTTTTGTTTTTTGAGACAGTTTCACTCTTGTCGCCCAGGCTGGAGTGCAGTGGCGTGATCTCAACTCACTGCAACCTCTGCCTCCCCTGTTCAAGTGATTCTCGTGCCTCAGCCTCCTGAGTAGCTGGAATTACAGGCGTCCGCCACCAAGTCTGGCTAATTTTTTGTATTTTTAGTAGAGAGCAGGTTTTGCCATGCTGGCCAGGCTGGTCTCAAATTCCTGACCTCAAGTGATCCACCCGCCTCAGCTTCCCAAAGTGCTGGGATTACAGGCGTGAGCCACCACACCCAGCCAACATTATTAAAATGGGGCATCACCTAGAGTTTGAATGTTAACTGTCACATGGACCTAAATCTCTGTCATGGCAGGGCAAAAAGAGCTCTTCATCCCACAAAGTCTAAAACTTGTACAGGCATCAATGAATTATTTAAATGTGGAATTCAACCATTTCACTTACTTTATTATCTGTGCAAATTAACAATCTGAATATAAAATGAAATTTATGGTTTGAAAGTCTTCCACTAAGATGCAACGCTGTGGAGAAACATACCTCCAAGATGCTATAGTCAGTTCCTCGAGCATACATGACAACCGCATGCGTGGAATATGTTCTGAGCCTCATGGTCAGTTTCATCTCTAATTTGTTTTCATTTTCCGTCAGACGGTATTTCACGTAGCTGTTTCCAGTCAGTGTCATAGATGAACTCCCTGTGAATCACACAGAGGAAAAAATAAACCAGAACCAAGTTTAAGCATATTTTTTAAAGTATGACTCCCCTGCACCCCTTGAGACTGATTTAGGGTTTTATTTAAGATGATAACATTTTACTATCCAATTCTGTGGGAAAACGTCTATTTGCTTAATGAAAAGCCCAGCATGACTGGCTCTCTGTTTGGAAAGAATAAATTTGACGACTGCATCACAGAGAAATGAATTCTAAAGTAATGAAAGATTAAATATAAAAATGTTCAGTATAAAATTATTAGAAGAAAATTTCAGAAAATAGTTATACATAGCCTCAAGGTGATTTAAGAAACCTTCTCAAGCAAAATAAAACAATCCCCATTCCCCAAAGAAGATGCAAATGTCATCAATCTCCACAGATGGCAACTGTTACATAAAATTATGTAGAACTGACTAAATAACAATTGAATTTCAAAATGACAAGAGGCATACTTAACAAATCAAAAGATAACATCAATATAAATGATATAAAGACAGAGGTAACTGCAACACTGTGAATGTTAATACTCCTAATACACAAGTAACTCTACACATTGATACTAAGAAACAAATAACCCAGACCATCAAACAACATGAACAGGTAGAGGCCACAGCAGAGGCAATACTGATAGGAAATGAACAAATGAGATGAAAACTTTTAAAGTAGCCAGAGAAATGCAAATTAAAATAATAATTAGATATCACTTCACACCCATAAAATAGATGGTGGGGAATTTGTTTTATAATCGAAAATGTTCAATGATGTCAAAAGAATGGAGAGTGAAACCTTCATACATAACTGGGAGAAATAAAAATTAATACGACTTTTTGGAAAACTAATATAGTGATACAAAAAAATTTAAAATGTCATTGATGTTTGAGATAGCAAATTCTAGTTTTATAATCTATACACCGTATAGAAATGAACGCATCAGTATGTAAAGATACATGTATAAAGATTTCTTTATCTGAAAGAAAGAGAACAACTCGAATCTTTACACATAAGAACAATGTTGAATAAGTACAGCCATGCTAGAAAATATTATCCAGCTATCAAAAAGAATCAGGTTTAAAGGTACTGGCTCGGAACCATACGAAAGGTGCTCTTTACCATACTGCTAAGTGGAGGGAAAAGGCAACAGGGAGAGAACTGTGTGAGATATGATCACTCTTGAATTTCCAGGAAAATTAAACTGCTACATAATGGCACTGCGTTGTTAGCTGTATGTCTATATAATCATTGAAGACACAGGAGGAGGGACACCAACTATGAACCAAGGGGTGTGCTGTAACAAGAGGAAGCAAAACTTACTACTGTCATTCTTTATTCATCTCCACATCTGTCTTCTTACAATAAACATACTTTGCAATATTTTTAGACTCCAATAAAGAAGAAAATGGTAAGAAACAATGAAACCGATTTTTAAAAATAAAAGTATACCCAACCATTCAACTCTCACCTGGGCACTGACCAAACCTGCCGCTGGGACAGACACAGGTGTGTTTCTCCTCCCAGGGATCAGACACACATTCGGATCCCTCAGGGCACGGATCATCTTCACAGCCATGGTGGACAGGTGGGCACCTTCCCTCTTCATTCAAAGAGGGGAGAAAGGGAAAAGATAATTAACAGACATTTCAAGAACATCACCTTTCATGTATAGCCATCAAAGGCTTCAAAGGCCGTCTGAAACCATCTGTGACACCGACTTTCATACACTCATGTGCAGTACCTTTGCAGAGACACACCGCTGCCCTGTGGTGGCGGGGAGTCACAAAACTCAGTCTGGCTGTGCTGTGTGTTGACATCACACTTTCATCCACAGACACCTTTTCATCGCAGAACTTCCAGGGGCAGTCCAGTCCCGCGCAGAGTTTCTGGAATACATTCAGTATCCTAACTCCAATGATTTCCTCAATGTCAGTCACGGAAGAGTTAATCTTGTGCAGAAGTTGTTTTGTTGAGATCTGAGCACTACCTGGTTTCTCTACAAAAAGTAAGACGTCCAGATGTGGGTGAGGTTCAGAGGACTGCAAACTAACAATCTGTATGTCGTTCCTCCTCACACCCAGGATGTTCCGTAAAGCTCGCTGGAAGTTGCGCCAGTAGTCACCAACGAATTCTTCCGGAGTGAGGTTGGCAAAGCGGATCGCGATGGTGTGGTTCAACATCTCCTGTGTGACTTGTCTGATATGCACTGTGATGTCGGCCACCGTCGTGAACTTCCCATCTGTTACGCTGACATTGAGAAGGTATTGCCCTATGTCTAGCTTTTTGTGTGCTATCAGCTTGCCCCCTGTGCTGGAAACAGAGAACAGGTTGTCCATCTGAGGGTCGAGACTGTAGGTTAGAGTATCATACACGTCCTGGTCTGTGGCATGGATCTTCCCAATGACGCCACCTGAGTATTCTTCTCCAGAAGAGGTGATGAAAATCTCCAGGGGCAAAATCGCAGGCGGATAGATGCTCTCCTCAATTACCCTAATGTCAATGTATGTCAAAGATGACAACTGAGGCTTTCCATTATCTGCCACCTACAAGAAAAGAAAAATAAAATCACCTTTGTCTATGGCACTGTTTATAACTTCTTCAATAAAAACATTTGTATTACTCAAGTTCCCAAAAAATTACTAACTGGTAGATACTCATTTCTCCACACAAGAAACGTATCAAAGAAAAGGACAAATTTCTTTATAGCACTTCACTAATTCACACTGAAACCCAGCTCTGTCAATGACTATGACAGAATCAACAATGAGCTCCTTCAAACACAGCGGGATAAAAATGGAAGGTATGGCAAAAAACAAAGACAGCAATTCTATGAAAGTTTGTTTTTGTATGAAATGTAAGCTGTTCAAATAGAAGAGGGGAACCACGCCAAGCAGCTCTTCTCTATGAATCCACAACCAAACCACAAAGAAAGCCATTCATACCTTCACCTGCAGTAAGTAATGATCTTTCTCCTTCCTCTTGATGGCAGATGATGTCAGGAGGACTCCTTGCGGGTTAACTTCAAAAGCCTTCTCATCATTTCCAGTTACAATAGTAAAGAAGAAGGGTGGACCGTTATGGGAAGAATCCTCATCTGTTACTACCAGCTGCAGCACGCTGAAGCCCACTGGCTTATTTTCCTGCACAAGATTAGAAACAAAATTAAACAAAAATCCTGGAACACAGCCAAATCTATATGGGACAGACACATGAGTTTTCTATAATATAAAATACATACAAAACAAAGCCTTTCTGCTCTATCTGAAAGGAAGAGAAGAAAGGTGGAGACGGGAGTGTGGTGGTGAGGAGGAGGGAAAGGAGAAGGGGTGTAGCGAAAAGGGAAGAAAAAGGAGGATGAAGGAAACATGGTAAGAAAGGGAGTGTGAGGAGGAAGAGGGAGGAGGGGAAGCAGACACGAGGAGGAGTGGGGGACAGGAGGAAGAGCAGAGAGGAGGAGGAGTGTAGGAGAAGAAGAGGACTGGAGGAGAAAAGGAAGAGACGAGGCCAGGCGCGGTGGCTCACGCCTGTCATCCCAGCACTTTGGGAGGCTGAGGCGGGCGGATCACCTGAGGTCAGGAGTTCGAGACCAGCCTGGCCAACGTGGTGAAACCCCGTCTCTACTAAAAATACAAAAATTAGCCGGGCGTGGTGGTGGGTGCCTGTAATCTCAGCACTTGGGGCTGAGGCAGGAGAACTGTTTGAAGCCAGGAGGTGGAGGGTGCAGTGAGCTGAGATCGTGCCATTGCACTCTAGCCTGGGCAATGAGTGTAACTCCATCTCAGAAAAAAAAAAAAAAAAAAAGAGGAAGAGAGGAAGGAAGAGGAGGAGTGGGGAGGAGAAAGAGAAGAGGTTGACAAGAGGAGGAAAAGTGAGAAGGGGGAGGAGGAGGGGTAGTGAGGAGGAGGGGTGATGAGGAGGAGTGGCGACGAGGTGGAGGGAGGAGGAGAAAGAGTGGAGACAGTGAAATGGGGAGGAAGTGGAGTAGGGAGGAGGTTGGGGGAGGAGGTGGAGTGGGGAAGAGGCAGAGTGGGGAGGAGGAAGAGGAGGAGTGGAGAAGAGGTGGAGGGAAGAGGAGGAGTGGGGAGGGGAGTGGGGAGGAGGAAGAGAAGGAGGAGGAATGGAGAAGAGGTGGAGGGAGGGGGGAGGAATGGGAGGGAGGAGTGGGGAGGAGGGAAGAGTGGGGAGGAGGAAGAGAAGGAGGAGGAATGGAATGGAGAAGAGGTGGAGGGAGGAGGAGTAGGGAGGAAGAAGAGTGGGGTGAAGAAAGTGGAGTAGAAGATGGAGCGAGAAGGAAGGATTGGGGGCTAGAAGAAGAGCAAGAGGGAAGAGGAAGGTCAAGGGGGGAGGAGAGGGCAGAGGAAAAGCACCAGTGGCAGCAGGTCTGATTAAGCAATAAGCTCTTAGGAATCCTAGAACAGTGAGAATATCTCAAAAATCAAAGCACGGAAAGGAAAGAGATAAAAGCTTGGCTTTATCTTTAAAATGCTCATCTTTTAATACTGATAGCGACTTCTTGAATTCTACGTTTCCCATTTTTCTAGAAAGAAACCTTTGGATAAGAAAGAAAAGCAACAGAGGCCAATGGAAAAGCTCATTTCAAAGAACCCCAGGACCACCTTGGCACTCGAAGCCCACCTGGATAATGACACTGTAGTTTCCCCTGGAGAAGACGGGCGCGTTGTCATTGACATCGGACACATCGATGTTCACGGTCGTCGTGTTGACTCTGGGTGGACTGCCATTATCAGAAGCTTGAACCGTGAGCGTGTAACCTGAAATCTTTTCAGGCAAAAGACAGAATGCACGTTCATTTTCACAAGGCCGACAGAGCTCCAATGAGGAGTGTCCTCCTGAGAGTCCTGACGGGCAGGTCCCAGTGAGCTACCACTATCTGTTGCATCCTGCCTGTGAGCGATGCCCTAATCTCCTACAAACGAGTGCATGCAAGTAATACACATTTCCCAACAGCAAGAATTACCAATAATGATTAGATTCTCTGATGCCTCTTAAATATGTACTTGTTTTGTAAAAGTCTTTTATCTTGCAGTTCTATTAACAGAAACTAAGACATAAAAGTAATACAAATGATTAGGACAAGAAGTTAACATATCTCAAATGCTGTTGCTTCGGTAAGATGGGAGCAGCCTTCCTTAGGGCCCCAAGTTTGCTCTCAGTGGAAGTAGACAGACATGAGCTGCCTCCCGCACCTTAGCGCTGACTCATTTCCAATGCCTCAGGACACTCCAGATCACCCTCCCCCTCAATTTCACACTCGGATTATACTCAGCTGTCTAAATCCCTCAGGATTAGCTTGTCAGGACCTCCCACAAAAGAAAGAAAGTCAAGTGAGATAGCTTCTTTTTCAGGGCAGTTCCCTATAAAGCTCTGTCTTCTAGAATGAGTTGTGGGAGAAGCCAGAAAGCTGGCTAGATCCCAGAGTATGTTCTACAGAACGTTAGTCCTGCAAGACGCTCCAATGAAAAAGAATTCTGCTGGCGCATTAGCTTGGGAAATACCACAGGCTAGCTCCTTTGGTATCTCACAATGGACAGAAGTGTATTAAAGGATCTGGGTTCTTTAGTCAAAGATACTAAATTTATTCTGCCCCACAGTGGGGGCAATCCTAAGCATGCTTCCCAAATCCTTAGAAAGTCCCTTCTCAACATTCACACATCAAAGGAGAAATTAAAGAATTTAATGAGGTATCTCATCACTATCTCCCCCCAAATTCCTTTAATCTTAGATACACCCATTATTCTTCTGAAATTTCATTCTTAATCATCACCAGTGTCCTTCTCATTCCCAAATCGAAGGCTTCTTTTGGTTCTCCTTCACAGGCCTACCTCTCTGAGGTAGTTCCTGCTCAGCTTCCCTTCCTGGACATAAGTCTGCACAGATGAGTGAATGGATGGATGAATGGATGGATGCATAGATGGGTGGATGGGTAACTGGATAGATAGGTGGATGGATAAATGGGTGAATGAATAACTGTATAGATGGGTGAATGAATGGGTAAGTGGATACATGGGTGGGTGGGTGGGTGAGCAAATGGGTAACCACATAGATGGGTAGATGGATAACTAGATGGACAGGTGGGTAGGTGGATGGATGGATAACTGGATAGATGGGTGGTGGGTGGATGGACACATGACTGGATAGATGGATGGGTGGGGTGGATGGATGGGTAAGTGAATAGATATGTAGATGGGTGAGTGAATAGATAACTAGATAGATGGGTGGGTGGACAGGTCGGTGGGTGGATGGATGGGTAGGTGAATGGGTGGGTAGGTGAGTGGGGAGATGCATGGGTGGATGGATAACTGGATGGATGAATGGATGGATGACTGGATAAATGGGTGGATGGATACTGGATAAGTGGGTGGGTGGATGTTCAGCCTTGCTGCCTCTCCTTATTTGTTCATATTTATCTCAATCCCTCATGTCACTTCTATCAACATCTCCAACGGCAAGTACCATATCTACACTTAGGGTTTTCCAGTCTCTAAATCTGACTAAAATCTCCAAATACTGGCTGAGTAATTCTGCCTGAATATGCTATTTCCCTTTAAAAACCAGCATATTGAAAACCACATTCATTAGCCTCTCCCATCCCTTACACGTTTATACCTCATAACTTTTCTTTAATGGTACTACCCAGTCAAAGCAAGACCAAAAAATCAGGCTGCCTCTGACACCAATGCTTTCTACACGGAGCCATATCTAAGCTTTGTGGATTCTAATTTTTCCTTTGCAAATAGTTTCTTCATTTGGTATTCATAGACACCAAAATCCACTGGTGCTCAAGTCCTTGATATAAAATGGTGTAGTATTTGCATATAACCTATACACATCCTCCCAAACACTTTAAGTCATCTCTAGATTATAGTACCTAATACAGTATCAATGCAATGTAAATGGTTGTTATACTGCGGGTCGGGGTTGTATTTTTTTTGTTGTTGTATTGTTATTTTTTATTGTTTTTCTTTCTTTTTCTGGAGGCAGGGTCTCACTATGTTGCCCAGGCTGGTCTTCAACTCCTGGGCTCAGTGAATTCTCCCACCTATGCCTCCCATGTAGCTGAGACTATCGGAGGAGGCCACCACACCCGACATTTTTTCTTTTCTAATACTTTTCGATCCATGTTGAGTTGACTTCACGAATGCAGAATCTGCAGATAGAGGGGAGCAACTGACCTTCCTCAGCTCACAAATGCTCATACCCTAGTGCCTGAGGCATCAGGTCCAAACCTCTGGTCCTGGTTTTCTATGTGGCCAATAACCTGTGTGTAAAATACCTTCCTATTTTATCTCACTCTGCTTTCTTCTTATGATTACTCCAATACAACTGGGTAAAGTCCCCTAAATATATTTCTTGGCTTCTATCTGCATGCCTGTGTCCATGCAATTCCTCGCTGGAAATTCCCTTCTCTCAACCTCTATGATTTTCCAAACCTCTGCTATTATTTAAAACCCAGCTTCTAGCTTTAGGAAGTGTCTCAGAACACTGGAACCAACAGTAATTCCTTCCTGAATGCAAAGCTTTATTATCCAAACTTTATCCTAGCATGGAACACATTTCTCACATTGAGATCTTCATAGTGTCATTGCTTTTCGAGTGTTTACATGTTGCCGTCAGTTCTTGAGGCGGTCAGTCCTGCTCACACCACGCCCAGCAGACAAGAGCACAAGGCATTTCTAGTTATTGATGTGGTGATTTGTAAACAACGTAAATCAACCTTTTTCACTTACCGTTTCTCGGTCGAGAAGTTTGGTCACTTTGACTTCTCCCCTGACGGGGTCAATTGTGAACGAGCTTCCTTGGTTGCCATCTATAATTGAGTAGTGGATGTGGCTGTTGGAAGGTCCATCGGCATCATCGGCCATAACCTAGAACACACCACACTCCTGTTTAGGAGACAGCTAAGAAGAGGCCTAAACCTATTACACAAAATTTGTGATATTAATAGCTTAGCTGTTTCTTTTTGTTGTTGTTTTTTTTTTGAGATGGAGCCTTGCTCTGTCACTCAGGCTGGAGTGCAGTGGCACAATCTCGGCTCACTGCAAGCTCCGCCTCCTGGGTTCACACCATTCACCTGTCTCAGCCTCCCGAGTAGCTGGGACTACAGGCGCCCGCCACCACGCCTGGCTAATTTTTTTTTGTATTTTTAGTAGAGACAGGGTTAGCTTAGCTGTTTTAACACAATTATTCATAACAAAGTCAGCAATCAGTTGGCCTAACAAAAGACACTTTCAAATCTCCAAAATATTTACAAAGGCCGCTACAAAAACTAGATTGATTTTACTAAAAACTTTTGCAAAGATCCAGAAGATACACAGTTTTCACTGTAATGGGGAAAAAATACACACCGTGATGACAGACTGCTCAAGAACGGCATCTTCACTGATGACTGTCGTGTAGGTGTCTTGGCTGAACACAGGGGTATTATCGTTGATATCTGTTACATTAACGTTCACAGTGGCAACGTCGCTCAGTGAAGGCGTGCCTCCATCAGTGGCCTCTACTGTTAGGTAATACTCATGAGAGCTCTCATAATCCAGATTCTCAATGATAAATACGGCCCCTGAATAGAAATCAAAATTACTTCCAGCATTCTGCAATGCCACCACATTTTCCCACTATGACTGAAATAGATGAATGCTTTTGAGTACATTTAGTTTTCACTTCAAAAGTTTACTTACCATTTACGTATGTTTCCTATTTTCTTAATTCAACAATTAAAAACTATGAATCTGCCCATCCCTGGATCTTTATTTCTCTTAATTTTCATGATATTCTTCATGATATTTAAATTGCTTTTCCAGTCAACACCACCTACATCCCTGCTTATTATAAACATGATGATTGTATCATCCCTTCCATACCATAGCTCACTCGACTTCACTCTAATTTAATCAACAAAATAAAAACGTAAAAATTCTATTGTGTCTTTCGGTTTCATTTTTTGTCTCATCTTTTTAAAATATTTTCCTTCTCATATTTTTAAAATGGAGATTTATATCCTTTTAACTTCTAGATAACCCTTTATTTACATCCTCTCATTTTTAAAAATCCCTTTTTAAACAATTCCTTTTAACATCTTTCACATCATTCTAGTCCTAAAGAGCCCTAAAAATAATTTTATTATAAATATAAATTATATAAATATAAATTTATATAAATTATATAAATATAAATTATATAATTTATATAATTTATATAAATATAAATTATATAATTTATATAAATATAAATTATATAATTTATATAAATATAAATTTATATAATTTATATAAATATAAATTTATATAATTTATATAAATATAAATTTGAATGGAGCAACTTTCTACACTGTTTTAAGACTTAGGACTATTTTAGGCCACAGGTTAGCAAGATGATGAAGCATTCACGCAGCAGGAGTCAGCAGTTCCTATGCCTTTTGAGCTTGTTGGCGGTCTTTCCCTAACTGTGATTCAAAGTACTCCAACTGTTATAGACAACTAGCATGATAACGAAGTCAACTTAATATATTATCAGAAGCCCACTACAGAAACTAAAATAAAAAAGACTGGAATTACTATTTCACTTGGGAAGTTACCATCCATGAGTCTGATTACATAAGGACCTCTACTATCCCCTATTCTTATCTTTACTAACTTGCTATACCTTACATCTCAACTAAACTAATAGAACATGCTGCTTTGATTTTCTATTTTAAGTTAATTTGCTTGTATTTTATAATGAACATGCCCAAAATGTATTAAGTAGAACTATAATCTGAAGCCTTCCAAACAACATTCAATCCCACTGTAAATAACTAAAAGAAAACTTGATTTGCCTTTTTTAGAACATCTACTGACAACACAGGGTCACTTAATACAAGGCAACGTGGTTAAGCAAATCTAGTTTTCTTGGTGGAATGAAGGGTTTCCTCTCAGATACATGGTAGGTTACCTGTTTTAGAATCTATGCTGAATTTCCCATGTTCATTTCCACTTATTATTGAGTAGGTGATTTCTGCATTTGCTTCAATATCCCGACTTGCTGCATACACTTGAAGAACTTCAGTTCCAACAAGAATGTCCTCAGACACGGTGGCACCATATTCACGGTACTCAAACACAGGGGGGTTGTCATTTATGTCAAGAACTGATACAATCACAGTGCCAGTGGCAGTCAGCCTCCTTGGCAAGCCTTGATCCACAGCTTTCAAAGAGAGGGTGTATACTGCCTGGAGTTCTCTGTCCAAAGGTTTTTCTAACTGAATAATTCCAGATAATTCGTTAATGGAGAACTGCCCATCAGCAGAGTCAATCAGTGAGTATAAAATCTTCCGATTTAATCCTATGAAGACATAAAAACATGTCAAAAGATTTTAAATAAAAAAGTTTAACACTTTTTTTTTTTTTTGAGATGGAGTCTCCCTCTGTCGCCCAGGCTGGAGTGCAGTGGCGTGATCTTGGCTCACTGCAACCTCTGTCCCCCAGGTTCAAGCAATTCTCCTGCCTCAGCCTCCCGAGTGGCTGGGGTTACAGACACACTGTAATTTTTGTATTTTTATTAGAGACGGGGTTTCTCCATGTTGGCCAGGCTGGTCTTGAACTCCTGACCTCGTGATCCACCCGCCTCGGCCTCCCAAAGTGCCAGGATCCCAGGCGTGAGCCACCGCACCCGGCCAACGCTTTTTTTTTTTTTTTTAAAAACCAAACAAAATTTTTTTAGAAGGGTAAACGCTAATATACATTATTCGCAAATTTGTATGACTATGACCTTTAAAAGGTAAACAACTTACTCTGTTAAAACAAATGTAAATATAATTTCATGGGAATCTGGCTTCTTAGACTATTTCGTATAGGAGCCAATAATACAGTACCTAACAAACCTTTACAAATCACATCTGTTTATCATTGAGCTTTGGTGACAAAGATCTGAAAAGCAACACTTTTGCTATTCTTCTGAAACTTCTCAGAATCACAGCATGAGTATCCCTAAACTGAAAATCTGAAATTTGAAATGCTCCAAAATCTATTAACTTTATGAGTGCAGAACCGATGCTTTAAAAAAAAATGCTCATTGGAGCATTTCGGATTTCAGATTTTTGGAGTTGGGATACTCAACTGATAAGTACATAATGCAAATATTCCAAAATCTGAAAAATATCCAAAAATCCAAAAATACTTCTAGTTCCAACTATAATAAATAAGGAATACTCAACCTGTGGTATGACTGAAGAAGTTATTCTCTGCTATCAAATGCTACAAATATACATTCTATAGTCCAATTTTCTCTAAAAAAATTTTGAAAGGTTTGTAAACCTATCATAAAGCATTTGCTTCCATTATGTTGCAATGAGGCTAAAAGCTCTCTCTGTCCTCAATGGTTTATTGACAAAATAACACATCACTGATTAATTCAATGGGATGTGAAGATCAGTTAATATTCAGTAACCAGAATTTTAGAGACCTCACAGCAGTAGGTTCACTGGGCACAACTTTGGAACTTTAAATATTCATTAAAAATTAATTAATTATTCTAAAGATTTCCTTCCACAAGGAAGGGCTATGGAACATGCATGAGGTGGAGTGAGTGGCACAGGCTGAATCTGGGGTGTGTTTTGAAACAGAGGCTCCTAGGATCTCAGTGAGCAGCGTCAGGCAAGAGCATTCCCGGGAGATACCTGCGTCGGCATCTGTGGCCTGCACTCTTGTCAGCAGCGTTCCCGGCTCTGTGTTTTCAAACACGGTGATGGCATAAGGATCGGCAGAGAATTCGGGGGCGTTATCGTTCACATCTTCTAGCGTGAGCACAATACTGGCTTGGCAGAATCTTCCTCCTCCATCTGTGGCCCTGACGAGAAGATGATAAACAGCTTGCTCCTCACGATCAAGGGGGGTTGACGTTTTCAGTTCACCTACAAACAAAAACAAATGGACTCACTTGTAATTTAAGACGTGACTTGCAGTTGTACATCTTATTTCCTCCCCTTTTGTCTTTCAATTACTTAGTCTGAGTATTCACAGCCTTCCTCTTGAGACCAGTATTATCAATGACAGATTCAACAGCTGCAAGAGGCAGTGAGCTCCAGGTCTCCAACCCTGCCAGGGGCTAGCTCTTTAAGTCCTGCAGGTCTGAGGCCAGGGCCTCTCACCTTGTGTATAAGATTGCACAGGTGAAACAGCTACCAAATTTACCAAAATTTAAAAAATGTTTAAATTGACTCAAAAATTAGATTCACATGTTCACAATTAGTTCTTTAGGAAGAAAATAAAAAGGCTTAACAGGAAACTTAGTTGATCCCAATTTTACCAAAATACAAAAGGAAAACAACTCTATTTTAAAATAAATAAAATCCCATAAATCATTTTGTTTATGAAAATTCTAAATTATGCTAAGTTATAAATTTATGGTCACCAATTCAAGAAAATATGCTATTTAAATAAAATGGATAAAAAGCAGAAAGCTTGAGTTATATTTTAATTTCTGAGGGTTGTTTTTTTTAAACAAGTGGTATAAACGCCTTCTAAATTTTAAATCCTTTTTTCAATTAGGTGATATTCTTGCTGTTTTTTAAAAAATCTCACCTTGAATTTTACGCACTAAATTGCTGGTAAGATTTCTAAGAGATGTCAACTTCGGAGCATCAGAATACATTTGAAAAGGGCAAAATGTAATTTCAAATTTTGTGTGTGATCTAAAATCACCCACATATATGATACTGTTGGAATATACAATTTATTTTGTCCCAAACTCCATCATTACCTGTGTCTGGATTTAGTTTGAATTTTTCTGCACCTGAACCCAATAACGTGTAAGTAATTTCAGCGTTAGAGCGGATGTCTGCGTCTGTAGCAGAGATCTGCATGATCAATTTTCCAGGAAGGACGTCTTCAGGAATAGTGTCTGAATATAAAGTCTGCAAAGAGTTTAAACAAAAACGTTACATAAAAGCATTAACAGGCAGCACAAACATCAAGGGAATAATGGAAAAGAAATCATTCATCTTTGACCACAGAAAACATGGGAAATGACTAAAGATAAAATCCCAAGAGCTTTGAAAACGATTTTTCTCATAAAACATAAAACACATGTGAAACAAGGAGGAGCCGTG
Source organism: Homo sapiens (assembly GCF_000001405.40). Classification (NCBI taxonomy): domain Eukaryota; kingdom Metazoa; phylum Chordata; class Mammalia; order Primates; family Hominidae; genus Homo; species Homo sapiens. The sequence goes on from NC_000004.12 coordinate 186,614,540, forward strand.
GAGCAGCCACCAGCTCCACATCCCTGAAAGAGCCTGGCCTGACATTTAACCTACAAAATGCTATTATATGTTATTAAGCTGATTTCATATTCAAATCCTTATGAGAAAACGTAAGTACTAATCAAAAATGTAAGTAGTGCTCCGTATTTACCTAAAAACTGCAGAGAATAAATATCTGTCGTATCATATCTGCTCATTTCCAAATACAGGAATTTATTTTTTGCAAATGTTCCTAACATAAATAACTGCAGTTGAGAGAGAAGCAAGTTTCATGTTATGGGAGAAAACGAAGATTCTCGAAGGCCACAGAAGGGACTCTGATGAAGGCTGAGGCCCTTCTACTGCCCTGCGTGATCCTGGTGCCCTCTCTCCTCACATCTGCCCTCATGCTCAAACACGGTGAACACTTGTTTCCAGTTCCAATTATTTAGAAATCCATGCCATAAATTAAAACCTAAGACAAAAAGATTAAGATTCTGTTGATTTTCTTAATCTGAACTCAACTACCAGTGAAGTACTCACGGAAAAGTACTCCATGAAAAAGGACTCAGGAAAAAGGGTATTTCATAATAGGATGAATTTAAAGGATCTAGTGTCCCAGTCTTATTCCTGAAGATGATAGAGTATTGTACTGAAATAATATCAAAGGGCTAAAAAACAACCAAAGACAGTTGCTGTAAGAGAGAGAGAATGTCGCACCCCTTCTGAAAATATAAAGTACAAATAAGAACTGGAATTAACTCCTCATCCCTCAGAAGTTCCCCTTCCCCTCATGACTGAATATAAGGGTTCTTCCATCTTAAGTCTTTCCCTGAGAACAGCCCTATCACTTTCCACAGCCACAAGCATCTCAGACTCACAGAACCTGTGGTGGGTTCCAACTCCTCCATCCTCTTCACAATCACATTCCTCTCTACCCAGCCTTCTCCTGGCCCAGCACATTCCTCCTCCCTGTCACTCTCAGCCTTCTTCCCTGGGCAGGTCTATTTCTTCATCACTTCACTCTCTGATCTGCCATCAGGCATCCATCCACGTCCTGCTACCAAGACCGCCACCTACACAGCATCACGGGACCCAAATGGTCTGTTTCGCATCCCAAACATCCCAGCTCCACTCGCCACCCTGCCTCCCCAAAGTCCTCTTCTCCCCAACCCAGGTTGGCACTGCACTGGTGTCCTCCTCTTCCTTCCAGCTCAGCTCCCTTCTCCCTTTGGAAATAGCTCTCTCTTCTTTTTCCCTTTTGTTAGTATCCTCTCAAATGAAGTCAATTTTCAGCTATCCAGAGACAACGCCAAGTTTCCACACCTTTCCCTAATACCCATCCAACATCTCGCCATCTCTCAATGTCTAAAAAACATGGTCAACTGTATGTCTCATTACTTTAGCAAACTGGAATTGGAACTCAACACGGAACTCCTCTAAAACCAGCCCCCGGCTCAGACTCCTCTTTGCCACGGCCTTGGTCGCTCCCCCTACTCATGTAGAAAGTCGGGCTCGATGGCATGCTGGCTGGCTGTCACACCAGATGGTCTTCCTCGGTGGTGGCTTTGGTCCTTTCACTCCTTCCCCACCTCTGCCTTTCCAGGGCCCCCTTGCATCCACTCCTCCCTGTCTAAATAATGGGCACGATGCTTCCAAACTAAGCTTAAGAACTCGTCTCATGTCATCTCTACCTTACCGATATAAAAGGCTCCAAAGTCCCTATTTTCTCTAGGATCGAGTTCAAATCCCTTGGAACGACCGCCACTGCCCACTGTAATCCAGTTCACCCTTTTCCAAGACTCTCAGTGCAGACTCCCCACTTCTGGCAAACTCAGTGGCTACTCCCACAATCCCTCCTCACACTCCATGGCCCCTCCCCACCCACTCCTGACGACCCACTTACTGCCCCCCGAAGCTGAGCCAGCCCTTTCTCTGGGCAGCCCTTCTCACCCTCTGGCCCCAGGGACCACCCCTGCTCGAGCCACATGCCCTCATCTAACCTTGGAGGGAGCAGCCCTTCCTACGTCTACTTTTAGTTCCCACTGAATGGTGAGCCGCGCAGATGCAGGAAGCACGCTGTCCACCTCTGAGCTTCTCCAGCGTGCAGAAGAGCAGATGCCCCCAAAACAGTGTCTCACGGCACGTCGGCACTTTGTTTCCCGTCAGATCCTTCCCCCAAAACAGCTGTATCCCCATATTAAGAGAATCCCCTCATGAAAAGGTTACAGAGCATTTTCAGTGTTGGATGCAACTGGAGTCCTGTCCGTAATTTAGTTTTCTAGAATGAGGCTTTTGATTTATTGAGCATTCCCGCAAATAGTTCTGAAGCTTTTCCAAGTCTTACCCCATTTAACACCTCTGCTTAATCAGTAAGTGATCATAAAACACATGTGAATTACACCACAGCGCCAAATGATGGTCCCATTGAAAGAATTAAGAAATTGAAATTCATAACACACAAATGTAAGGGAAGAGCTGCTTACCTTTTCACAAACTGGACTGTTGTCATTTGCATCCAGAACTTTCACTTCAACTATCGCTTTTGATGAGAAGGTGCCATCAGTTGCCGTGATAGTAAGAAGGTAATTGTCCCTTTTTTCCCTGTCTAGAGGTTTCTTCACATATACCTTCCATTCATTCTGTATAGTTTCAACGGCAAACTGTCCTAAAGGATCCCCTCCTATTAAATCAATGGAGGAAGATAATAATCAAATTTGTTGAAAGGATAAAAATAAGTAACAGAAAAAATAAACTGTACAAAAGATGTATAATGTTATAGTTTAAAAGAATTGAGTATTAAAAGAATTAATTTGGCATATATTAGCCTTCCAATTTACAAAAACAAGGGCAGCATTAAAATGCATAAACATAGCATTAAGACTACTAATCATTTAGCCTGCATTAAAACTATAGATGTTTTTAATTATATTTATTATACACTAAGTATAAGGTTCAAAAGAATGAGTCACAAAAATCAAAAACAGTCTAATGAAACAACTGGTAGCTTTGCTCAGGTAACAAGCTTGAAATGAGGCTCAACAGATGTTATTTCTACGTATTATTTTAGATATTTTTAACTAAAATCATCCCTTAAATCCCCAATTTCCATACAATACAGATCTTATACTTTATGCTTCTAAAAATCATTTTAAATTAATTAAACCGTTTGGTATGAATTTTTTTTACCTGTTATGAAATATGTAACTTGTCTGTTGATCTCTTCAGAATCAGCATCCGTGGTACTTAAGATGGCAATCACCCCACCTTGGGGGTCATCCTCACTCACAGTCCCTTTATAGATCTCGGCCGTGAATCGTGGTGGACTATCGTTGACATCGGTGACGGTAACATCCACAATGGCTGTGGAGGATAGCTGGATCTTTTCACCATGATCTGATGCAACCACTTTAATCTGGTAATTGTCTCTCTTTTCATGGTCAAGTTCCTTTAAAGTTGTAATCCAGCCTGTTTCCATGTTAATGGCAAAGGATTCAATGACTTCCACACTTTGTGACTGATCCAGGCTATACATAACTTGGCCGTTGGTTCCTGAGTCAGCATCAGATGCCCTGATCTGAATTACTCTACTTCCCCCTGGCAGGTTTTCAACAATGAATGCCTCATATGGACTAGATTCAAAGACCGGGCTGTTGTCATTTGCATCTTTCACTTGGATACTAACATCTACAGAAGCCACCATCTCATGGTCATCTTGAGTGCACCTGGCCAGTATGGAAAACTGATACCACTTAGTTGTCTCATGATCAAGACTCTTCTCCAACTTCAGTCTCCCGCTCTGTCTGTCAATCACAAAGGACTCATCCCTATTGCTTTCTGGAGTATTCCCTTTGACCAGGCTGTAAAGAACAGTCCCACTATGTTCTGCTCGGATGAGATCTATCTCTGTTCCAATAGGCACGTCCTCTGACACTGTAAAGGTATAGAAAGGTTCTGAAAATTTTGGAAGCTGCATTTCCGGTGGAAGGATTTTAACATAGACAAGAACAACAGATTCTTTTGATGGAGACCCATTATCCACAGCTCTAACAAAGAAAGTGAAGAATTCATTTTCCAAGCCAATGAGGCTCTCCTTTGTAGTGATTACGCCGGACAGTTTGTTAATTTCCAAATTCTCTTTTACACTTTCAGAGTCTGCTTCAATGGCATAGGTGATGTCGGCATTGGAGCCCTCATCGGCATCACTTGCAAGAACTTTAACGACTGAAGTCCCTTTAGCAGCACTGGACCCGATATTCACTTCGTATTTGGTTGCTCGAAATTGTGGTGCATTGTCATTGTCATCTGTAAGGATGACATTCACGGTGCAGAAAGCAACTTTTCCTCCAGCATCCTTAGCCATTAAACGGACTGAGATCACTTTCTCCGCCGGGGTTTCTCGATCAAGTTTTTCCAAAGTAAATATCTGTCCTCTCTCATTTATGTAAAATCTGTCTTTGGCAAAGTCATTTACAATATGGTAAGTAACGTGACCATAAATACCAGAATCCCCATCCGTAGTTTTCACCTCCATCACCAGGGTATGTAGGGGAGCGTTTTCAGCTAGTTCCACTTCATATTCGTTCTGAAGGAAAGCAGGACTGTGCAAATTGCCTCCAATTACAGTTACATGAACCTGGGTGGAACTTCTAAAAACTCCATCAGACACTGACAGGTTAAGACTGTAAAATGGCTTCAGGGCGTGCCGGTGCAGGTTTGAGAGGGTGATAATCCCTGTTGCACTGTCAATGACAAAATGTTTATGATCATTGCCAGACAGAATGGAATACTGCAACTTGTCTATGTCTGAACTGTCTGCATCATAGGCTTTTACACAGGTCACGAAATGCCCATGAGGGGCGTGCTCGCTAATTCTGGCTTCATAAATCTGTTGTTCAAAGAGTGGTGGATTATCATTGAGGTCGGTAACGTCCACCGTGACAATCACATCACTGCTCAGCGTGGGCATACCACCATCAACTGCCCTCACAAAAATCGTGTGCTGCCGGGACTGCTCGTAATCCAGGGTTCTGAGTAGTGAGATGAGGCCAGTGCTGCTGTCTACATGAAAATGATCATGACTCTTGCTGTGATTCCCAAACATCTGGTATGAGATTCCTCTATTTGGTTCTGAATCAGAATCGGTGGCTCTAACTTGAACAACAGACGTTCCAATTACAGATGCCTCAGACAGGGTCACCGCATAAGACTGCTGAGCAAACACAGGAGGGTTATCATTGATGTCGTCTACTATGATGTCCACAAATACTTCAGCATGAGCGCCCGTCAAGGAGTCAGTTGCGCGTATGCTCAGCTTATATGCCGGGTGGGCCTCAAAGTCCAGAGGAGCTATGACATTGATAACTCCAGTATTGAAGTTAATAGTGAACTGGCTGAAAGGGTCTCCGTCTGTGATGCTGTAGAACACTTTCAGGCCTTCCGGGCTGTTAGCCTGCACGTGGACCACAGGGCTGTGCACCTGGATGCTCTCTGCAATCTCTGCACTGTAGAAAGGTTTTTCAAACACAGGCATGGCTTTATTCATGACAGTGATCGGAACGATAACTTCCGCTGAAAAGGCCGGGTTCCCTCCATCTTTTGCAACCACTGTAACAAGATATTCTTTATTTAAGGTGTCAAGCTCAAATTGCTTTTTCAGTGAAATTTCACCCAAGGGTCCAATTTGAAAGTGTTCATGATGTTCCTTGAGGTAGTAATGCACTTCCCCGTTTCTGCCACTGTCTCTGTCTACAGCAGTGACATAGCGAATGACATGGCCCACCTCAGTGTCCACTTTAACAACGGCGTAGTAGGGAAGGTTGACAAACACCGGCGCATTATCATTTTGGTCTTCTACAATGACCTTCACGACAACGTGGGCCACTGCAGAAGGCTTATGTTCCTCTGTCACTTCTACAACCACATCAAACGCCTCCTGCTGCTCACGATCGAAGGGCGTGCCAGTGGTTGACAGAACTCCTGAAGTGCGGCTTATTTTAAATCTGCGATCTGGGTTGAGGATGTGATAAAACAAAGGCTCATTGATTGGATTCCCAATAGCAGTAATGACAGCTAATGTTTCGGCCTCGGTGGAATTCTCTTTCACTACCGCAGAGTAGACATCCTGGGTAAACTTTAGGTGACTTTCTTTGCTTTCTTTCACATTAATTTTGACAGAGGTAAGGCCGGCAAATCTGCCATCGGAAGCTCTAACGGTTAGCTCGTAGCGGCTTCTTAACTGAGTTGTGTTTTGGACAGTGAGAGCACCAGTCTTGTAGTCCATAGAAAACTTCTCCCCGATGTTGCCTTCGGTGATGGAGTAAATCAACTGTGAGAATGCACTTGAATCAGCATCTGTAGCATTTACTGTGATGACTTTTACTCCTTTGTATGTTGGTAACAAAAGAGATGCTTCATATAATGGCTTGGCAAACACAGGGGGGCAGTCATTAATGTCAATTACATGTACTGTTACATTCGCTGCATACTCAGCAAATAAACGTGGGGTTCCCATGTCATGCACTTGGACGGTAAAGTGAAAAATACTTGTTTCTTCATAGTCCAGACTTAGTACTGTATGAATAGCACCAGTGCTAGAATCAATAGCAAAATATGTGTGTACAGATGGTTCAACAATGTGATATACAAGCAAAGCATTTGAGTCTTTATCAGCATCAGCTGCTCGAATCACCAGTGGGACATTCCTGTCTGTTAGGACCACGCTGTTAATTGAGGCTGATTCACTAATGAGTCCTGTATATTCTGCCTGCATAAAAACTGGCGCGTTGTCATTCTCATCCTGCAAGTGAACTAGAACCGTTGTATTAGTGGACAAACCAGCCATGTTAGTTCCTTGTATTATCAATGTGTAAATGGGCAAAGTTTCAAAGTCCAGGGCTTTCTGAGTGATGATAGTTCCAGAATGTGGATTAATATCAAAAGCATCACCTGTATTTCCATCTTTTATTTCATACACCACTGATGATTGACTATGGGCTGTAACCATCCCAACGAAACTCCCAATGCTGACAGTTTCACTAAGTTCAACAGAATATTCTTTTGATGTAAACTTCGGAGAGGCGTTGTCAGCAATTGTGACAAAGATACGCACAGAAGTTATTTCACTCATTGGTGGACTGCCCTTATCTGTAGCTTTTACCATTAAATCATACTCCGCTTGGTTACTTCGATCTAATTCTTTGGCAGTTTTAATAGAGCCCAAGACAGGATCAATCATAAAAGAATTTCCAATATTTCCTGGAAGGAGAGGAAAAAATACATGTTACAGAAAAACACAAGGGGCAGTAGTAGTAGTAGTTAGAGAAACAGAAACAAAGTATCCTTAAAAATTATATTCTGAAATTAAGCAGAAACTCAGGGGATGTCAATATTTGAATGGAACCTTCAACTTGTTTTATTTTTATCCACCTAAAACCAGGTATACTTTACAGAATTTTGTCCATAAATGATGAAAAACAAAAAACAGAAGAAACAGCACTCTGCTCTTAGCGAAGCCAAAACTCCCTCTCTCGGCTGCACTGGGAATGTGTGGTGGAAAGACAAGGCTATCCTTCCACAAAGCAGTTGAGTGAGTCACTTTCCAGGAGTCCCTCAAAACACTTCTGGACCACATTTGTATTTTCAACGGTTATGACTTACAAATTCTTAAGATATGTATTCATTACGAAAGATTTCGATTCAGTAAGAAATTGACATCAAGCTTCAAGAGACAATTGTCCATGGATAAATGTGTGTAACCCACCCCACTTTACAGGTTTTGAAGATTGCAACAACATTCCCTTCTTATCTTTTTCAGGTCAACTTATCCTCTAGGTCAGTGGTTTTCCCCTGGGGGCAATTCTGCTCCCTAGGAGACATCTGGTAATGCCTGCAGACATTTTTGGTTGTCACTACTTGTCGGAAGAGGGTGCTCCTGGCGTCTCGTGGGTGGAGACCAGGGGTGTTGCTAAGCATCCTACAACGCACAGGACAGCCCTACACAACCAAAAATATCTGGTTCCAAATGTCAGCAGTGCTGAAGCTGAGAGGCTGCTCAAAGATAGAGTGTTTTACCTCCTTTTCTTTGGACCTTTTCAGGCTATACTGTATGTATCTTTAGCTGCAACCACAACTCCAGAATATTGTATAATTTTGTATCATCGACTGAATCTTCAAAGAAACAAGCAGTTCTCTACAGCCCTTTTGGATAAATCAGGGTGGCGTTGCAGGTTCTCAGGTTTAATCCATCCACGAGCCCATCCTTTTTCTGTTTCATGAACAAGCACCCAGAATTCACCATCCCTGTCATAGCACAGAATTTATTTTCCCCAAATGAACTATTATACTTACCCAAAACAAAGCTCACTTGCCACTTAACTGCTTTCTCAGATTCTTGCTCTAGGTTTGCCACGAGTGTGGCATTTCACAGACCAGAACTGCTCAGTGTGAGCTGCACACCAGGGATTCACCAAGCACTTTGTTCTCCACATCATTAACAGGAAACACTTCCTCTACAGTCTTCACTTCCTTCCTTTCATACATTTTCCAAAAATCCACGGCCATTTTTTAGAGACCAGATCCAGCCTGCTTTTCATTAAGTCTTACTGGCTCTGCATCCGAGCCCCAAGGCAGTGCCTCAGTCTGCAACAGGGTGGAGGCCCAGGGTTTCTCTAGGCCCTGACGCTCTGAGCTGAACCCTGGCCGAGAACTGGGTCCTGCTGCCTCTGCCAGGCTTTTGAGACACTAATTTCCGGCCTGTCTGTACTTATGAGTCAGTGATCCCAGGTCCTTCCTGATTGCATTTTTGGCCGTCGTCAGAACGCCAAGATCCTTTTCTCATCCCACCTGTACATCACCCTCACTGTCTAAAATTGTGACTGACTGCCTGGCCTGACACAGGAGACTGGGGCAGCCATGGTGACTCTCTTCATCCCTGCCCCTCAGACTTCCCTATGTCTGTACTCACCAGCTGACCTACCATATTTTATATTCATTCTTCTATATCCACTTCTCTCTTATTGTACAGGATAATCTTATCTTGCCGATGAAGCTTCAAATATGCAAGGCCTCATGTGGAGGAACGAAGAGACTATCTGCTGTGGAGGAGGCTGGTGCTGCTAGAACACACTGCTTTCTGCAAAACTTGCTCCCTGCCCTCCAGCCAAGTGGGCATTCTCTTTGTCCTCAATCAGGAGAGCACACTCATCTCAGAGCCCCAGTGTCTGATGCATCCTCTCCTGGAAGAGTCTCCTCCCGCTATTCTTACTGTTTCTGTCTCATCGCCCTGTGTTTTCTTTACAGCATGGATTACAACCTTGCTCTTTATCGGCCATGCAAGATTCAGAAACATCCTCTATTATCTGGGGCATCATGACTCTGGTGAACACAGCTTGGAGCATGTCACTGATAACAAGGTTAAACAGGAACCCAGCTCGTGATGGGATACATGAATCCCACATCCATATAGATTAAGGCAGAAATCATCAGATTTGCAGGTGGGAAAGCAGCATCGTGTTTATGTGAAGAAACAATGAGGGCTGCTGAGTGGTAGAAAGTGCCCCTGCCTGGCCTAACAACAGGTTCATTCACAGACACTGAGATGCACTGGTGCTGTTGAACGACTTCCTAAGGTGGCAGAAAAGGTCTGTACGAGGCTGGGGGCTTATTCACTGACTTTAGCTACAATATGAGTGATTTTTAAACAACTTTAAATTGTTCCCTGTATGGGAACAGGGCAATTATCTAGACAAACAGGCTAATTTTTACTCTTAAGCTATTAAGTATATTACACAGAACTGTGAAGGGGAGTCTGTTTCTTCCCCTGTAGACACACACTGGATGTTCAGCTGGGGCCCCACTGACTGGCAGAGTGGCACCCTCCGTTGACTCTCAAGGCAATTACTTAAGTTTGGGGAGGAAAACCAATTCTAATCAATAAGTATATTTATTTATGGAGTATCTTCTATTTCCAGGTATTAAAATGGTTTAGAAGTAGTGCTCTAATAATCTACTTTTTTAAAAAGATGTAAGAAGAAAACACACAGACCAGAGTATGGCACTGACATGTCTCCAGCATATAACTCAATGGTTACTGAAAATATCTCTTAATTAACTCCTTTTTCCCTGAATACTCCTAATCAGACCAAACCTTTTACTCAATTAATTGCTGCTAATTAAACATGCAGTGTTACGTACTGAATTTGTAACTAGTCTTTTTGAACTTTAAATGTAATCTGACACAAATTAGAAGCAGATAATTATGAATAAACTTAAATGAAAGGCATTTGTATGAACATTTTATAGTTCGTACTATTCCAACAGATGTCCACCTCCATCTCCAACACATGCACACACCCCTTCCACAAAATTCTACTGCATTTTAATGGTAGTGGTCTCCTACAAAGTAACTGCTGAGCATAATTTTTATATTACCAAAACTATAAAAATAGCATCTTAAAAGTCCTAATTCTATGCCAGAATAGGCCATTGGTATTATCTATTCATGGAGGAGGGAGTTCCATTCTCTGAATACCAGATTCCTAATCCTGTCAGTCATTAGAAGCATTCAAAGAATGCACATGCTTCTACTCAGACACCAACAATCATATTTTAACCACCCAGTTGTTGACAATTATGTGAAAGCTAAGGGGAAGTTTAACATTTTCTCCTACATAAACCCAGTCAGTTTGTCTATGACAGAATTACTTTATTGAAGTACGCAGGCATGCACAAATGGAATGCACTGTTTTTCTAACTGCAAATTTCTCAACCAGTGGAAAAAAACTTCATCTTTACTCAAGGCACTAACTACACTACATTTTAACACTGCAATCACAGGCAGTGTATGAGATCTTATTTGTGACTAATGAACTCGATTTGGTTGTTTTAAGGGAAACAAATGAAATTTCAAATATGTTAAATAAACATAGTTTAACCACCTAGAACACATCAGTAAGTTTTTTAAAATTACTCTCCATTTCCTCAAATTTTTATTACATGATCTATAATTAATCTATACCTGTACCAATTCTAATGCCTAGGAGAGACAATTTCTAAATATGTAGAGCTACAGACTTAAAAAAGAAAACAAGTTAAATGGAATATTTTAATTCTCTAAACTCATTATGAAGAAGACTGAAAGGGACTATATTCCTTGTACTAACAATGGCACTGAAGAAAACAGAAAACTGTAAACTGTCTTCCCAACATTTCATCACTTTCAGAGGATCTGGCATGAGCAGGAACATCCTAAAGCAACGTGACTTCTGATTGTACAGACTGTATGCTCTAAAGCAGAGCCCTGTTTCTATCGGGGTGGAACTTTTACAAGACACGCATTGTGGACCCAATGGCAACGCCTACGTACCATGCCCAGGAGGAACACTCCCAACATGGCACCTGGCACATAAAGTGAGCTTCACCAGCCCACAGAATGAATGAATGAATGAGGGACCAACATGGCACCTGGCACATAAAGTGAGCTTCATCAGCCTACAGAATGAATGAATGAATGAATGAGGGACCAACATGGCACCTGGCACATAAAGCGAGCTTCATCAGCCTACAGAATGAATGAATGAATGAATGAGGGACCAACATGGCACCTGGCACATAAAGCGAGCTTCATCAGCCTACAGAATGAATGAATGAATGAATGAGGGACCAACATGGCACCTCGCACATAAACTGAGCTTCATCAGCCTACAGAATGAATGAATGAATGAATGAGGGACCAACATGGCACCTGGCACATAAAGTGAGCTTCATCAGCCTACAGAATGAATGAATGAATGAATGAGGGACCAACATGGCACCTGGCACATAAAGTGAGCTTCATCAGCCTACAGAATGAATGAATGAATGAATGAGGGACCAACATGGCACCTGGCACATAAAGCGAGCTTCATCAGCCTACAGAATGAATGAATGAATGAATGAGGGACCAACATGGCACCTCGCACATAAACTGAGCTTCATCAGCCTACAGAATGAATGAATGAATGAATGAGGGACCAACATGGCACCTGGCACATAAAGTGAGCTTCACCAGCCCACAGAATGAATGCATGAATGAATGAATGAGGGACCAACATGGCACCTGGCACATAAAGTGAGCTTCACCAGCCCACAGAATGAATGAATGAATGAATGAGGGACCAACATGGCACCTCGCACATAAAGTGAGCTTCATCAGCCCACAGAATGAATGAATGAATGAATGAGGGACCAACATGGCACCTGACACATAAAGTGAGCTTCACCAGCCCACAGAATGAATGAATGAATGAATGAATGAGGGACCAACATGGCACCTGGCACATAAAGTGAGCTTCACCAGCCCACAGAATGAATGAATGAATGAATGAATGAGGGACCAACATGGCACCTGGCACATAAAGTGAGCTTCACCAGCCCACAGAATGAATGAATGAATGAATGAATGAGGGACCAACATGGCACCTGGCACATAAAGCGAGCTTCATCAGCCCACAGAATGAATGAATGAATGAATGAATGAGGGACCAACATGGCACCTGACACATAAAGTGAGCTTCACCAGCCCACAGAATGAATGAATGAATGAATGAATGAATGAGGGACCAACATGGCACCTGGCACATAAAGTGAGCTTCACCAGCCCACAGAATGAATGAATGAATGAATGAATGAGGGACCAACATGGCACCTGGCACATAAAGTGAGCTTCACCAGCCCACAGAATGAATGAATGAATGAATGAATGAGGGACCAACATGGCACCTGGCACATAAAGCGAGCTTCATCAGCCGACAGAATGAATGAATGAGTGACCAACATGGCACCTGACACATAAAACGAGCTTCATCAGCCCACAGAATGAATGAATGAATGAGGGAATGGCAGTGGAAAACAGACCAAAAACATCCTGCTATGCCAGGACTGCTTCCTGGTGGTCCCCCTTGTTATCCCGACTCTGGATCTCTTGGCCTCTGGGTCCCGGAACCGTCCAGGACCGCAGCTCCAGCTGTTTTTTTTGCTGCCCTTGCTGCCTCAAGCCCCACCCCAGCAGGCCCCAGCTCTGGGGTCTAGTCCTCAACCCAATTCCATGAGGGAAATCCACCTGTTAAAGGCGAGTGGCAAAAATCCAGGTAAATGTGGAAGGGGTGGGAGGGGCACGACACCTCTTTCTGAGGTTTCAGCCAATTACAATGAGATGAGTCAACACTGTTATGGAGCTTCCTGCTCTGCTCAAGAGAAAATACTCTCTGACAAAAAAGTGAAACGTTAAATTACTAGGCAAGCAGCTTCCTAAGTGTGTTTAATTTAACCAATGTTACAGAAGAAACTGTGGTTAAAATAATTTCAGAAATACTGAATTGGTCAAATAAAGTTTCCTCTACTACGTGGCTTCTCAGAGCCTTGAACTGGGCTAATATTGTGAATCCCCCAGAACTTCCCCCAAACTCTCTGATGGGCTAAAAGTTAAAAAAAAAAAAATTCCTTTCTCCTAACATGTAAAATTGTATCTAGAGATCAATTTAAGCCATTTTTGCAGATACATAGAAATGCTTCAATACCCAGAACTGATTTTGGAAAAGTAGAAACAGACTTTTAACAACTGCAAATTTAAAATGCCACTGAAGGCTCCAAAAGTACCTGACTCGATCGAGTACAGCACTTCAGCATTTTTCCCTTTGTCCTTGTCCAGAGCCGTCACCTGCAACACAACTGAGCCAACGGCTGCCGATTCATAAACCCGCCCTTTGTAGGAGGAAGCGGTGAACCACGGGGCGTGGTCATTCGTGTCGCTGACATTGACCACAATCCTTGCAAAGTTGCGTTTTACAGGCACATCTTGATCTCGTACCTAAAAAGAATTGACACATTATCAATCCCATTGGTGCTTTCCTTATAACTAATTAAAAATCACGCTCGAACACACAAAGGCCTCAGGACCAAATGGTGGGAGGAGAGCGGGTAGAGCGCCTACCATGACCGTGAGGGTGTGCTGGTGAACAGCTTCATGATCCAGTTTCTCAGAAGTATAGAGAGAGCCGGTTGCAGGATCAAGACGAAATTTCTTGAGACTCAGTGGATCTCTACTGCTCTGCAGAGTGTAGATTAGTTTGTTTTTCTCATCCTGATCCACAGCACTGATTTGCAAAATTTCTGTTTCTGGCGCTGTATCTTCAGGAATAACAACTTCATACTTTGATGTAGAAAACTGAGGACGATGGTCATTTGTGTCTATTACTTTGATGAATACCTGTAATGGATGACAAAATGACTCATACAATATTTCCAATTATGAATGTTTTAATACTTAAAGAACCATGAACGAAAGTCATGTATATTGAAACGATACTGTGGCAAAATAAAATACGAGAAAGGCAACAAAAACCTAGAATCATACATTTCTTAAAACATTTCTCATTGGTATATTACTTATCTAAATATGAGTAAGATAATGATGACCTTTCTGCATTCTTATAACTAACTCTGGGACAAAATATGTATTGATTTTCACACTTGCCACGTCTTTACGTGGGCTTAACTTCTCTTACGCCTCCACAGAGAAGGTATCTGTAGGTCACTCATGTACGGATAACAATTTACCAGGATTTATAGAAGACTAATTTCTTAAATCAGATTTGTATCTGCAACTACCAACCCACTGAGGTAAGACAGATGATTACACTATCCAAATTTCTCATTCTCATCTTTGACATCCCAAGCCCCTGATCATAGGTTTTTTTAATACGTAAAAAGAAAAAATAAGAAATGTGTTTAGAAATCACTGTATTTCTGTGATCATAAACCTACATCTATGTAGTAAATATGTTTACTCCCTAAAACCAATTTAGTCAATAGATTGAAAAAATAAACTCTCTTAACTATGTCTACATAAAGTAAAAACCTTTAGAGGAAAAAAGCAAATGTTAAGAAACTTGGTACTAAGCTAAATTAGAAACAAACAAAACTTTGACAGTAAGAGGATTAATTTCCATAATGAAAAGACGTATGGATTTGGCACAGCGGAAATCACTGCCAATTATAAAACATGCTTTAGAGTTTAAGAAGAAGAAAACTGCGCTTCGTGGGGGCATATGGAACAAAGGGATCTGCTGGTCCAAGCAGCACAGGGGGCCAGGGTCCCAGGCAGAGCGGTCAACCACATGGTGCAGGCCATGAACAGAGGCCTTCCTTCCATGAGGGCTACATCAGTGTTCTCACAGAAGACCAAAATATCAAGGATGTTTTAGTTAAATAAAACGTAACATTACATTTTGTATGAATTCCAGATGCATCCACCAAACCACGGAAAGGTTGCATGTGAAAGCTATGTAAACCTTTAAAACTACAGATGCCTCACTTTTACAGGTCAATGATGATCCAGAAGGGATGGCTATAAAGGCAATTACCATAGATTAGATTACATATTCATTTCCACTATAAATTTAAAAATTACTTTTCCCATGTAGTGGGTACTGAGCAGAGAAGTTTAATCCTGCTCCAAGCTCAAGCATTATTAAGTAGAAAGAACTGGAAGTCAAAGCAATTCAATTGAAACACACGGATTGTGCGTTTCCATGCCCAATGCTTGCCTGGGTGTGAAATCAGCATGCAATGGTCTCTGCCCTCATAGAGCCACCAGGCTTACCAGGCAATGTTCTGCACATGCACAGCCTAACCATGTCTCATATATTATCATGTAAAGTTTTTAAGAGTCCAGAGACTGGCTGAGATATTCAGAAAGCTCTTAAGGAGATAATGCTTTCTTGGGTACATTTTTGGTTGGCAGGTGAGTAAGTATGAGGAAGGGCTGCGTCAACGACATGAAGGCAAGCAGTGGGACGGAACATCCTGCCTTTCAGAGGCTGGAGAGGACTTGGAACTCAGGGGTGATACAGTAAAGGAGCAAGAAGAAGGCAGAGTCAAATACGCAGAGCCTCGACTCCAGAACTGATGTGGGAGGACTACACAGCTCCTTTTGGTCAGAAGAAACTCGCTTCCAACATGAGTGGCAGGGATGAAGAATGGCGACTGGAAGGTGAATTGAGTGTTGGTGGGACAAGAGCCCAAACCAGTGCTGATGTGCAACAAGACTATGGCTTTCTGCGTGCTTACTGGGTGACAGGCTCTCAGAACGTGAAGAACAAGCACCCTGCGGGTCACCTCATCAACCTTCCTAAGACCTCCAAAAGGACGATTATCACCACCCCCACTTTGTAGATGAGAACATGGACACACAGAGAGTTACAGCTATTTGCCCATGGAAAGGAGTACAAGAGGTGGAGCCGGGATTCAAACCAAGTGATCTGCTCCAGAGGCCACGATGCTGATGCTCGAGAGAAAGTTAAAGAAGATATGAAAGCAAAGTTGTTTGAATGAAAGAAAAAAAAGGTAACTGGATTTGGTAAGTTACCTGGAGATACAAGATAAAGCCAAGTGACTGGAATCAATGGCGGTCAGCATCCTAAGCCACACACGCAGGACAGGAAAGCCAGAGAAGAGCTGTTTCCGCAGGGCACTGGCAGTTCTCCCACTGTCCTGCCGCCTACCTCTGCTGGAGGCTGCCCGCTTGACTCACCAACGGCTCACCTAAACCTTCTCAAATCGGCATCTGCTGCCCCTGACCTGGATACACAATGGCTGCTCTGTTGACTTCTGAGTGTTACTTCCAAGCCCCAATCCATCCCCGAGGTATCCTAGTGTCTCACCTCCCAGCTGACCCCTCTGCTCTTCAATCCATCCCCGCAGTATCCTAGTGTCTCATCTCCCAGCTGATCCCTCTGCTCTTCAATCCATCCCCGCGGTATCCTAGTGTCTCACTGCCCAGCTGACTCCTCTGCTCTTCAATCCATCCCCGCGGTATCCTAGTGTCTCACTGCCCAGCTGACTGCTCTGCTCTTCAATCCATCCCCGCGGTATCCTAGTGTCTCACCGTCCAGGTGACTCCTCTGCTCTTCAATCCATCCCCATGGTATCGTAGTGTCTCGCCTCCCAGCTGATTCCTGTGCTCTTCAATCAATCCCCGCGGTATGCTAGTGTCTCACTGCCCAGCTGATCCCTCTGCTCTTCAATCCATCCCTGCAGTACCCTAGTGTCTCACCTCCCAGCTGACTCCTGTGCTCTTCAACCCATTCCTGCGGTATCCTAGTCTCTCGCCGCCCAGCTGACTCCTCTGCTCTTCAATCCATCCCCGCGGTATCCTAGTGTCTCACTGCCCAGGTGACTCCTCTGCTTTTCAATCCATCCCCACAGTATCCTAGTGTCTCGCCGCCCAGCTGATCCCTCTGCTTTTCAATCCATCCCCGCTGTATCCTGGTGCCTCTCACTGTCCAGCTGATTCCTGTGCTCTTCTCCAGGTGGCAGCTGCTGCACCCCCCTCCCGCCCCCACCCAAATTCATATTTCCAGGTTCTCAGCTAAAGAGGAAAAATAATCTAAACACAAATCATTCCCTTTGTCCCACACCTTAACAGGTCAACCTGGGCTACTGTTCTCTTATAGTCCGACTGCCTTTCTCTGCCAGCGATTAGGATAGCATCTACAGCCTATGACAATGGCCCAAAAATAAGTTACAGAAGTATAAAGGAAGCAATGAAATTTAAGATATTTTGTGTTTCCAAGAAAGAAAACTAGAATACACTTCCTGGGTTTTATAGGGATTTTAGTTGGTGCACGTGATATTTCATGCTAAACTTTTAACTGCACTAATTAAAAATATAATTATTGGGAAAGAGGTGCACTGTTAATTATTCATAGACGTAGGGTCTTTAGTAATGAGAATGCTTGGCAAAGAGGGACAGCTCCACTGTTTATGAAGCTCCTTTTGTTAGATTTCTGGGTAGTCGATTCTGTGAATTGGTCTACAGTTATACCCCTTAAATCCTTCTCTCAGAATTATCCTATTAGATTTATTACAATTTATGATGTTTTTATTCTCATTTTTGTGCTCTAAAATTTTACAAGGGCTTATGTTTAAAGAGAGAAAATCAATAGATTTTGCTTGTCTCTAGAATGAGAACAGCTACCAACTAAATTGAAATTTTGACACCATACTAGAACTTTTACAAGACAATCTCAAAATGACCCCAAAAGCATATAACATACATGTATCAATTTTATATACACTAAAAATCACAAGCATTTGGAGAAAGAAATATTTTTGTAAATGGCTTTAAATTATCTACCCATTTATTAATCGAAAAGACATCACCGACTATAATTTTTATCTTTTAATGCAGCTAAATGAGTTAGCAGATGATCTGTCTTGCTTAGTACTTAAAACAGGATAATCTAACGCTAGAAAATTTCAAACTCAGATGCACCTTGTTCTCTGACATTTAACTTCTTTCTTTTTCATTTAGGCCACAGTAGATTATAAACAAGCCTTTAGCTTCTGCCATCCCAGTGTAAGCTCCAAGAGGGCAAGATTGTTGCCTCTTCTGTTTCCTACTATTCACCTTCCAGAATGGTGCCTGGCATGTAACAAGTGTTCAACAAATACTTGGTAAATAAATGAGTGAATGACACTCTGCTTGCTCCTGAAACCTCAGGATGCTTCTTCTATCTAGGAATATTCCTTCTGTACACTCCAAACGGCCCACACTGAGAACCAAAGAAAAGTAATAAGAAAGAACAGAATTTAAATTTCACTTACAGGATTTTAACACTTAAGTTTGAAATCCCCATAATCTGGCCATCTCAATTACCAGATAGGAACAAATAAAGGTGGTAAAGGAATTATTAGAACAATTTTATTAGTTATTTTATATAGCCAGGAGGAATCCAAAAAAAAGTGATTTAGAAGATTAATCACTTTAACCAGTTTTACTGAAAATGATTTAAACAATTCATTCTCAACAGTGATGTACTTGATGTTAACATAGTTTAAAATGAGTGTAAAATTCGAAGATTTTGATGGTATAACGTTGGTTTGGTTTGGTTTTTGAAGTCTTCTCTCAAAATTCTCAAAACTGCTTAATTATATGCAAAACCCAAATTGGGATATGGAATTAATTTTCTTTCCCTAAATAAAAATTCTTAGTGTGCATGTGTGTAAACTTCTGATTTTAGACCCTCACAGGGCAGAATCCACCGCTCATATTGCCCGTGGACCCCTAAGTCAGAACGTTATCTCCATCCTCCTCTGACAAGTGTGTCATTAGTAATTCACTTACCTGAGTGAGGATAGTGGTGGTTCCATCTGTAGCCTCGACTGTGAGGTTGTAGTTTGACTTCTGTTCTGCATCAAGAGGTTTGGCAACAATGATGGTTCCAGTTCCCTTGTCCACATCGAAGTGACTGTCGTAGTTGCCACCTAATTTGGGGAAAAAAAAGTAAAAACAGGTCACAGGATAACACTCTGTAGTTTATTCTGTGGCTTTCTCATACTTAATGGCACTGAAAAATCTTCTAATATACTAGCAAAGAGCTTCCAAGGAGGAGCATTTTGAAAGAAAAGAGTGGCCAATTAGAAAGACAATGCTTGTTAAGGCAAAGTGAACCCTAATTGTCCAGGAAGCAACTAACTGAAAGAAAGCAAGAAAGCAACTCTGAAAACAAAGACATTGCTAATATTGCCAATGAGTTACTTTCAATTTGCTTTTTCAGGGGTTCTGAATTCCTCTTCAATTTGTATCTCAGTAGATACCATCACTGGGCCATTTAAAAGCTTACTTACTAACAAAACTTTCTGATACTTTGAGCAAATTGACCTAATAAAATAGCTATTAAAAATCAATGTTAACTCTAAAAAAAATAGCGGTCGTTAACTTTAATTAGTCCTGGCTACTATAAACTATTTGAAAAGAATTTTTTTTCTCATTTTTGACAAACACAAAGCCTAATGAAACAAAAGTTTCTATCCTATTAATATTATCCAAATATTTTTGATAAAACTCTCTTTTCAAATCCATCGACCTAGATATAAAATGAAATGGGATGAAAATAGAGGTTTAATGTCATGATGAAATTCTACTACTAAATCTAACCAAGAAACAAAACAACACACACGACGTCTTAAGAGAAACCTAAAACCACGGAGCTAGGTGAGCATTACGTGGCAACACGCTGGCGAGTGGGATGGGTGACCATGCGCACACTATGAAAAAAAAAACAGCGATGGAAGATAGTCACTGGAAATAAAAAAGTAAAAAAAAACAAAAACAAAACAAGGCTTTTATTTTAGATCTCATAATCTGAGGCAAATTATGTGATCTCAGCAGATACCTTCTGCTGTACAGGTCGGGTCACAAGTCATCTGAAAGATGTAAAAAACTTCTCTAGCAAGCGTGTCTCCTGGCACAGCCAAAAAGAAGCAAGCGCGCATGGAAAGCAAGCACAGAATAAAAGCAATCAATCAAACCAGGTCCAAGCACAGCAAGGTTACACAGCGAGGTCAGGTACTGCACAGCAGCAGCCTGTTGATCTGGAAATGTGATAAAAGTTAACAGAAAGCAAACAAACGGTTTTGAGCATCGTTAACTACGAAAATAGTCTCTTTTTCCCCTTCCCTTGAAAGTATGCTGTAAGGGTTTCACAGGTGCTGATGACATCAATTTCACACAATCACCAAATTGGTAAAACAGCCAAAGCATTTAGCATGAAAGTTCCAAAGGTAAGGCCTGGCCTGGCCTGACATGCCCAGTGGTCTGGGTCCATCAGCTGCAACTTTTGGGGGCTTCGGGTTAGCATGACTAAGGGGCAGAAGGGGAAAAATGGACATAAAGTCCCCCCCAGAGAGATGAATCGCAACAGAGACTCTTGTTCTTAAATACCCTTGTAACTAAAATGTGAGGAAACAATAAAAAAAAATCTAAGATGCAAACTCTAATGTGAAATTTAAAAAATACGTTGAATAGGGTATTACATTCAATGTCTTATCTAAACTACATGACAAATAAGAAGAAGAAATGGCTTTAGCAAGTAAACTTTACTGGAGGATGAAATAATCTAATGAATCCTCCTACCTGTTGAAAATGAGGTAATATAAAACTAAAAACCCATAGCTGGTACCATAACTTTGTACCATAAGCTGGTATGAATCAAAATTTGTAAGCTTATTCCCTATTAAATATTGACATGTGACAGTCACACAGGCATAGTTACTTTAAATGTTCCAATCATATTCACTAAAAATAACAATGTGCCATAGGTTATGCATCAATAAAAATAACAATGTGCCATAGGTTATGCATCAATAAATAAACAGTAAGAAGCTGTGCTTCTGGACCAAAACATTCAAGGCTTTTGTCTGTAACTCTTTGACAAACTTTTACAAAATTTTATTTTTATATCAATAACTTGGTAGAATAGAGCACCTATTTTAAGCAAGTTTAACATATGCTATATATTGTGAAAAATTTTGCAATCAAAATATTATAGTTGAAAGCAAATTCTCCACCTGTCGATCTTATTCCCAATTTTAAATCCTGACTTGTGCCCAAAACTCATCAAACCGTATGCAGGTTCTCCTCAGTGTAACCCATACGGACAACGAAAATGAGGGGGAATGCTTACCAGTGATGTCAAACCAAAGGGGTATGCCAGGAGGCTCCACAGATATTACTCCAATCATGTGAGCAACGGGGTCACTTTCCATCACAGTAAAGGTAAAAAATGATTCTTCAAATGAAATGGGCTCCAGGGACGGTTTGGGCTTGGAGATCCATTCAATATGGAGTCTGGTGGTTGATGACTTTTGAGGGCGACCATTGTCAACTGCCTTAATCTACAACATTTGGGCAGAGGGGATTAAAAACAGCAAATCAGGAGTTACAACCCAGAAATGAATGAAGCACAGACTGGTTTGGTCTTAAACTGAGCCAATTTCAAACATTTCACATTTGTATTCTGTGTATGGAATGCCTGACAGAAGAACAATGATTTCATGACCACATTCAACATAAACAATAAGCACCCTGATTCTCAAACGTTATCCGGCATTGCCTAATGGGGCCAGCAGGTCACAAACACTTCAGCCGTTTACAAAATAGAAATAAAGTTACTAAAGAAAAAATACAAAATAAGGTTTATAGTCACAACATATGAAAAATTACAGTACTACAATCTTAACTCACTGAAAGAATATCATATTCTCCAGCTGCTGAAAACCTCTTGGACGAAACCACTCCAGTTTTCGGTTCGATGAAAAATTTGCCATGCTCATTCCCGTCTTCGATGCTGTAGGAGATTTCTGCATTGGGGCCCTCATCCTTGTCGGTGGCTATGACGTGATAGAGCGGCTCCCGTCTGGCATTTCTTTCTCGGTCTGGCTTTTCCCGCTCAGGGAGTCTGATTTTGTAGAACTTTTGCAGAAACTGAGGTTTGTTGTCATTTTCATCAAGGATTTTCACAATGACTCTTGCAATGGTTGATTTGGGGGGACTACCATTGTCTGTCACAGTAACCTGTTTTTTTAAAGTTAACAGATTAACATGTTAAGATATACTATATAAAAAGTGAGCATCTTCTTCCTCATGCTACTCCGCATGTGTGTAAAGCTCTGCATTTTGCAGGGCACGATGACAACATACACAGCAGATCTTCATTCCAACAACAGGGCTGTAAGGAGGTGAGGCAGCACCTCCCATCTCTACAGGGAGAGAGTCAGGGGGCCGGGCATGGCTAAGAAAGAAACAGCTGCACCCCTGCGCGCCTTCCTGACCACGCAGGCTCTCTTCTCGCATTAGTTTAAGTGGAAAGTGAACCTCACCCAAATGTTAAGCTACCAAAAACTTAATACCTTTAGGCCATGGAAGAGATACGTGAAGATTCTGCTTTACACATTTAAAGAGTCTTCTTAAAAACAACACACTCTACATACTTAAAAACAAAATTTCCATATATCATGTTAAAAATGTTAAACTTCATCAGTAAAATATGCTAAATTGTCATTTTAAAGTATGTGTTAAATAAATAGTACACCTTTTAATACCAGTAATCACCATTTTATTTTGGCTGTTTTCCTCTACAGATTTTTATAGGAGTGGACCTAAACATTTAAATTTAAGACCAACTCATTAAATAAGATTTTCGGTAAAATAACTTTCATTTTAAGTAAACTATCCATATATTCTTATATTCTATTTAGGAAAAAATATCAGAGAGTCTTGAGGACTGCACTGATGACTGTTTCTATGTCCCTAAGAGACCATTTCACCCTTAAATCAAATGTTCACGTTTACGTCAATGGGCACATTAAATATAACGACATTAGTAATGCTTATTCTCCCCTATCCACACCCCTACCTTCTTCCCAACTGAATTACCAAAACACTAAAAACGGTCAAGGAGACTGAAGTCTGGCAGTTGTAAACCCTGTTTATTAAAGTGTGACTATATCCCGATGGTGCCTGTCAAAAGTATTTAAGTAGTTGCTTTATATTATTTACCTTCCTAAGCTTTTTCAAAATAAAACATTACTATTTTAATTTTAAACTCTCGAAACATTTCCTTTTCATCAGTTTGCATATGAGCTTTAGAAAAACAAGAAAGAGAAATACAAGCAAGCACTATGTTTTTTAGTATTCATCACCAAATTGTTCCTAACTTTGGGTTCAAGAACCAGTAGCTAGTCACAGCTTTCAACATGTAATGGAGACACTATCTTTAAGACAGCCAAATCAATGCCAGCACTGGCTCTCAAATATACCACCCCAAAAGGACCCTACTGAAAAATACACTAATTATGTATGTTGAAGGGAAAATTTATTTCCCATCCATGTCCAAATATGACTTTCAAAGTGCTATATATCTGGTATCTGCTTCCACCTAGCCTTTGATATTCACGGAGAAAAGAGGACTCTGGAGTGACGTATGCAATTAATGTGAAATTTGAAAGGACTGGAGCAAAATGTCAGTGTAACTACTGCTCTCCTATCTTCCCATCTGTTTATCTTTGTCAGTGACTGCATTTGCCCCTTCTGTCAATCCTTGTAGTGACAGAATGAAAATTCAAAACTTTGCTCTATCATAAAGAAAATGAATTCAAGCGAACTTTACACCCTATGAACTAAAAACTCAGATGTAATACATGAAGCAGCTCCTAATGGGGAAAGCACTGTGGCTGTGAAACCACCTTTTCCAGAGGGTATTCCCAGTTCCCAATGCACACACACACACACACACACACACACACATACACTGCACAACTATAAAAACTAAGTATTTACTGACAACGTTAAGAAAATTTGACCAAGGATAAAATGAAATTAAGCAGGCAGCATTATAAACAGCAATATTAAAAGAAATTTTCAAAAGTTACAGTTTAGAATTTTGTCACTTATACTGTTAGAGTGGAAGAAGAGCACTGATAACTCAATTAAACAAAGGCAGGTGGCCTTTTCCAAGGCTGGCTCCGATAATGAACACCAGTCTTCCACACGGGACAGAGAGATGTCTCTACGCCCCTCTCTGCGGTCTGCCTGTCTCTCAGCCGCTTCCTGACGACACGGCCCAGAGATCTCATCAACCTGATGTCCATGTTACGCTCCACCTTCCCTCTCCAAATTACTCGCGGCCTTTTTCTGCAATGTATTTACTATTAGCCAAAAACCAGGTGACCAATACATGATAACAAGCTGTGGGTTTTCTAAGGACTAAAAGGCATTGTAAATTATCCATGAGAATGAGAAGCCTTATTAGAACTTTCTAGAAGAGCACATCTGAGACTTCAATCTACTTTTACTTTTGAGGTATTTAAGAAGCACAAACTAAGTAATTCATAGTTTAAAACGCAAAAATAATGCAACTGTTTAAGAGCAAAAAAATGAATCTGGAAACAAATTACCTCTAGTTAAAAAGGTTGAAACAGATCTATAAATACCAACATAAATATATCTCAAAAACATAATAGTAAGGGGAAAAAAAGATGTATACAGAAAAATATCACTTATGTAAATGCAAATGAATTCCACATGACACTGTTTATAGATCTGTTCGCCCCCTGTGTGTGCGCAAGCATAAAATACAAAGATCTGAATCCGGCCCATGACAGTGGCTGTGTATTCTGGGAATGGTATTGAGGGATAAAGGGGACAAGAGCTATATTCATTAACAATTTCCTTATATTCCTTTTTCCTAACAACCAGTAAATAATATTAATACAACAAAATATTAATAGCTAAGAATACTGGTTAATGGGAACAAGATTGTTCTTTCCCATGATACTTGTAACTACGAATCTTTAAGTATTAAAGATAAAAAAAAAACTTACCTCTAATATGTGTTCATCTTGCTGTTCTCGGTCTAGCTTCCTTGACGTAGTTGTGATGAGACCTGTAAAATGATAACAGTTCATTAATCCTCACAAAATAAGGTCAATTACAAAATACTGCAATTAAAATCACACTCTTGGCCAGGTGCGGTAGCTCATGCCTTAATCCCAGCACTTTGGGAGGCCCAGGGGGGTGGATTACTTAAGGTCAGGAGTTGGAGGCCAGCCTGGCCAACATGATGAAACCCTGTATCTACAAAAAGTTAGCCAGGCATGGTGGCGCGTGACTGTAATCCCAGCTAATTGGGAGGCTGAGGCAGGAGAATTGCTTGAACCTGGGAGGTGGAGGTTGCAGAGATCACACCAATGCTCTCCAGCCTGGGCAACAAAGTGAGACTCCATCTCAAAAATACAATAAAAAACAAAACCATACTCTTGTAAAAGTCTGAGCAAATTTCTTCTCAAGAAAAAAAGAAGAAAGAAATTTCTTACTAAAGAAATTTAATTTCCAGGTACGGTTATTTTGTCTACAAACAACAACATACTTTATACTTTCTCACTTTAATGACTCATATTGGATAAATGACAAATAGTAAGAAAGTGGAAAAACTCAAATCAGTTACATTTTCTATTTGTTAGTGGTTTCAATATACATTTTGTCAGAAAAGATTTTTTAAAAGTGAGATGAAGTTATCCAGGATTTCAATCTCATCCATCTCCTTTAACTGCTCAAGAGATAACTGAGAGTTGACAGAAATGACTTCTATAACTATATTAATAAGGACTATTGAAAATAAAGTGTTAACTCTAATTTATTACCTTTGAATTATCCACTCTCATAAATAAAGAACTGTTATAAAAAGTAATGTAATTTTCCAGGTAATCTTGCTCATTTAATTTCCCATAAAAGAAAATTAATGATCCTCAAATTCTGTATTCTAGAAAACAAATTTCCTATCAAACTAGAATATCTATGAGTTTTGACCTCTCTTGAGAACTTTAATAACTGCTCAACTGTCTGCATATTTTGGAACTAGAAGGCAATTACAATTTATAAAATGTATTCTTATGCTTCACCAAAACCACAAACAAAACTCCCCTAAGCACTAAAATGTCGTCCCCAATCTGTGTTGATGGTGAACAGGTGCATGCAGGATGATCTGCACCTCCGACCTTAAAACCAGGTGGAGCCTGTGTGGCAGGACAATCACCAGGGCTGAACGTTCTCCTCCCAGTGCTGCGGCTTTTTTCTCATATGGAAATACCTTAAATAATTCACATTTAAGAATAGACATTATTAATCTAATTTATTTTCTCCCATAATCTTTACTAATTTCACAGAACTATCACTTAAGGGATATTCAACATGTTTCTCTGCAGCAATAAGTGAAAGGCTTGTGTTTTCACTTAATTCAAAGGTTTTTTTCCTTAAGTAGTTACTAAGAATCTAAATCAACATTATTTTCCTCACAATTCAACGAAACAGTGTTCTCTTTTTAACAAGGGCAACAGAAGGCTATATCATACCTCCACACTGGGGTTTTCCCAGATCATAGGTATAGATTAAAAGGTGCTAAAGGGAAATGCTTCACAGTGCTTACGGGTGTAAAAATGACGCTTGAATGTGGCACAAGCTTAATTTTCATTAGTCAAAAACCTTTTAAGTTAATCTCTTTTTTTCCCCAATCAAAAATGTACCATCCTCTCCTAACTGTGGTTGTAAATAGTTCAGGAACGACAAGGAGCCCCTTGATTAGTCCCACATCTAATTATTGTAATGTGTCCACCAAGAAGTTGTGATTGATGGTAACATCACGTGGAATAGCAGCTTGACACGTTCCCAGGAAAACAGTATTCTTCTGCAGAGCACTTAATCACTCACCAACAGCACTGCGCAAATACTTATGAGCAAATACAACTCCCCACTTCACGATTTACTTAGAGCACACAAGAAGGCTAAGGAAAGCTGTACCTGTGTCCATACTACCAATTCCACATAAAAAGGCTGGGCATGGTGGCTCACACCTGTAATCCCAGCACTTTGGGAGGCTGAGGCAGGCGGATCACCTGAGCTCAGAGGTTCGAGACCAGCCTGGCCAACATGGCGAAACCCTGTCTCTACCAAAAATACAAAAAGTTAGCTGACATGGTGGCACACACCTGTAATCCCAGCTACTCAGGAGGCTGAGGCAGAAGAAAAGCTTGAACCTGGGAAGAGGAGGCCACAGTGAGCCGAGATTGCGCCACAGCACTCCAGCCTGGGCGACAGAGCAAAACTCTGTCAAAAAAAAAAAAACAAAATCCACATAAAGCCAAAAGGCTACCTGACCACCTCCTTCCTGGGTCTGAAATTATTTGCATGTTCTATACTCCTCAAATTAATTCTCCTCCGTTAACTCAGATGGAGCTTTAATTTCATCCCAATGCAATGAATGGTAATATTAGCCCCTTTCTTTCCACTTCAGCCTGAGTCACTGCCTCACCCTTCAGTTTAAACTGAAGCGGGTTTAAACTTTTAAACTCACTGCAGGGCCTGGCGTGGGTTCCTGCTGCTGCATTCTCCAAGTTCTAATATTTCTTCTATCATAATATTACTCCACAGTATTAAAGCCCCTCATTTAAAAATTAGTCTTCTTTTCTGTACTGGAAAACTCACGAGGACAGTGGCTGTCTTTCTTGCATAGCTTGCTCACATAGCTATCTCTCCGTCATCCTCAAGAAACACTTAAACGTGTGAACATGTGAATTTCTTAAAACTATGAATGAGCAGAATTAAAAATATGTGCTAGAGTGAGAGAGATAAACTACTGTAAACCTGAAAATGATACAAATCCACAGCCCATAAGTGAGCCAACAGAGAATGCGTTAGTACATATTTATAGGCAGCGTGTGCCAGGTGCTGCGATGGGTGGCTAGGTGCTGCAATGGGTGGCTACGTGCTGCGATGGGTGGCTAGGGGCTGGCGGCACCCTGCGGGTATTTAGAAGCACAGACCCGAGGCGCAGGGAAGAAGCTGTGGGCATACAGACAGGTGTGACTCAGACCACACCCACAGAAGTGAGCATAATACTAAAGAGAACAGTGGGCCTATAAAAACGGTAGAGAAAATAGCGGGCCGATCTTCAACCTAGGAAGCAATCTGCTGGAAGAGAAGCTTCGTGTCCCAGAAGCCAAAGGCAGACGATTTTAAGGAGGACGTACTTTGGAGGAGCCTGGAAGAAAAGAGAAAGTGAGGCAGGAAGTAGACCAGGAGAAGTATTACTTTTACGAAGACGAGATTGTCTCACATGTAACTGTAAACTAGAGAGAAGACGAAGATGTAGACTTCCACTAACAAATACAGTCACCACTAGCCTCCTGAGACCAGTGGAATTTAAATTAATTAAAATTCAGTAAAGTTTACACTTCAGTTTCTCAATCACACTAAGCCAAATTTCCAGGGTACGGCAGCCCCCAGGGGCCGGTGACGACAGCATGGAGCAAGGCAGATGGAGAACGCGCTCCCCACGGCAGGAAGCTCTGCTGGACGGCACCGGTCTACTCAGGAGGCATAATTCACAAATCAAGATCCTGCAAGAAACCCTGCAGGGTGGGTTTACTTTTCTGCGGAGAACACGTAAGATATTTCAGACTGACAAAAACAAACAAATAACAACAACAAACTTTCTTTCTAAATTCACAACACTTAGCAAAAAGAATCTTAGCAAGGCTGCCGTAGTGCTTTTCCCTAATGCCATCTCCAGAGAGAGGCCGTGCATGAGTGTCCTATGGGGGTGGCACCAGGTGATGCACCCCCTCTGCGAAAAATTACAGTAAAATTAGGGCTTCCTGTGGGATTTTCATACAAAATGAAAACAGAATTTCCTAATGATGTAATTTAATACTAGGCATTCTGGGTGTCTTTTCGAGGTGCGCTTTACCTTACAGCAATCAACCACACTGAGTGCCTAACACCCCGGGGAACGCTACCCGAACCCCCTGCACTCTGGCCATACAAGACAATCTACCGAGTGTGTTCTGTGTTCACACTCATTCACGCCTCTGTGAGCATCACTCCTGCTCCTCATCCCCCCCCCACCCCCACCCACTTGAAACATCGACTTCAAACATAATTCTAAAGTACAACTGCTCCATATACCCACTACATGTTATTAACCTAGTAGGTAGTAAGTGTCCTAGTAAGTATGTCCACTTCTTTCATTTTCGACATCTGTGCTCATCTGCAATATTTTTTGCCAAATCCCAGAAAGATATATACTTAAAGGAAACTGTACAGAACTTCAGAACTAGACAGAAACCTTTAAGATTATCAAGTTGAGCTGCCTGAACCAAAGAGAAGTTAAAATTTTCCAAGGCCACTAGTAAGTCATTAACAAAGCCAGGAGTAGGATTTCGTTCTCTTGAGGCTCAGATGAGCGTTTTTTTCTCCCTATCACACCTGACTGCGTAATTTGCTGTATTATAGTATTTCAACACTCCATGAACTCTGAACTGTGACTTTCATAAACTGTAACGAAAAAACCAGGAATGACTCATCATTAGTCATTTAATAGATCCAAAAAAGCAAGTTAGGAGATAAAAGAGGCAAAAGCAGAAAAACGTATATGCAACTGTTTTCTTTTTGTAACTTTGTGTTTCATCTTCCTCTTCTGCCAAGCACTGATAATTAAAAATAGAAAGGAAGAAAAACTAGAAATTTTTCTTTCCTTGGTCCAGAAAAACACTGCATTCTATATAATAAAACTATGATAAATGTAGGTGGGCTGAGACAGCAGACACAGTATATTCTCACCAATGAGCAGTTACCAGTTCACCCCAGAAATGTATGCACAATGCAGTAACAAAGTTTATGGCACTTGAGGAACATCATTAAAAACCACTCATGGCCTTTCAACGCCACTTAGACATTTAGAGATGAGTTCATTTAGAACAGAGAGAATGTCAGATCAGCTATGTTTCAATATAAAATTGTGCTCTTTGACATTTCTTATAAATCAGTAACAAAACCATCTCCAAACTTCTCAAAATTCAAGAGATAAAGTAGACTTCGCGAAGCAGATAGACGTAAAAGTGAACATCAAAGGACTAGTAGGTGAAGACAGTCATGTGACATGGTCCACACAGCTGGAGCGATGAATGCATTCAGTCAACTGTGTTGTACTGTCCACTCAGAAAGTGGAGATAAGACAGTCTTGTTTGCAAGAAACCAGGATGAAGGCTAGAAGTTGGCAAAGACTACTTTACATGTGAGAAACAGTAAGACAGGATAGATTGTAGGGCACTGACAGAAAACACAGTGCAGGAGCTACACACAGAAAACAGGAAGCAGGAGGAAGGCTCTTGCCAGCAACTCTGTGTTCCAGAAAAGTGTGGACTTGGTTGGAAGAGAAGACACGTGGTCTAGTCATTCGTGCTGCTCCACCATTGCCTGACATGTGAGTGAGGCCACCGAGGACCAGCTGGCCACCAGCCAAGCCTGCACAAGAGTGGAAGAAGCACCCGGCAGAACCCTAAATTATGAGTTATTTCAAGGGCGGAAGAACTGCCCAGCAGAACCCTAAACTAAATTATGACAGCTATTTCAAGCCACTCAATTTTGACAGTTTGTTAGCCAAGGTATTATGCTTTAATAGATACTTCATTACATATATATATATATATATATATATATATATATATATATATATATATATATATATATGCCTGTAAAAAACTGAGATATATCCACATATGTATATGTGTATATCTTCACATATGATGTGTAAATATGTGAAGATATCTCCATTTTTACAGGCTTAGAGAGATTAAGTTGCTTACTCAACGTCATTTAGCAAAGTATTGAAGTTGGGGGTTCAATAAATCTAGTAAGTCTACATTAAAAGTGAAAGAAACCAGGGAGGGACTGAAGACTGTGGTTCTGTAAAAAATAAATTTCAACATCAGCACAGTGGATAAAAATGGATGGCATAATCCCAGCACTCTGGGAGGCCAAGGCAGGTGAATCACTTGAGGCTAGGAGTTCGAGACCAGCTTGGTCAACATGGAGAAACCCCATCTCTACTAAAAATTCAAAAATTAGCTGGGTGTGGTGGCGTGCACCTGTAATCCCAGCTACTTGGGAGGCTAAGGCATGAGACTCACTTGGACCTGGGAAGCCGAGGTTGCAGTGAGCTGAGGGCGGACCACTGCAATTGAGCTTAGGTTACAGAGTGAGACTGTCTCACAAAAAAAAAAAAAAAAAATATATACACACACACACACACACACACACACACACACACACATGAAAGATGGCAGCTAGAAAAGGAAAAAAATAGGATTTCTGAATAGGATTCAGGTCCAACTGCAACAAGAGAGCAAGCACTTGCAATCTGTAGTACGAGTCATCGATGACCCCACACTGAAAGACAGGGTCCTGGCTCTAAAGGAAGGAATCTCTGCAGCCCTATGTTCACCTCACCCGGCAGGAAATTTACTTGGAACACTTTTCAATTACTCTACTAGAGAATAAGCACAGGAAGGGAAAAAGATCAAGGAAAAAAGGTAAAAATCTGGTCACCCGATACCTTCCTTTTACTCTGATTATTTTCCTCTACCCCCTGCAATGATTTTGGCCTTTCCGCCCTTTTATTTTACAATAATTCATGAACCACAGCCATACACGTTCTAGAAAAGCACTGTCCAACAGAAATTTCTGTGATGATTTGTGTGTTCTATAATTTGCACTGTCCAATATGGTAGCACCTGGCCACATGTGGCCACTATGCACTTGAAACAGAGCTAATGTCACCATAGAACTGAATTTTAAATTTAAATAATTTAAATTTAAATAGTCACCAATTATGTCTGATCCTTTATAGCATCTCCAATTTCAAATGCTGCCTGTCAAAACTAAAAACTTTAACATCTGCAATATTCAAAATCCTTTTCTGTGGTTAAAATTTGAAGCAAAAAATATTTATCTAAATCCAAATTTTTGTAGACATCTGTCTTAAACCTACATAGAAAAAAAAAAAAAAAGTAAAACTTTCCTAGATTTTGACTGTGCTGATACTGCCCTGCCATGCTCCTGCTCCCCGTTCTCTGCTATGAGTCTCCACTTGGCTCAGCGGGCGACGAAGAGGCCTGCTTTAGAATTGCTGGTGTACTACTTCACCTGAACACGTACCAATCAAGAGGCTCTGTGCTTAGCTGTGACTTGGAGAATCATGACTCTACTAATTTGTTTTGTTTTTGCTTCTTTTTCCTAAGCACTAAAAGTGACTAAATTAAATCTATGTTCATAAACAGTAGTAATGTCATAATGTTTACGATCTCAGTCACCCACTTGTTCACTGTGCACTGTCATTCAACTGCTCAGAATGCTGTTCCCAAATGTCACCATGAGAGACATATACGAAAGCCTAAGACAAGGCTCTTGTCCTCAAAGGCATACAATTTATTTAAGGAAACAACTACCACATGTAAAAGGCAGAGGTGAATATTAAACTGTCCTCTCACAGTTCGCTTTTTAGCCACCACTAATTATGTGTTTCCCAAGACCCAGCTCTGGGGTAGGCATTTTATATGCGTCACTCTCACTGGATACTCACAGCAACCCTAGAAGGGAGCTACCAATACACACTACCTTTATTTTTAAGATATCTGAGGTTTAGAGAAGTAAAATCATTGCCAGCTAAATGCAAAGCTGAGATTTGACCCCAAGTCTGTCTGATTCCAGAGTCCAAGCTCTTAATTCACATAGACAACTCTAAATGTATCAATCATATTTAATATGTATAATGATTATACAACAAAATTATTCAGTGATCTCACTTTCTTCTAGGATTAGAATGTTCTCTCCACCAAGCCCAGCTCCTTTTGCAGGAAGGAGTCCTCTGGGCTCCATCCCTTTCTCACGATGTTGTATTAATCATAGCATTATTCTGACAAACCCTTGACTGCAGGCACGCACTTCAGATACATACCATTTTCACCCGATGATGTCTCTGAAACACTTTCATATATTCTACTTGATACTAAGTTTAAGAACTGTAATCATAGTATTTTTGGTGGTAAAGGAAGTGTCTAGTTTAAGTTTTAGGGTCTTCAGTGTAATTTCTTCAGGAGTTGTTACTACCAGGATCCGGAAGTTAGATTTCTACCCTTCAATCCTGACTGTGGCAGGGACTGCTCCCAGGGACATTCAGTGTGCTTAAGAATCAGCAACATTAAGGACAATTACAATAAAACACCTGTAATACACTCATGGGCGGACTGTGAAACTTACACTGTTTGGGTAACTTTTAGACAAGGAGCACTACAAAAACCAGCAAGGCAAGGGGCTGATGAGACATGCATATGTGTGTACGGATGTAATGTGTGCACAAACTCCTGTGCACAGAAGCTGTGACACGTTCAACCCTGACATATTACTTCTGGCTACTCCTGGGAAATGGAACAGGTAGCTGGAGGGAAGAGAGGAGAGAGGAGGGAAGAGAGGAGACAGGAGAACTTCATTTTATACACTACTTTATTGTGGCCATCTTTAATCTTTAATGGGCATATTACTCAAATAAATTTAAATATTAAAACATTTTAAAGCTCAGAGTGAAAATATAGACATATTTGATGGCTGAAAACTAAACTTAGGCTGGAAAATCTCAAATCAATTATTTTTTAAGCCTTATATACACTAATATATGGCCACACATATAAAAAACTCAAACTCCTTAGAAATATTGAAGTGGCATATCCTATATGACTTTTTCTAATGTTTTTGAGTTGCAGCAAATTTTTAATGAAATGGATCACGGGTGCTAAGTATCCTCTTACTGTAAAAATAAAGTTTGCTAAAGCCAGAGGGTCTTTCACGATGCTCTAGCCCAAATCCTGTACCTTAAAACATGAGGAAATGAGGTCTAGGCATGTGGAATAATTTCCTGAAGGTCTGAGTCAGCAGGAGAAACTTTCCTACCAAGGAAAGTGTTCAGAAGGCTCTACTGCTCGAGCCTTTTCCTGCAGAGGTGTGCATCGGGATCATGGGGTGTGAATGCCAACCCCCCTTCTTCCCGCTCCATGCCAGAGCCACCAAATCACACTCTCCACTCATGAGGACCCAGCCTGTACCATCTCATGAAGGTTTCCCGGTGATTCCATCCCATGCTGACCTCCTCAGTACAGGTGCTGACAGAAGTTGAAAAAAATTCACTCTTTTTTTAACAGTTTTGTTTTCAGTCATTATAATAATTACTACTGGACATATTCTGGAACAAAGCATATTATCTATTTCTTTAAAATACTATTTGAGATACAGAGAAACACAATAGGACTATGGACATATAAGAAATACACAGTATTTCTCAAGTATGGTTCTTAAGTACCATAAGAAGCATAATTAACATTGCAAAAAATGCAACAAAGAAGTGGCCGGGAGAGCCCACCTGAAGATTCCATCTGTTCTTCAACTGCTTATTAAGTCCTAAAACATCACCCAGAATCTTCCTGACAAGTCTGCAACTACCGACCAAATCATTAAAGCCTGTTAGAACAAAAGTTAAATGAAATGTAGTCTTTACAACATTAAAAAAATTAAGAGGAATCTAAATGGCTATATACATTTCCATTGAACAGCATATTTTCCGTCTTCTTGGAAATACCTTTGTGGTGGATTGAATGGTGGCTCCTGCCCAAAAGATACATACAACCCTGGAAGCTGTGAGTGTGAACTGATGTGGATAAGCATCCCTGAAGATGTAATTAAGAACCTCAAGATGAGACCACCTTGGATTTATGGTGGACCCTAAATTCAATAGCAAGAGTCTTTTTAAGAGAAAGGTAGAGGAGATTTGAGTCAGAGACCCAGGGAAGAAAGGTGTCTGATGACAGATGCAGAGACTGGAGTGGTTCCGTCACAAGCCAGCAGGTTCCTGGAGACTGGGAGGAGCGAGGATAGGTCCTTCCTTAGCGCTTTCAGAGGGAGCCAGGCCCTCACGGCACCTGGAATTCAAACTCCTGGCCTCCAGAACCGCGACAGAATCCACCTCTGTCGTTTAAATTTATGGAAAGTAGCCTTAGGGAAATAAACCTTTTTTAAAAAAATTAATGGCTTTATTGAGGTATAACTGATATACCAAAAACTACATATGTTTAACATATACAATCTGATGAGTCTGGATATACATACTAATACACCTTTTTATTTGGATAGCAAATGAAAGTACTGAAAAAATATTTTCTAAAAGAATTGGGTAACACTGGTGAACAATTCCATTATTCAGAGATAACCACTTTTATTACCTTCTGTATTTTGTTAGTGTCTTCACTTGAAATGTTTTATGGCTTGGTAGGCTTATCACTCTACACACGAGACAAAAAGCAGAGGATTAAACAAGTAACTCAGCTCCAAAGGTGATCTGGGATGAAACAAAATTCCCAAGTGGAGTCATGCTTTCCCTCAGGAGGAGGAGAGAGCAGGATGCCTCGGCTCTGGAATGGGACTTCCTTAACATCTCTGGCTGAGAACCACAACTCAGCTAAGTCTTTTGTTTTCAGTTATGAATATACAAAATATGACACAAATTATACATCAGTTCTGAGTATATTATTTCTCATATTCTTTCCTCTCCATAACAGAAAAAAAACTCCCTAAATATTGACTTAGTAACTCTATTAATAATTATACATTCTAGCTTCATGCCTGTAACACACAAAAGTTCCAACTCTAAAGCTGTTTCAACTAAGGACCAAGACAGAACAGACTCTTTGATTCTGAGTAAAGCAAAATAGCCTCTCTGTCCTCAAGAGTTCACTTCACCAGCAACATGGGCCTCAGGGTACAATAAGTTAATCAAAATTTTTTTTACAAAACTAATTTGCCTAATGTTATCATTAGTCAGAAAAACTTACCTGTGCTCACCCTGTGTTTACCCAAACTGTCCTTTCGATTTTAACCGTACCTCTTGCTTCTCTTATACAGCAGCTAAGAAAGAACAGTAAAAAGGCCTAATACCAGGAAAAATGAACATAAATTACATAAATAGGGAAGATATGAGAGGTCAGAGATTTAAGTAAAAGTGCTTTAGAACTTTACAGGACATGTGTTACAAATCTTGGGCTCCTAAAAATTGTTTTAAATGTCCATGGTTCAGTGTTGAAAGAGAGCTTGCTCTGAGTTAGGTAAGCTACCAAAGAACTACAGGGACCAACCAGATGCATGGAAAACAGAGAGGGCAACACCACTGGTCCAGGGTCAACCAACTGCACGGAAAAGAGAGGGCAACACAATTGGTCATTATTTTGATTTTTACAATGAAGTATTAAATAATTAAATAATTTATTTACTATTATTAAATAATTTATTTATTATTAATAATTGATAAATTATTTGATGCTTCATTATTATTCATAAATTAATAATTAACAAATAATTACTAAATTTATTTATTAATAATAAATTTATTAATAATAAATTAATAAAGCACCATGAGCTACAGAAATAACAGACTGTAACTGTGGAACTCCAGATAGCACCTGACTGTCCCTTTGTAAACATGTCATCCATGGAACATTCTAGTCTACGGATCTGTACCCAACCAGCTTAAATAAAATGAAACGGCCCCAGAACAAAGCTGTGTATGTGACTTAGAGATCATGGCACAGTCCTGAGAGCTGTACAATGGGTGGACAGAAGGCGCAAGTGAGCGGGAGTGACAGAAACTACATCAAGGGCAGCATTTGTCTGTGTGAACTGCTATGCCTCCTCTTCCAATGGGTGAAAGGGAAAATCCTTCAAATGTGGCTGCTTTTAAAAATCTTTCATGAGTATCACGCCTGGTTCTGTGGTGGATACAATAATGAATGAAGGTGGTCCTGGCCCATAAGGACCTGAGCCAACACTGGATCCCCCCGAAACACACACCAGAGCCAACACTGAACATGCAGAGCCGACAAGCCGACTAGTCCACCGGCAGGGAGGCGTCACGTCCTCCGCTTCTGCAAAACACAGATTGCCTTGCTGGCCACGAGCAAACACGCAGCTTCTCCTTCACTTTATCACTCAGCACCCAGCCCCTCAGAGCTCTGGACTGTGAGCTCGGAGATCTCCGCAGCACCGCACCGTCTTTACTCAGGTGGTGTCCTAAGACCACACGTCACTACAGCCGGCTGCGCGCTCTTTCGGCAGCTGTGGCCGTCTCAGCAGCTATTGTTTGTCCCTGAAGTACTGGTGCCGGCAGGATTAGGCGTGGAGCCAAAAATGGAATTCTATTCATAGACTGGCGAGGCTGGAAAGCAGCTCAGAACTCATTTAGTTCAAACTTTCAGAGTTCCAAAGAAAACACTAATAAAATGGATCAAACGACTAGTCTAAAGTCACATGGGGAGTCATACAGGGACCCCATACCCTAGTCTTCAGACGTCTCTTCTGCTTTCAATTCTACCTTACTAGCTGTTTCTTGTTGAAAATTGATGGCATTAAAACATAAGATCGACAGCAAAACTCAATTTACAGGGAATTGCCTTCAGTGATCCTATAAATGTCAGATATAGCAGGGTCAGAAGAAGAGGATAGGGTACACAACCCATTTTATAAGGTTAACATCATGTTGACATAAAAAGACTAATCTCAGGCACCCAAATGCAAAATCTTAACTATAATTTTAGCAAATAATATTCAGCAGCTATAGAAAAACCAAATGCTGACAGAATTTATCACAAAGATTCAAGTTAACCAATTTGCGGAGGAAAAAGTTTGTCATCATCAACATCGGCAGAAATGTACTGAATAACATTTGACTTCTTGCAAACTTTAGGGATGATATACTTCACTTATTTTATAAAATAATAATGAGCATGAGAAAGAGATAGGAAAAAAATCTACAGATTCCTCCTTAAAATATCTGCGTATCTTGGTAAAAAGACTGCAAATAGGTAATTTTTTTTTAAATGAATTCCTGCCATTGAAATGCGACTGGCCCGTCCTTTCCTTCCTTTGCAGCTATCAAATGTTACCGGAAACCCCTGGAAGTTGTTTGCAGCTTTAGCTATTTCCTATTGCAGTTTGTTCAGTATTCGTTCCAGCCACAATAAAATGCCATTTACTCTGGTTCAGAAAAAAATAGTTGTAAAGTGTTACTGGACTAACACATGATGAGCACCCAGTATACCTACCAGCTATTCTACCATTTTGTAACTTTACTGCGTGCTTTAGGGATTACCACACATAAACTATACATCGCTGCCCAGTCTGCAATCACAAATCACATTTCCTATAGTAAACATAAAATAATTCTATACTAAATACAGGATTTTACATGTAAAGAAGCGAATAAAAAACAGAACACTGTATAACGCCGTCCTCTAAAAAGCATATGAAATGGAAACTGAGTAATTTGAGTATAACATGTCGACACAGAATAAGAGAATAAACAAAATGGGGGAGATGATAAAGACCTGCTAAGTATACTTAGAGCCAACTGTTTGAGCTGAAATTGGGAGCTCTGAAAACTTAACAGGACACATCAACACAGAAAAAGTAGGAAAACCTCAAAATCTAGGAAAATTTATCTTCTAATGAGAAACAATTACTTCCCAATGTAGAAGAGATCTAACAGTCTACTAACCAACTTGCAAAATCGTATCTGAGATCTCAACCTTGATACTGATACTCTAATTGCTCTATTTAAAGAATAATTTTGTTATTAACAACCAAGAGAAGTGAAATACAAACATCCTTTCTAAGCACTCTTGCTTAGAGCAACGGGAGGGATTCAATTTTTACTTCAGAAATATAAAAGTCTATCCCTTCAAAATAATTTTAAAAATCAGCAATCAACGAAATTGTTTAACTAGTCCCACCAGTAAATACGTCCACTCATCAGGAGTCAGGAAAGCACAGTAGCTTGTTTTTGTGTGGCTGGCTAGTGAAGAATGGCTTTTGCATTTTTAAATGGTTGAAAAAAACTTTTGTGATACATGAAAAGGGCAGAAAATTCAAATTTTATTGAATTTATTTCGTTTATTTACAAAGTTTTACTGGAACACAGCGGTGCTCACTCATTTCCGTATCATCTACAGCAGCTTCTGGGCTACAGTGACACGGCTGAGTGGTGTGACAGAGACTGTATGGCCCACAAACCCAAAAGCCCCGTGTGGCCCTTTATAGAAACAGTTTGATGACCCCTGCGGTACATGCTTCATAAAACTAAGTTTAAAAATCTAGTGTTACTTAAAAGTTTCCCATTTTTGGTCTGATGGCACCATAGGAATAAGATTAGCCTGAAAAGCAACTATTATATGAAACAGAGTCCCTCAATGCAAAGAGTAGATAAGAGACAGAAAAACTGGCTCCACAACCACATTTACACCCAAATGCAAAGGCACAGGGACTGGGAGTGGCACCATGCACTGAGAAGCGGCAGCCAGGAAATTCACATTGCCTGACCTCTGGTAGCTCTGACCTCTGTGAAGTCTTAGATTATTTGTAAAATGAAGAAAATGTAAATAAGGAGCACAGCAGGCTATTGGTATCTGTAGTCACCATCTCACAGGGCTCTTGTAAAGATGAAGTCTGTGGAAGCTGCTCGTAATAGATGAGACACACTTGTCAATGTTCCTCTGACTCCTAACGAAAGTTCTGTTCCAGCCCTATCCAAAAGTGATGGCAAGACACAGTAGACGGGTGGAAGAGTGGTATAAAAAAAGACTTCAGAGAATGAGACAGAAAGGGGCAAAACAAGGAAAATTAGGCTTTGCTGGTTTCCCTTGGGCTATCTCCTTCAAGCTCAGCTCTCCAAGGGAACAGGCATGAGACAGCTGATGGACCAGCAGGACCAGCAAGATTCTAACAGTGCAATGTGCTCCACAATAATGAGATGGGATTTTGAGTAAGGATCACTCTCCAAAATACATGAAATTTTTACTCTACAGGTTGGGCGCAGTGGCTCATGCCTATAAAAATCCCACTTTGGGAGGCCAAGATGGGAGGATTGTTTGAGATCAGAAGTTGGAGACCAGCCTGAGCAACACGGTGAGACCCCTGCCTCTACAAAAAATATAAAAACTAGCTGGTCGTGGTGGTGCAGGTCTGTGATCCCAGCTATTCAGGAG
Source organism: Homo sapiens (assembly GCF_000001405.40). Lineage (NCBI taxonomy): Eukaryota > Metazoa > Chordata > Mammalia > Primates > Hominidae > Homo > Homo sapiens. The sequence goes on from NC_000004.12 coordinate 186,654,809, forward strand.
ACCGAGGAAGGAAGAACTTGGGCAGAGGAGTTTGAGGCTGCAGTGAGCCAAGATGGCATCTCTGCACTCCAGCCTGGACGACAGAGTGATACACTGTCTCGAAAAACAAAAAAAAAAACAAAAAAAACTTCACTCTACAGGATGGAGGAAGGAAAACCTAAGAAACATTAAGCTGAAACAAACTCAAAACACAAAACCTCCATTAAGAAGATTCACTATTTATCAAATGAGGTTTTTATGGTATATACATATTGAATTGTGTACTATGTGATTGCATTATGTATTTAAAATCTCAGGAAGACAGAAATACAGGTAGCAGCTGTCAAAGAGCCTAAAACCTTTTAAGATGCAAATATAGACACACAGAAATCACAAACATACATATATAGTCAAAGAGGATGCCCTGTACCATTAACTACTAAACTTTTCTGATAAATTTATTTTTAGTCATAAATAAATTTCTTTCTTACTGTATTTGTTCTCAAAGAGGAAGATGAATGAGAAGAGGTAAAAAGTAAACATTGGTTAGATAAAATCAGTAGACCAGTGAAATGGACAGTGAAAGGTACATGGATATGCACATATATTCCTATAATAATGTGGCAAGTTCATCAGTAACCACAATAAGGTGATTTTTTTTTTTTTTGAGATGCAATCTCACTGTTGCCTAGGTTGGAGTGCAGTGGAGTGATCTCGGCTCGCTGCAACCTCTGCCTCCTGGGTTCAAGCTATTCTCATGCCTCAGCCTCCCAAGTAGCTGGGATTACAGGTGTGCACCACCACACCCAGCTAATTTTTGTTTTTAGCAGACATGGGGTTTTGCCATGTTGGCCAAGCTGGTCTCGAACTCCTGACCTCAAGTGATCCACAAGCCTCAGCCTCCCGAAGTGCTGGGATTACAGGCACGAGCCACCACACCCAGCCAAGGTGCTCTTAAAAGCACAGCATCCAATACTGTTATGGAAAAACCCAAGATGCATATCCATGTATACAGTATGCTATCTGTATAAAAAGATGAGGAAAAAACCAACATATTCTTTCTTGCTTATATACAAGTGAAAGAAAATGCAAACACTAGTTGCCTCTAAGTAGATTTTATTATTCAGGTATGGTGAGGCAACAGATCAGGTACGACCGCCAGTACCTGAAAGTACCTGCAAAGGCAGTTTGGTACTTCCCCAAGAGGAGGCCATACCACCGCCACTGAAGGTGGCAAAGGCCGAAGGCCGTGCTGGGCCATACGGGACCATGCCAGGGTTGGTCTGGAGGTGGAAGGAACCGGGAAAGCTTGACTGAGGATCTCACAGAAAGGCAAGGTGAGACGCTCAGGACTGGCTGGTTTAAGTAATTTCAAAGGCTCTGGGGCATAGCTGTCCCCAGTTGTCTAGCACTGGCTCTGATATGACTTGGGCGTGACACAGATGGTGGTGTGGAGTGGGACTCTGGACTGGTCAGCTTGCATATGAAAAGCACGGTCCTGCACCAGTCATCTGCTATCCCGAGTCCTGGAAGGGGCAGTCCTTCCCCACTCAATGAGGGCCCAGATGCCACAGCATTCAGGATACAGAAAATAAGAAAAGAGAGTTAATATACTAAGGAAGGGAACGGAGTGTCTGGAGAACTGGGTGAAAGTAAAACCTGACTGGGTATCTTCCTGTACTATTTGCACGTTGTGCCATGTGATTGCATTACCCATTTAAAACAAGTGATAGAATTTATGAGGTGTGCTACCCACACATACACATACATCACAAACACACGTCACAAACACACATCTGCCTTCCGGCCTTGCTGAGCAGGGTAAACTGATGATGAATGGTACCTGGGGAAGGAGGACTGAGAAGTGCCATTCCGGCTACTGGGTACAACACAACAGCACAATTTGGGAGGGACAAAAAGTGCATACATATCTGTATTTCCACAAACTCCAGAAACATAACCAGGATATTGCTAAGTTTCGATTTAAAATAAACCTAGAAATTCAGTTTTTACTCCAAGACACAGAAACCCTGGTTAAGAAGATTCACTGTTTATTAAAGGAGGTGTTTACAGTACATACATATTGATGGCACTTCTAAACTTAAAAAGGCATCTTTTTCTGATTTAAAAGCAATAGCTGACCTTCCACTTCTAGTAAGGGATCAGATTTATGCTTTAACATAAAACCACCAAGAAGCAGACAAAATGAATGCACTGGCAGTTGAAAGGACACTAGACATCAGGCAAAGAAAGACAAGGATCCCTGAGAGAAACAGATGAGGGGACACCCACGATCGCAGCAGCTTTCTGCCTTGAGACAGTTTCCAGACAGCTATGCACCCCTATGTGATGTCCAAGAGAAATGGAAGTATGTGTCCACAGAAAGGCTTGTACTCAATGTTCACAGCGGATTTACAAACTGCCAAAAACTGGCAGCAATACAAATGCCTATTACTAGGTGAGTGGATAAACAAATTATAATATTAATCTATCTATATAAAGGATACACAGCAATGAAAAGAAACGTAGTCTTGATACACGCCAAAACATGCATGAGTCTCAAAATAAACATGCGAAGTATAAGAAGCCTTACCAAAAAGAGTATATGCCATGTGAGTTCACCAAGATAAAATTCCAGGAAATGCAAACTATTATTTAGTGCTAGAAAGCACACCAGCATTTGACTAGAGATGGAGGTGGGAGGGTTGGGAGGGGGAATACAGAGAAGTGTGAGGAGACCTTTGGGAATGATGGGTGTGGTCACTGCCTGATAGTGGTGATGTTTTCTCAGGTGTAAAAGCTATGTGAAAGCTTATCAAATTGTAGACTTTAAATATGTGCAATTTGCTGTAAGTGAATTACACCTCAAAAAAGCTTTTTAAAAATAAAGATCAATACTTGGTTTGTAGCAAAAACGTGAAAAATATCAAACATACAGATAAGAGAGCAAGACCATGGTCTCTTCTAAAGGACACACATGTCTAAAAGTAACACTTCAAAATTATTAATAAATGCCAATTGTAAGTTGCATATCAACTCCCCCAAGTTCAAAGCAATAACTTTAACTAAAAAGACTCTTTGCAAGGGTGGTGTCGATTTCCCGAGGTTGTTCGTGAATAATGAGTCATGAGAAGCTCACACTAGTCTCTTTTGTTTGGGACTCCCTTTCTTCTCTGTCCTTGACACACCACAAAGCTGTGATGCTTTTGTTTGCAGGCGCTGCAGCTGCCAAGGCTCCAATCTGAGTTCTATGCTCCTGTCTCTCTTCCACCTTGAGCAAGTGCTCAACTTAAGTTAAAAGAAGCACATTTACCCTGTAACTGATGATGGACACAGTCAAACAAAAAATGTTATAAAAATTAGCAATGTCAACAAAAGTGCATATATCACAAAAAGAGAATGGATGCGGTCTTTCACTTGTATCTCCTAAAAATGAAAACCCACTGCCCCCCTACTTGCAAACAATATAATAAGAATGTCTGAAATGCAGACAGACAGTTCTTGGCACCATAATTAAGCACAAAAACCTTGAAGAGAAAAAACATTCAAAAAAGTTCACTCAAACTTGTGGTTTAGAACACAAAATTCATAAGCTCACTCACTAAACCCACTCCTAGAAAGCTTTCTTGTTGTGACTTTTAAAATATTTTGTTACACTATGACAAAAGGGGAAGGAGAAAAAGATATTGAGGAGATGTCTCCCTCTTTTCCAAAAAGACTTTTATTTAAGTTTATCCAAAATGTTGCAAGGCAGTTTATACTGACTCAAAAAGAGGTCACTTTTATTAATAAAAATAACAAATATTCTCTTTAACCCTTATTCTGGCATTCGAGGTTTTCCACTGAGGGTAGCCGTCTCCCATACACTTATTTCTTGGTCTCCAACTCACCATTCCTTCAAATTGTCGCCGACATGAAAACATCTCCTACCTCCTCTCCATCAATCTATTGTTACCATCTTCACAATCAGCCCAGTACCCGTTCCAAGGGGCTCATCTTCCCAACATAACCACTGCCAGTTTCCCACTTCCACCGGACCCGTGAGGGCCCCTGCCACGCCTCCACCGGACCCGTGAGAGCCTGTGCCACACTGCTGCACACATCTGTTCTTCTTGGTTATTTCACTTTTGTAGATGACGAACTTTCAAAGATTTGGTAAAAAAATTTCATAGTTCGGTAAATAAACACGGCCACGCACTGCATAACGACGTGTCAGTTAACCACGGGCTGCATATACGATCGAACCGCACATACGACCGTGGTTGTGAAAGATTAATACCACATTTTTACTGCACCTTTTCTACATTTAGCTATGTTTGGATACACAAATGTGTTACAACTGCCTGCAGTGTTCGGTACAGGATCACGGCATACAGGTCTATAGACTAGAATAGACCATCCCATACAGCCTGGGTGTGTAGTAGGCTAGACCATCTAGGTTTGGGTAAGTACACTCTACGTTGTCCACACAACGACAAAATCGCCTGATGACACGTTTCTCAAAATGCATCCCTGGCATTCAGCCTCCCATGACTGTACTTGATGCATAAACAAATGCTTTAAATGATGATAACTGTAGGTATTCTCTAGCTGCTGGACGTTTAGGATAATCACCAGGGTCCCAAATTCATGTTTCTAAGAAACAAGTGGGCCCACTTTATTCTAGCAAATGTGTTTATCCAAAGGCACAAGTTTATCAGTCTACTAGATTCTTGATTGTCTGACATTCATTAACAGAGCAACCGTAACACCCGCAAGAGGAAGCGGCTGTGGCACCTGTCCCCTGAACGACGCTGGGCGCTCCTGCACTCTACACACACAAGCCCGCTGTGGCACTTGTCCCCTGAACAACCCTGGGCGCTCCTGCACTCTACACACACAAGCCGGCTGTGGCACCTGTCCCCTGAACGACGCTGGGCGCTCCTGCACTCTACACACACAAGCCGGCTGTGGCACCTGTCCCCTGAACAACCCTGGGTGCTCCTGCACTTTACACACACAATCCGGCTGTGGCACCTGTCCCCTGAACGACCCTGGGTGCTCCTGCACTCTACACACACAAGCCGGCTGTGGCACCTGTCCCCTGAACGACCCTGGGTGCTCCTGCACTCTACACACACAAGCCGGCTGTGGCACCTGTCCCCTGAACGACGCTGGGCGCTCCTGCACTCTACACACACGAGCCTCAACAGGGGACAGAAACACCATGAATCACAAAATCGAAGGACCTGGAAGTCAGTTCGCCCCAAGATCCCAGAGGGAAGGCCTCACTATGGTCCGGATCTCTGGATTTCCAGCCCAGTGATTTCCTTGCTCAGCCGTTAATCATTAAGTAACACGATTTAGGGTCTCCAGGTGGCGAGATGGGTCAGTGACTCCCAAGCACTATTTCCTACCGGACGGACTTTCATCAGCCTTCACAATCAGGCCGCCATGATACTGACCTACCTGGGAACAGTCTGCTTTAAAGGTTGTAAGAAGACGAGGCATGTGTACTTCAGGCCCTGAGGATCACACCCCAACTTTCTGCTGAGGTGGGGGAAGAGAAGCATCTAGAAACAGATCTAATGAAGCTATATTTACTATATTATTTAATAATTCCATGCTAAAATACTGTTCTTCATCTTCAGAGACTTTAGGTGATCTGTGGAATGTTGAGACTTCTTTACTAACCACAGAGTTTTTAACATACTTCACAACAAATACTGCTGTGTACTAACTATGGTATCCTCCACTATTACCTGACTTCAACTCATAAGGAAAGAAAGCCTCTGTGTGCATTGCACTGAATTTCCTCCTGCCGCCCTGCCAGCGGAGTGCCTGTGCTCCCGCCGGGGCTGGGGTGTGGCTGTGGACACCTGGAGAGGGTTTATTCCTTCTGAAGACAACAGCACAGACATCTCTGCAAACACCTTTTCTTTAGAGTTGTCAGAATAGAGAGATTTAAAAGGGAGAGGCAATGCCATATTAATCATGTTTCTACAACAAGACATAACACCATAGCAGACACATCATCATTTCTGGGGTCCCAGGAAGAACCAAGGGTTTTCAAGGCTCCCCACAGCAATGCTAAGCTATATAATCTCCTCAGTTTCTTTCTCCTCCTACTCCTCAAACATATATTATGCCCAGACCTATGCCATGTGCTCAGATATCCCAAAGGATATTTCTTGCTTGCTCATCTATCTCTTCACAGAGGACTTACTCTAATCTAAAAGAGAGACAGAAGACACAAGAAAATTGAAAACACTGCTTAGTCTAATTCATCAAACAAATTACTATAGGGGTAGTTCTGGTCTTGAATTGCCACCTGAGATATGACATATACGTGTGTTGTGGGGAGGGGTACATATTTGTTTCTGTCCATGGTTCCTGGCTCGTTAACTCCCAGAACCCCTGTTAGTCTTTGGTTATAATGTTGTGGCACTTTTTGCCTCAGGAAACAGAATCTCTCTCCGGGCCACCTGCCACTCTCCTTTCACCTGCCAAGGCAGGACTCCAATCTGACTGTGTGTCATAAGCCCCTCATTCCAGAGAGGGTCCCGCTCCATATCCTGGAGGCGGAAACGCTGCAGACAGAGGCCAAGAACAATCTCAAGAGACAGGCCTTTGTCAACCACATGTTGACATGGCTGTCCGTGCGTCAATCATGCCTAGGCAATGAAGTCTCCATAAAAGGCCCAAGAAAGCAGAGTTCAGAGTTTCTCACCGCTGAACACGTGGAGGCTACGGGAAGGTGAACAAGAACTCATCCAGGTGCCGGGAGGGTGGTACACCCTGACTCTACCGGGACAGAAATGCCTGTGCGTGGGACCCTTGCAGACTTTGCCCCTGTGTATCTCTTCATCTGGCTGTTTATTTGCATCCTTTAAAATATCCTCTGTAATAAACAGGTAAATGTTAAGTGTTTCCCTGGGTTCTGTGAGCCGCTCCAATAAAGTAACAGAACCCAAAGAGAGGTCATGGGAACCGTCACTTGGAGCTGGTGGGTCAGGAGTTTCGGAGGCCTGGGCTTGAAGAGAGGTTATGGGAACCCTCGCTTGGAGCTGGTCCGTCAGGAGTTTCAGAGGCCTCGGCTTGCAACTGGTGGGAAGAAGTGAACACTCTTGGGAACTGAGCCCTTAACCTGCAGAATCTGAGGCTGTCTCCAGGTAAAAAAATGTCAGAATTGAATGAGAGGACTCCCAAGGTGTCCGCTGCTTGGTGTGTAGGAAATCCTCCCCCCCGCCCCCCGGCCAGCCCCCCAAACACACACTTGGTCCCAGAAGTCTTCTGTGATGATGATTGTTGAGGTTTGGGAAGAGGGTAGGAAAACATCTCTTTGAGGGTTTTTGTTCACACTCACATTGTGTCAATCAAGGCTTTTACTTCTAGATTTCTCTCTCTGGAGGTCTGGGACCGCCACTAGAGAGGCATACATACATTCTGGACTCCAAATTCATCCTCACAATTCTTATATACCTCTGACTTTTCTCTTATGTTTGACAATGCCTTTAATTTTTCAGTACTTAGTTCTTAGCTCACTTTTGCTTTATTTCACAAGGAGGGTGAACGCAGTCACCACTTGTGCAGTAAAGGAACAAAGATTAGAAGTTTATAAAAATTTCGGAGGAGGATTTTGAGGTCATGGAGCTATCTTCTTGGAAGCAGGGAAGTCAGTCACAGACATCGATGGAAAAAAATATTAGAAGCAAAAGGCCTGGGGTGTCACTTCAGGAAAGTAACCACTTCCAATCTGAAAACTGTTCAATCCCAATCCCTTACCACCTGCAGATACAGCACTGCTCTATAGGAAACACTTAAAACATTAAAAAACTAGCCAACTGTGAAATAAACTCTTTTAATACTCTTTACAAAAAGCCGACTTAGGACAATTCAAATTCTTAGCAGCAGTAGAATTTGCTGTAAGTTTAAGATATATCACTAATTTAGGAGCTATTACTGAAATAACAATGTTTGCTTTTTAACCTGAAAGTGAAACCCTACTAATGAGCATAATCGTAAAATAGCTTTATAAAAGCAAACTCAAAGTTTAAAAAGCACATTTAAGCTAATTTTTTTTTTTTTGAGATGGAGTCTCACTCTGTCGCCCAGGCTGGAGTGCAGTGGCACCATCTCGGCTCACTGCAAGCTCCGCCCCCCGGGTTCACGCCATTCTCCTGCCTCAGCCTCTGGAGTAGCTGGGACTACAGGCGCCCGCCACCACGCCCAGCTAATTTTTTGTACTTTTACTAGAGATGGGGTTTCACCATGTTAGCCAGGATGGTCTCGATCTCCTGACCTCGTGATCTGCCTGCCTCGGCCTCCCAAAGTGCTGGGATTACAGGCGTGAGCCACTGTGCCCGGTTATGCTAAATTTTTATCCAAAATAAAGGCTTATTTTGAATAATTCAAAAGGAAAACAATTTATCAAGAAACAAAAGTATGTAACAGATAAATGCTAATTCTTACTTTTCCCCCTAACAGAAAAGCATAAGCATAAACATTTCCTATAGCAGTATTAACACATACCTGTTTTAGGATGTATTGAAAAGAATCCTTGTGGATTTCCACTTGTAATTTTGTACATGAGCTTGTCATTAGAGCTCGAATCTGGATCAAATGCCTCGATCTGGACCACAGATACATCTTTAGGAGAATTTTCCATGATTTCTGGGTAATAAACAGGCTCTGATGTCTGTGGTGCATTGTCATTGACATCCTCAACCTCTATGTAGATCTCTATGAACGATGAAAGAGGCACGACACCCTGATCGGTTGCAAAGACTGTTAGCCAATAATGGGAGGTCGATTCACGGTCCAGTCGATCTGACGTCTCTATGACACCTACAGAGAAAAAAGAAAAGCGTAAAGCAGCACATCAACGACCAAAACTGCCAGCTTCAGAAAGTGTCAACAACTACGGCTTACTGAGAGCTTTATATGTCTCTTACTAGGTGCATAACCTTGAGCAGGTTAACCAGCCTTTCTGTGACTCAGCTTCCTTTCTTCTAAAATAGAGACAATAATAGTATATTCAACTAACATGCATATAATGATTAGAACACTTGGCACATAATATAGGCTATAAAAGTATTTGTTATTAGAATCAGGTGTCAGGCACTAAATGGAGCACTTTAAAAATATTATCTCACTGAAGTCTCAAAATAGGTGAGCACTAAGAGATCATCTAATGGCCCAACACTTCATTTTTCCATAGGTAAAGTTTATAGTTGGTTGAGAGACGTGCTGACTTTCCTGGAGGCTACTCAGGAAGACAGGGACAACACCAGAGCCATGGCCCAGATCTGAGACCCCACAGTCCAGCACCCCCGCTCCCCACACTGCATCCCTGTGGCGGCCACTGTCTAAGGAAAAAGGCAGGAGCAGCATCCTCCAGAAAGCTCGGTCTGCACACACACCCCTTCTCACAGTGGCTAAGGAAAGAAACTGCAACCTTCAAAGTCCACAATAAGGGGCTGCTCAGATCTCCTGAGTGTTGAGGTCCTTTTATTTCTTTCAATCGCCTCAAACAAATGGGAAGACAACCAGCATGCTATAAAAATATAAACTACACTATAAACTCCAAAAGGGCAGAGGCCACATCATTCTTAAATACCAGTATCCGCAGCACCTTACACAAAGCACAATAACGTATTAAATACACAAGTGAAATATCTAAGTATCTTAATCAGGGTTGGTATAGAAAAGTCCTCAACTGGGACCCAAACTAGGATACATTTCTTAGTAAGTCAACTAGCAAGAGATGAAATTATATGATTACAAAGAAGAGGGTTAGAGTATCTGTAATGTTTTGGTCCAGCCACTGAAACCAGTCAAAACTTAACTTCAAGCCAGGATTTACCTCCTCTGGGGATAAGAAGTAGAAATATCCATTTCTCTTTGGCAAGTCCCACCTTTTTATTCAATGGTGCAATCTCGCCCTTTGTCTACCAAAAACATATCACTGCACTTTTTCTCATGGATTGATCACTCGGGACTAAAGATACTTTCAGTGTTCTTCTACACCATGGTACAGGCTGGACTCTGGAAATGCTGAAGCTCTAGAATCACTGAAGTTTCCCGTTAAACGCAAACTACTGTGAGAAAAATAACCAATTACCAATTTTACCTATGCTCAGCAATGAAACATTTGGTTGAGAAAAATACACTGTTGCAATTCGTAATTTTGATCACACGAAATTAAATATTAACTTATTCGAGGTTAATATCAGAAAAACTCATTTTTTGAATGAATGATAATTATATCTAATACTCCCAAAAGGACTCACAACTTGAAAATAGAAAACTTAGCTAAATAAAATGTGAAATTATCATAAAATGAATCTTTATTGCCATTCAGAAGCATTACAATGATTTGTTATTGCTTCATTATTTCATACTGAACCTTCAGAAAGGGGGTATAATACTGCTTCTAGAAACATGGAAGAAACCTCAGAACCAAATGGTATTTCTAGTTCTAGATCCCTGAGGAATCGCCACACTGTCTTCCACAATGGTTGAACTAGTTTACAGTCCCACCAACAGTGTTAAAGTGTTCCTATTTCTCCACATCCTCTCCAGCACCTGTTGTTTCCTGACTTTTTAATGATCACCATTCTAACTGGTGTGAGATGGTATCTCATTGTGGTTTTGATTTGCATTTCTCTGATGGCCAGTGATGATGAGCATTTTTTCATGTGTCTGTTGGCTGCATAAATGTCTTCTTTTGAGAAGTGTCTGTTCATATCCTTCAGCCACTTTTTGATGGGGTTGTTTTTTTCTTGTAAATTTGTTTGAGTTCTTTGTAGATTCTGGATATTAGCCCTTGGTCAGATGAGTAGATGGCAAAAATTTTCTCCCATTCTGTAGGTTGCCTCTTCACTCTGATGGTAGTTTCTTTTGCTGTGCAGAAGCTCTTTAGTTTAATTAGATCCCATTTGTCAATTTTGGCTTTTGTTGCCATTGCTTTTGGTTTATTGCGGCACTATTCACAATAGCAAAGACTTGGAACCAACCCAAATGTCCATCAGTGATAGACCGGATTAAGAAAATGTGGCACCTACACACCATGGAATACTAGGCAGCCATAAAAAAGGATGAGTTCATGTCCTTTGTAGAGACATGGATGAAGCTGGAAACCATCGTTCTCAGCAAACTATCGCAAGGACAAAAAACCAAATACTGCATGTTCTCACTCACAGGTGGGAATTGAACAATGAGAACACATGGACACAGGGTGGGGAACATCACACACCGGGGCCTGTCGTGGGGTGGGGGGAGGGGGGAGGGATAGCATTAGGAGATATACCTAATGTAAATGATGAGTTAATGGGTAAAGCACACCAACATGGCACATGTATACATATGTAACAAACCTGCACATTGTGCACATGTACCCTAGAACTTAAAGGATAGTAAAAAAAAAAAAATGAAATAAAATAAAATAAACCTCAGAACCAAATAAAAATGAGCTAACTGGTTCCTCCGTACAGCAGACAACTGAAGATGAACTCAAACATGCTTCCCTGTTCTCTAACCCAAGCATAATGCACACACACTCAACTGGTCTGCTAAATTAGCAAAATTATATCTGTCTGTAGGCTCAAATAATAACCTTTCCCAGTTCCTCTGATTCATCACATCTATCCACAGATACAAAGACGTCAGGGGATAACAGAATGTTCTCTCCGGGAGGATTACACATTAACAAAATGTACACAACTCCTCCTGTGTGCTGCTACTTCATTAAAATGCAATAAAATTCACTTGACAGGTGAAGTATTATTAGAAAATCTCAAGAAGACAGGTACGTGGTGCTTTTATCTACCTCTTTTGAGTTCTAATCCTCCAACAATTCATGCTTCCATCTACTGTTTTAAAATGTGCCCCTCTAAATGTGACTAGAGGCATTTACAAACAGTGATAATTACAGAAACAATTTGCTCAGTGTTTACTAAATGCCAGGCCCTGTGATAAGTGTCTTACATGCATTATCTTATATAATCTTTACATCCAACCTGCCTAGATATGTGATGCTATTAACTCCATTTCACTAACGAAAAACTCAGATTGAGAGAAATGAGGCACTTTCCCAGGGCCACAGTGAATGGCAGAGCTGGAGTGTGAATACCACAAATCTCATCTTCAGCGCCAGCAATATCCTTGTCAGTCCTACGGCTGTTATGACAAAAGAGTAAACAAAACTTAATGTGGTAATTTGGGAAAGATGAGTCAAACTTCCTATTTCATCCACCTGTTCTACATGTCAGTATTCAGCAGGAATGTATTAAATGTTCACTCATACACAATAGCTTTCTCTAATCTCAAGGGAAAAAAGAATTATGAAATGGAAGTATATCACCCTCACATCTGAGGTTTGCAATTACAGATAGAAACAGCTATGATTTTTCCGTCGTGCCTTATTTCTAGTTCGGGCCGTAAGCGTCCAGACTGCAGTGTGCAATTCTGAGATGGCATCTGCTGGTCCCCACCGACCCATCAGCTGTACAACCAGGGGGTGGGGGACAGTCATGTCCATCAGGAGGGGATTGTCGGCCTCCCCGGTAATCTACGGATATTACTAAAGGTTAAGACTGAGGCAACAAAGCGACTCTATTCAAATATCGGAGATTGTGTAATTCGCAATTAAAATAGTAAGTATGAATGAGTGAGATGCTGGATGTTCCTATTTCATGAATTCATGACTGTGTACTTTTATAATGCCTATCGTGATTGCTGAGATAAGCTTCTGCTTCGATGCATTTTAATTATTACCTCTTTGTAAGATAAAAAATCACTGAATACAACTTACGGAGAACTATAAAGTAAATTTCAACTGCCAAAGGGAGAGGAGGGCACACCGAAGAATCTTATCTTCTAACCAAAATCCTCAGATCCCTCATGTCCACCAATCACGTCACTAGATGCTTTATGTGCATTAAATCATTGAAAGAACATGGAAGTTGCATGATTTTCATCCCAGCTTTACACATGAGGAAAGAGAAGCTTAGATCCATTAAGAAACTTGCTTAAGCCCTGGAGTGATGAGGAAACAAGGCCAGGGTCAACAGCTAACTGGTGGGATCCGGAGCTGAGCCGGACAGTCTGACTCCAGGCCTCAGGGTCTTCTCCACTGAGCGGTGGGCTGTTGCCACTATCAATCAACAGCAACACTGTCGGACACCAAAGGTGCTGGGGACCTGGTGGGGCTATAACCATGAGGAAAGGCCACAAGGAGTTTCCCAGTGTGGAAGGAAGGGTCTTCCTCATGCATGCAGGACAACAGACGGGAGACGATCTGAGGATTCCGCTCAGAGTTTTGGGGTTCAGTACCTAGGCGCTATTATAGGCACTGCACAAAGTGGGTGGAAGGAAGCCTTAAGCGTGCCAAGTTATTTTGTTTTCCGCTTTTTAATCTGTCAGCCCAGTTGCATGATACACTCCTCAAGAACCCTGGGCAGAAACTTCCAAAGTGGACCTATGGCACTAGCCCGAGATCTCTAGGTCAAAACCCCGAAGCTTCCCATCTTGAATCAGAGGCAAGACGAAGGTCCAGGATGGCTGAGTGAGAGTCTAGATAATGTGCAAAGAAAGACCAGGGGTAGAGCTAGCCTTCGCCATCTCAAAATCAAGCATTAGACTGGGAACGCCTTCAAAACCCTCCAGTGCAACTCCCTTGTTCTTAAAGAACGTTGAAATGATTTGTCCAACTCCAAGAAGCTAAACAGGTGTAGTTCAGAATCCAGAGTGAAGGACTTCCTTAATCAGGGGTTCATCACGATCCAAACCATTCTTTAAGGGAGTCCTGGTTTCTGCAGGGAGTGACACACCAGCTGTCTCCAAGTATGACCGAAGCTGCCTTTACTCATTAAGTCATTAGCAGTTCTTGTTCCTACACTTCATCATGCTTTCACCAGTCCTTCCTAAAGCCACGACTGGCATTTACAGATTACAGATTGATTTCTTCTGTAACTTTAGCAGTTACCTCAATTCCATAGAGAGAAACAAATTTTCACATTTCCATTGGGAAGACTTCTAATTAGTGCCTTTAACACAGAGAAAAACAAAAATAAAACTAAAGACATCCAGTCATCACTGGATGTGAATCAAACTGTGGTCACTCTCAAACCTCTATCCCTGTCTATTTCTCTTTATCCATGAATGTCTACCTATCAACTTTCAATAAGTACTTTTTTATATAGTGGGTTATAAACTCACCCTGGAGACAAAAGGAACCAACAAAAACTATAGTTTTTACAGGTATCTTTCTATTTACACATATTCACGACCTCACCTTTTTGGGCACCTATGTATATCCACCCCCAAACTCTTCTCTGCGGTCTCCCTCCTGTCTTCGGCATCTCCTCCCCTCTGCGCTCCCCTCCTTCTACCTTTCTGAAAGCAAACACAGCATGCGGCCAGAAGGTGCCTGCGCCCAGGCTGTGAGGAGGGAGGGCTGCAGCCCAGGCCTTCCGCAGGATTCCCTCCAGCCAGATGCCGGGAGCAACAGAGCCGTGAGAGGGGTGACAGGGAAACTCTGTCGCCACTCCCGTCAGGAGGTTGCCGTGCACACGCAGTGAGAGCGGTCGTGATGCTGCTGCGTGATGCTATGACGCAGATTTGGAGCACAGGAGACAGGTTGAGACACGCTTGTTACGTGTGCCACTCAGCAGTGCCATCAGAAATCACGGCTTTACCTGAATGAAGCATTACGGAAGGAATGAAAGCCTAGCTTTCCAACCTCGAGAATACAGTGAAGTTGTTAATAACCTGAAAAATCCGAAAGAAGCCGGAAATTTGGAGTTATTAAGTAAGAATATTTATCATTCCAAACATACTCTCCAGGATTTCAAAACCACCACCAGATGTCACTATGGAAACTCACTTTAAATATGCATCCAGTGGAGAACGAGACTGAAGGGGGAAAAATGTAATTTCTAAAAGAGCTTAACCAAGATAGTTGAAAATAGAGCTCACAGCAAAATTTCTGTATGGAAGGATTCATTAATGTCCACTTACTTAACTAAACGGATACTGACGTTGTCTTTCCACAGCCTGATTATTCAAAGGTTATAGGGTTGCTCCAATAAACGGTTCAAAAGTAAATCACAGTTTCCAATAATAACTCCTACTCCCCGCCACTGCTGGCCCCTGCTGCTGTTAAGGAATAGTCCTTGATCAGGAAAGGCCAGCATTCCCTCCCGCTGACACAGGTGGAACAGGACTCTTGCAACACAGTAATCTTTAAGGCAAAAATAAAGTTATAGCTATGATGTTTGCCAAAAATAATTTAACTGATTCAAATTCCCATGGCCACAGAACACCTTTCCTCCTAGAATTTTCCTATTTTAACAGGTCTTGGCCCCCAATCAAGCCTTAATGCCAAGGCTTTCAACAAAGCCTCGTTACTTCTGACTCTCAGAAATACCTATCATCAGCAACAACCCAGCAACACAAATTTGCAAACGCTACCCTCCTTTCTGATATGTCACATACTTAATGTTTTAAACTTTTCATACAACTGCTTAAGGCAGCAATTGTATTAAAAGCTGCTTTGTTCAATCACAAGAAAAACTTAAATGTGAGATATAATTTTAACGATATTTTCCCTACAGGCAACAACAGACAGAAACTCTTTTCTCCAATTCAATACCCTCAGCGTAAACAGGGTAACTCTTTTGAAAATAAGCATTTTCCCAAATATGAAAACAATACTCACGGAAAAAGAAGAGACATACCATCAACACACTAGAGAGCCAATATCTCTGTTGCTGCAATTAATCTATAAACGGTTATTCAATTTTTCCTGCTAATTATGCAAAGACTAAACATCTCAGAATTGTCATATTAAATGTTAATCACTAAAAACATCAATTCTTCCTTAAAATTAAATTTTAAAAGTAGATTGTAAGCTTCCTATTAGAATGCAAACTTTTTAAGGACAAAGAATTGTTACGTGTTTGGTTCAAGGCCGGGTCAATAGTGAGTGCTTATAAAAAATGATATCCATTACAGACAAGCAAAGGAGGAGAAACAGTCGCAGGCAAGAGGAGACCAGAGAGACGTAACTAAATGTCATGTGGGAGCTTGGACCACAGAAGGCACCTTAGGTAAGAACTCAGAAAATCTGCATCTATTATGGACTTCAGTTAGTAACAATGTACCAATACTGATTCTTTAATTGTAACATCTTACATACTCATGTAAGATGTCAACAACGTGAGAAGCTGGGGCAGGGAGCAGGGAGTTATGTGAGCATTCTACTTTCTGCTCCATTTTTCTGCAAATGTTTTATTTTTTTAAAAAGTTGTCTATGAGAGCTCATAATATGTAGATTGTTTCCTTCCTTCAATTAAAAACTTTTTTGAACTTACCTGTTTTTAATCTCGTTTTCATTAAATACTAGATTTAGACTGATGTTAATATTTCCACATCTTGATGATACCTTGAGAGCCTAATGTGTGTATAAGAAACTTTACATGTTAAAGGCTAAAGATTTAAATAACAATCTAATTCAAAATATAATTTACTGTAAAATAATAAAAAAATATTACTTGTTTTGCCTATTATATACAAAGAAAAGCTGTAAAACGAGTTTAATATAAAAAGCAAAATTTCTGCAATTTAGCCTTTCTTTAAAATAACTGGGCCGGGCATGGTGGCTCATGCCTGTAATCCCAGCACTTTGGGAGGCCGAGGCTGGCAGATCACCTGAGGTCAGGAGTTAAAGACCAGCCTGCCCAACATGTTGAAACCCCGTCTCTACTAAAAATACAAAAAATGAGCTGGGCGTGGTGGCAGGCGCCTGTAATCCCAGCTACTTGGGAGGCTGAGGTAGGAGAATCACTTGAACCCAGGAGGTGGAGGTTGCGGTGAGCCAAGACGTGTCATTGCACTGCAGCCTGGGCAACAAGAGCGAAACTCCGTCTCAAAAAAAAATAAAAATAAAAATAAAAATAACGATACTAGTTTGACATGCAGTATTATCTCATAAATCGAAACCTTTGAATTCTTTTAGAAACAATACAGTAGATCGTGTGTGTGTGTGGTGTGTGTGTGTGTAAATATACATTTAATGTTCTTGCTTCTGCCATCAGTTGGCAAATTTATGTTATTTACTACTGTGGACTAAAATAGAACAAGAAATGAAAAAGGAGGAGTCTATTGGGCTGAAGGCATTTAAGATTCTAAAATGGCTATTCAGTCTACTTTCTCAGGGAATGACACAGGAAATGCTCTCAGAACTAAAATCAACATTTGTTACTTTCCTTTCACCTG
Source organism: Homo sapiens (assembly GCF_000001405.40). NCBI lineage: Eukaryota > Metazoa > Chordata > Mammalia > Primates > Hominidae > Homo > Homo sapiens. The sequence continues at coordinate 186,672,047 of NC_000004.12, forward strand.
AAGTTTATAAGATATTACTATTTACTTCACTGGTGTTGCTAATCATAAAACATAAGGAATATGTAAAGACCAATGTTTAATGGTTTATTTTGCAGAAGAAGGAAAAAAACAAGTTCTAGTACTTTTAAAAACAATGTTCTATTATGTGTGTATACATATATTAATAAATAAAATTTTAATTGCTAGAGACCACTTCTATAAATATTTTATGTTTTTGATAATAAAAGAAAGTCAAAATAAGTAAAAGAAAGTAAGTCAACCAAGAAGCATCCCTCGTGGGCCAATCAAACTGCTAGGCAGTATACTAGTGTACCGTACAGGTGCCTCTCTGCCCCCTTACAGATAAAAATACAGTAAATCATGTATAATTTCTTTCTCTCCAGTTTAACTGAAGCCATGACACTGACCACCATGACCCAATCTTTCAAAACCAGTGATGTGCCATGAGTGCCATTTTGTGAGAAGCCATTTGTATTTTGAGCAAACTCAGTGGCCTGATGATGACTGACAGGGATGGCAACATAACAGCATACATGGACTCAAGATATAGCAGAGAAGAACTTCTTATACATCAGCTCATTTACTCCTTACAGCAACCCTAAGAAGTAGGTAACGTTATCATATCCTATTTCACAGAAAGGAAACAGACAGTACAAGCAACCTGCCAGAAGTCACACAGTCCATTAGTGGGGAACTGGGATTCAACCCTAAAAGTCAGGTTCCAGACAATCGTGCTAAATGTTTGGAGTCCCTGCCTGTCCTTCAATTGGAGGGAAGATTAAGGGGCAACTGAACACAACCTGCAAATTTCACCAGAGAAGTTGTGACTTGAATGCAATCCAGAAATGTAGCTGCCAGATGCCGTTTTCCCAACATTTGAAAATCTGGGCTAAAGCGAATTTCATTGTATCGGGAGGGAAAAGGAATGGACTTATTATATGATGGTACATACACAGCTTCAAAAAAGAAGACATGCATATTAATTACACAGAAGAATGTCAGTGATACAGAAATTGAGAGAAAAATATAAACGTATAAAAGTATATAAAATATGATGCTACTGCTGTTCAGAAAAATTTTTTAAACACACATACACAATTATATGTGCAGAGAAAAAAGGTCTGAAATAAACAAGGTGATCAGCAGATAAATCCATCCAGTGAACAGAAACTTTTTTAATCTGTAAATTTCTGTAACCATGGATTTAAAAATCTATATTTAAAATGTATACAATAAAAGTCAATTAAAACAATACCTGCAGCCCAGTATCAGAAGGTTTTATGTACAGAACCTCCCTGTTTTATTTTTCTGTCTATGTCTTAGATGTACTTTCATTTTTAAGTATTTCTGTTTCATTTGAGTAGATATATGACAATGGATATTCTGGCAGCTTCGATAACTAACACTGAAGTATTTATGTAGGTAACTACTTACACAAAGCTTTAGGTCTAGGAAATTCTATAATCACATTGCCCAGAATGAGATCATAAGTCAATGACAAAAGGAAAAGCAAAAACACAACTGTCACTGTTTGCATTATTTAGATTGCCTATTTAAATCATTTTAATTAAAACATATACCTATCAATTCTTTTAATTAAAATTGCTGCAATAACTTCAAAATTAGCTGAGGAAGCTTTCTGACTTGCAAACTTACTAAAACGTAGTATTAATTAAGTACATAATCAGATTTTAAGCATCATGTTTCAAGCCCAGGGATTTCTTTAGCTCTGCAAAGAGTCATTCCCAGGGTAAGCTCTGCTAAACCATGTTGTCCCGCTTTGTTGAGGAATGATTCCAAGTTCTGACTTCCCTGTCAGAATCACTGATATTGTCAATGACGGCTTTTGTGGATAAGCTCTACTGTTAAAGAGGATCACCCTTGGGTATCAAAACTTATCATCTGGACACCTGTTAATTGGATAAAACTACATCCACAAGACAGCCTTCAGAAGCATTAAGATACAGAGAATATATTTTACCTACCAATGGCAATGCTTCTGGAAGTTTGTTTCAAATTTCAGAAGATACGCAATTTCAGTGTTGATTACTCTTCTCCCCTTATACGGACTGGATGCAGACTTAGTAAAAGCTTTAATATGCCATATTGTTTAATCTTCACAATTAGCCCAGTGGTCTCTCCCCATTTTCCATATTCAGAAGCAGAGGCTTAAGGCTCAAAAGTCACTGGTCTGAAGTTATTTACTCCGTAATAAAGTAACCAATGAATTAATGGATTACCTTACCAGTTAGTCATCTTAGAGCTTTACATCTAACAACTTAGCCTGAAAAGTTAAGGAAGTCATCCTCAGTTATCCAACTTTGGTAGCAGAGAAGCCAGAACCCCAAACCTGGCTGACTGGCTCCAGAGTCCACACATAAAACCAGAGGGTACTATCTCCATGAGATGCAGAGTTGTGATTCAACAGCCAGGTCTGACTCTCATCAATCAATCACTGTTAGTGGAAAAACAGGCAACACATCCACCAAGGTGGACCAGCACTTGCCTGTGGTGGGAGGAGCGATGGAACTTAAGTTATAACAACTAAAGGAAGGCCAAACAGATCCCTGTATAGAGTTCAAGAACTCCGTGTGACCAGGCCCATTTAGGATAAAAAAGAAAAAAGGATATTAAAAAAAATCCAACACTGCTCTCTATTTAGGAAGTTACTGTGTTTATCATATCTTCTTTATGTATTAAAAGGCGGCCAGGTACAGTGGTTCACACCTGTAATCCCAACACTTTGGAAGGCTGAGGTGGGTGGATCACTTGAGCCCAAGAGTTCGAGTACAGCCTGGACAACATGGCGAAACCTCGTCTTTACAAAAAATACAAAAATTAGCCAAGCATGGTGGCAGGCACCTGTAGTCCCAGCTACTTGGGTGCCTGAGGCAGGGGCATCGCTTGAGCCTGGTAGGTCAAGGTTGCAGTGAGCCGAGATCATGCTGCTGTACTCAAGCCTGGGCAACAGAGTGAGACCTTGTCTCAAAAACAAAAACAAAAACAAAAAACCTGCATAGGCTAAATTAACTGAAATATACTAGGTGTAAGTAGGTATATGGCATTATACTAACAATACTGAATCTAACTACGAGAATATTATAACTGAGTCTTGAATACTGTTATTAACTATAAAAAAACTAGAGTGGTGGGTGGCAGATGTAGAGCTCTGAAGTGTAAATCAGCTGTAAAAGTTTTGTGGCAGATCAACAGAAACGTTTTAAGGAAAAACCCTCTTTAGGAAAGAAATCTCATTAAGAAAAAAAAAAAACTAGCCTCAGCATGGTGGTGTGCCCTGTAGTACCAGTTACTCAGGAGGCTGAGGCAGGAGAATCGCTTGAACCCAGGAGGCGGAGGTTGCAGTGAGTTGAGATTGCGCCACCGCACTCCATCCTGGGCAATAAATAAAAAGAAAAAAAGAAAGAAAAACCAGCCAGATGTAGTGGCTCATGCCTGTAATTTCTCCACTTTGCACTCTGGGAGGCTGACGTGGGAGGATTACTTGAGCCCAGGAGTTCTAGACCAGGCTGGGCAACATGGCAAAACCCTGTCTCTACTAAAAATACAAAAAATTTGCCAAGCATGGTGGCACACACCTGTAGCTCCAGGCTGAGGTGGGAGGATCACAGAGGCTGCAGTGAACCATGACCACACCACTGCATTCCAGCCCAGGTGACAGAGTGAGACCCTGTCTAAAACACACACACACCCACACATACACACGACCCTGTCTAAAACACACACACACACACACACACACACACACACACACACACACAATTAATTTTTAAAAGCTGTACCTTATTTTTCAACAAGGGACTTAATGTTGTTTGTACTGGCTTGGATCTTAATCTGGAACCTGGCTTTATTGATTTACACCTGTTTTAATTCATTCAACACAGAATGAGTTCCTACCACATGCCAGGTATGCTACAAGGTGCAAAAGAAACAAAAAGAAGAGCAAAATGAGGTCCTATGAGAAGACAGTTAAATAAAAGAGTAACTTATTCCTTGGACCAGCAGAGAGAGAGGAAAAGAAGGGCACCTGTTTGAGAAGGGAAACAGCATTTTAACAACTAGGTACTTTAATAATTATTTTCCATTTATTGTATAAGTATCTTTTACACAAAGACCAAACAAATCCTTTCTTCAGTTATGAGTTCCTGCTTGAATTTTATAATGCAACATGTAATAAAGTGATTTTAAAAAAATAAATGTCAATTCATTTTGTGAAAAAAAAAAACAAAAAAAAACAGGGAGAAGAGGATATGCAAGAAAAATGGCGAGTTATACGGATGAGTTAATTTTATCTTCTTCCTGTTAATATTTTCTAATGTTTCTAGAAGAAATATACATGTATTATATAAAAATATTTTTTAAACCAACGTGTATAAAGGGTTAATCTGAAGCATATAAGGAGAACTTAAGGAATTTCAGAAATGTAAAAGCAACCTTTAAAAGTTAAGAGTGACTTACAGGTTTTCATAGGCTGAATAACAACTGCCTAAAGCTCTTGTACTGCAAAGTGTGTTCCAGCAAGAAGACAAGGCACTATTCAATGATTAAAATGTCAGTTGAAATGACTAAGCCTCATGCCAAACTCCTTAAAGCACTCCCTTGCTAAAGAAGGAATGGAATGAGATTCCTCCTGTTACAGTCAAGCACTACATTGGTCTCTGTATAAACAGAACTCTCTCCAAAGAGACAGTTGTCTCTGGAGTCCTAGAATGCACACAGCTGGTGGAAGGGCCAGTTTTCCTGTTTCTAAGGTTTGTTTAGGCACCTGTAAACAGATTATAAATACAGAAAACCGCAACTATTGCTCTCAAAATAAACCCTAAGAATCATATGCAATTCAGTTCTACAAAAAGGAAGGTGTGTTTTACATGAACTGAATGCTGACTGAAGCAAATAAAAGTCCCATTGACTTTTTGGTCCCTGTGGTCATGGACTGTATGTATAAGCTGCCCCCCTGCCCATCCATTCCCAAGTAGCATTTTCCTTTACTCCAGCCTCCACTTTTATCAAATTTTTAGAAACTTCTTTTTCTATTAAATTTTATTTCAATTACAAAGCAGTTCTTAAATTTTAATTCAAATCTTTAAACTTTAAAAATTGCAAACTGAAGACGAACTACTTACAAGCAGTGTTCAGCTACTTCTAATACCCAATTTGTTGCCAAAACCAATACCTGTAAGAACTCAGAAGCTTAAGTTAGGTCAAGCTAACCTAATCAGGAAGTGATTCACGGACACTGATAACCTAGGAGAAACTTCAGATATGTCCTTTTATGCTAACGCTTCATATTAAATCAAACAGCCCTATCTAATAATCTAAATGCACTGCAAGATTTGATGTTAAACCTGGCTAAGAATCTTCGTTAAGGCAAAACATCAATTTGTAAATGCATATTAATCCCATAACTCCCGTTTTCTAAATTCAGGGTTTTTTTTTTTAATGAAGAACGGTGTATCATATAACGGAAGATTTCTAATTTTATATATGTTTTGAAATCACAAAAGAGGGCACACCTGTATGTATCAGGATTCTAAAATTGAGAGGTAAGCAATCAAAACTCAACAAACCTCCTACAATACCCAGTATATGCTCAGAAACTGAACAATCTTAACCAAGATTTCTTAGTGGTAACTGTGGGGCAGACAAATGAAGTATTTAATATGCACTATTTTATGCAAACAGGAAACAAATCTCATAAAGTACTTTGAAAGAGAATTAAAACAGGAGGAAAACGGATTACTGCTAATTCATCACTTTAGAGACTATGAAGACAAATCTTGCTGGAGACATTAAAAGACTATATAAGAATAGATTGGCAAGTCTCAAATAACTGTCATGTATCTACATTACTAAAAATTAAAGCACAGAACTGAAACAAGAAAAAATGAAAAATAGAGAATAACTGCAGTAGTTCTTATATTATCTCTGTCCTTAACTTTCTCTGAGAGCAAAGTTGTTCATTAAGAGAGCTGTTCTTTAACAAAGTAATAATAAACATTTCATTTTAAAGTGACATTTTCTTCTTTAATACTAACCATTAATAAAATAAAGTGATAACAGAAGATGTAGAATATGAAAATAAACATCACAGGGATATCAAGCAGTTGATGGTATTTGAAAAGCATATATTCAAACTAACCACTAGAAAAAACAAATTCAAAAACACACAAGTGTTCATTATAACACACTAGTTGTAATTAAGTAGCAGGGTGGTTACTAAAATATACGTATCGGAGAAGATAAAAATATAAATAAATAGCTAGGCGCAGTGGCTCATGCTGGTAATCCCAGCACTTTGTAAGGCCAATCTAGTAGGATCCTTGAGCCCAGGAGGTGGAGGCCAGCCTGGCCTACTGTATTAATTTATTATAATATAATAATAAATAAATATTTATTATTGTAAATTAATGTAATAGAACATTATACAATGTCATTATAGACAAATATATTCTATTATCACTTTATTTTATACATGTATAGCTATGTAAATATATTACATATATTGTCATTAATATCAATTATTGTATATTATTGATATTATGTATTATATATGTTATTAATATATTATTACTTTTATATACATATTACATACATAAATATATATACATAGGCCTGCATATAAGAAATTACAGGGGAATGGCAAGGCTGCGGAGAAACAGGAACGCTTTTACACTGTTGAAGGGAATGTAAATTAGTTCAACCATTGGGAAAGACAGTGTGGCGATTCCTTAAGGATCTAGAACCAGAAATACAATTTGACCCAGCAATCCCATTACTTGGTATATACCCAAAGGAATATTAATTATTCTACTATAAAGACACATGCACATATATGTTTACTGCAGCACTATTTACAATAGCAAAGACATGGAACCAATTCAAATGCCCATCAGTGATAGACTAGATAAAGAAAATGTGGTACACATACTCGATGGAATACTGGGCAGTCACAAAAAGGAATTACATGTGCCCTGTAATTTCTTCAGTGATTGGAACAGTAAAAGTACCTTTTGTTTAAAAAAATATTTAGGCTGGGCTGGGCACGGTGGCTCACGCCTGTAATCCCAGCACTATGGGAGGCCGAGGCGGGTGGATCACGAGGTCAGGAGATCGAGACCATCCTGGCAAACACAGAAATACAAAAACACTAAAAATACAAAAAAACACTAACACTAAACAAATAACACTAAAAATACAAAAAAATTACCCGGGCGTGGTGGCGGGAGCCTGTAGTCCCAGCTACTCGGGAGGCTGAGGCAGGAGAATGGCGTGAACCTGGGAGGCGGAGCTTGCAGTGAGCTGAGATCGCACCACTGCACTCCAGCCTGGGTGACAGAGTGAGACTCTGTCTCAAAAAAAAAAAAAAAAAAAAAAAAAAATGGGGGTTGGGGGAACCCCACACATCTGGTGTCAGAAGCATGTTCTGAGAGTCTAATTCAGGAAACTGAGTTTGTTTTCTATCCATAAGCAGGAAGTATCTCACATCTTATTTAGAAAACTGTCTGCTTTTTCCAAAACCTAAATACAAATTCAACATGGGAAAAAAAAAAACATAGCATAGTACTTACAACACTGTTGCCATTCCTAAAGCTCAAATATTTCCAGCTCATGACAGTATCAGATATATGGGTTCAAAAGGAAAAGCATGTTATCAAGTCTACAGTTTAGAAGATGATTTTTGAAAAATGACTTTGTGCTAAACTCTTGGATTGAGATTGCCTTTTCATTCAGCAATTTATGAAAGAGGTGGTGAAGCAATCGTATATTTTTTCCCACTTATTTTACTACATTGGTTGGTTTGCTGTAGCAGGCTATTTGTTAAAATCTGAAACTCAAGAATTTTTTATAACGTGCCATCTAAAGAACTACTTCATAATTTTATAAATTCTCAATCAACCATAATTCACAGGCCCAGTAAACTAACCTGTTTACTGCTAACTGTACCCATTAATAGAAGACCATGAGTGTCTTCCAATGCTTTCATTACCTAATTGGAACAGGGAAATATCCCAAATATCCCAACACGACTGCAAATTTAAAGCCTCGATTAATTTAACCTAATACTGAAGACATTTGACAGATGCTCCCTTGATAAGCCTATTTTGAAATAATGCTGGCATATCCCTGGCTTTAATTATTGTCCTTAAAAAAGAAATACAACTCAACAGACTAACACAATCTGTTCAAAAGAGACACGCAAAGGGGTACCAGTGTTGAGAAGCAAAGGCTAAGCCATCCTATTATGTTCTTCAATAAGATAAAACTAACAAATTCCAGTAATATAGCATATAACACAAACATGAAATCTGACTATGACTGAGTTTATCATTGTTGGTGACACCACTGTGAAAACACTGAATAGGCTTTAATTACACACGACCGTTTCTGTAACATTTCTCTCTTCAGGCACCACTCCTCCCCTGCCCCTCTGGAAGGGAAGAAAAACACTCCCAAATACCTTTACAAAGGCACATGTGGTGGGCAGCCGACCTCTTACATGAACACTACCTCATAAAGCTCCAAGACCACCGTAAGTTCTAAAGCATGGTGTTTGGTTATCTTAAATAATCAAACCAACGAATCAGCAAAGAACAAGAGTTAAAAGAGAGCAGTAAAGATCATCTAGTGCAACCCTCTAATTTTACAGACAAGGAAGTCCAGGGAATAAATGACTTCACAAGTTACTAGGTTGCAGAGCTTGAATCAAAGCCATAACTGGAACCCAAATCTCTTGAAATCTCAGTCTACGTTCGAGAGTGGCACCTAGTAGAGAGGTGCACGCTTGCATTAACACAAATCTCATAAGACTGAAATCGGCTTTTCTGATTGGTGAGGGAAATGGCTCACATTAGGAAAAGCAAAAGTCAATGATACTATCTCAGAGTTAATGATCTGCCAACCAAACCCTAAGAAAGCTTAAAAAATAATCGGCCTTACCTTAACATGGTATCAGTGACTTTGACCTAGGCACACATCTCAATCACTGGTCAAGAGTATCACCGAATTATTTCGGAATTGGAGAGGGAAACAAGAGTGAATGTAGGTTTTATTCTCAGTCTGTTACTTCAAAGTATTGGCCTTATAATCAACCATCCTTACAGCATGCCTGTTAACTGTCCCAACTCAGCATTTTAATAAATGTGTGACTTTGGCAATTTATTATACCTCTCTATATTTACTATTTATATCAATATTTATTATTCCTCTTATTTAAAAGTGGGAGATATATGGGTTATAAGAATTACTATAAAAATAAAGGTATTTAATCTATTGAATCTATTTTGATGTTTGAGAAACTAAAGCAAAACCAAGATTTAAGAAGATTCTTAAAGAGGTATGACACCTTAATCCCTAACCTCTGTATTTCCAAGGATGCTATTATTCAAGACAGAAACTGGCTACTAACAGAAATCACACGATGATGGAAGCGGTGTTCGGAAGAGAACTTAGAATCACTTATTGTAGAGCCCAGGTGACATTCCTTATCAAGACAAGGGACCGGCATTAGCAGTGCTCTAAAGTGAAATACACACATACGTGCAGCACAGAAGAAAGTCAGAATCCACAGCAACGTTGTTCACTGAGACACATCGATGAGTTATTTCAACTGACAGCGTAAAGCATTTTTAACCTGAAACAGTATGCATCAATACCGCTGAAGTGGCAGTGAGGTCTGCCACAAACTTTCCCTCCAGCCCCAAATGAAGAGCTACTTTTATAAAACGTTTCAAAGTTTCATTTCAAACATGAAAGGACAATAAAAACCAGGAAAAGTCAAATTAGGAATTTCTGGGACACAGAAAGGAACATTAGTCCACCTTTGCCTCCATAACTATCTTTCCCCACTTATTTTCGTTACATTTTGTCACAACTACTTTCTCAGAACTGGTTACGGATCTATAAGTAAAGACTAACCAAGTTCAAAAGAAGTCATTGCTAGAAGATATCATGATTACCAAAATAAAAGTAAAGCATAATAGTTCGTGTTTAGTCACCAAATATATAAAATTATTAGTTGTCATATGGAGGCGATAAGGGACGTTGGATGATCTCCTTATCTAACAGCTGGGAAGAAAACCTAGGTTGCCACCCAGATTCAGGACTAGGAATCAGGCACCTCCTAAGATTTCTTTCAAAATATTATTACTTATCTTCTGAATTGCTAAAAGTTGTAAATGTTAGCCGGGCGCGGTGGCTCACGCCTGTAATCCTAGCACTTTGGGAGACTAAGGCGGGTGGATCACCTGAGGTCAGGAGTTCGAGAACAGCCTGGTCAACATGGGGAAACCCCATCTCTACTAAAAATACAAAAATTAGCCAGGTGTGCTGGCATGTGCCTGTAATCCCAGCTACTCGGGAGGCTGAGGCAGGAGGATTCCTTGAACTCGGGAGGTGGAGGTTGCAGTGAGCTAAGATCACACCACCGCACTCCAGCCTGAGTGAAAGAGCGAGACTCTGTCTCAAAAAAAAAAAAAAAAAAGAAAGTTGTAAATGTTTCTAACATGATGCGTATGCATGAAGACAGACTTTTTGAACTAAAAACATGCTTCTGAAAGAAAACAACTTTTAATGATTTGTTTTTAAAGTAGTTAAAACAGCAATCTTATTTCAAGGGTTTACATCCAAAAGAAAGTCTGTTAGCAAAGAGGACACTGGGTCTGGCAGGACATGGCCACTTAAAGAGGCAGCCCGGCAGATCAGAGGAGGATTTTCCTTCTTTTCTCCATGTCATCAGTGACTACAAACACCACTGAGGGCCCCAAGGGGGAACCAGGCAGAAAGCCTGGACTGGGATAAAACCTAGCGATGGGACTCCAGGACAGCAGGACAGTCAGCAGCAGGAAAAAGGAAGAGTGTGTGCCACAAAACGGAGTCCTCTCCTGTGGTAAGGCAGGGTCACTCCCGTGTAAGGGGCCCTGGACTGACTGCCCTGGTATTCCTACCATTCCCTTCAGCCACAGACCACAGCCTCATGTCCTGGCCACGCACCTACCTTAACTACCTCATCCCAGACCTTCCACCATACAAGCTTGTGTTTCAGGGCTATTATTCCCTCTGATTAAAAATTGTCTTCAAATAGTTGGCTCTTCGTTCTTGTCATTCAGGTGACCACTCCATCTAAGGAGGCCATGCACACCCTGCAAAAATCCTTAACACATGCCCTGTTTTCCTCCACAGCACCGCTCAGCTGAAACTGTGCGTTCTTTTCTCCTCATCTCTGTGTTGACTCGTGTCTCCTCTCTCCAGAAGAATAGCTCCAAGAAGGGCACAGCACCATCCACCTTGCAAACTGTGGAGTCCTGGGCTCCAAGAAGGGCACAGCACCGTCTACCTTGCAAACTGTGGAGTCCTGGGCACCTAGAGCAGGTTCTGGCATTCTAGAGGCGGTCAATAAACGTCAACTACCAGATGAATGAATGCATGGAAGGGCATTCACCCAAGCCTTCTTTCACCCTCTCAAATCTTGCCTCTGTGAAATTTTCCGAAAGTTTTGCTTTCAAAGGCCACTCGTGATTTCTCCAAAGCCTTTTTCCTTCCAGGACCTACAGCAGGACTTGCAGCTGCTGACCTGCGGCCCCTGGAGCAGGCACACTTGCCACTCTTCTCCCTCCCACTCTCATTTCCCCACAACCTCCTCCTAGGGTTCTAGACTAGTCCAATACACGACTTCTCCCTGTGGTCATGGACCCATCAAGGATCACCAGAATGGAGAGCTTCATTCTGCTCCCTCTGGAGTTATTATTAATCCTTTTGGGTATCAGAGATCCCTATGAAAAATGTAAAAGTGGTTAAATTCCCTCAGTGATCCTTCCAAAAAGATTCAGAGGGAATTTTTTTTTAATCACAAAACATTGCATGTAATAGTTAACAAAACTGAGTTTTTCAGCTGTTTTTCAATAGCTACAAAACAGTAAGATTGCTACTTCATTAAATCCACCGAGCCAACACACAGGCATTACATAATTCACTTATCCAAATAATTGAATAAGTAAATTAACAGTTTAAATAGAACTATAAACATATGCTTACCTACTGAATAAAATAAGCCAGGATTTTTCTTGTTTACTGTATTTAAGAATGTATTAAATCTGTAAGAAATTCTTCATTACATAGGAGTCTTAACTGCCAACTCAGGTCATTATGAACTATGGGTATTTGACAATATTAAACTACATTCTCTTGTTGTTTAATCGTCTCATCTAGACTGAATCTCCTCTCCAATTATAACTATATCCAATCCCAGATGAAGGTCTCACTGCACAGTTATAGGAGTGCTTCCGTGCTGGACCCTGGGAAGGGGATGCTTTAGAAGGGCCAGGACAGTATCTGCGAGGGGCTGAAGGTACTCTTGCAGATTTCCTGTCGGCTCTCGTAGGAGACGTAGGACCATGAACTGTGCTCCTCCCCGGGATGCACCTGCCTCCGCCCGAACACTGCCATGCACAGAAAATGGAACTGACGCTCGGCCCGTTTTCAACAGAATGAAACAGCTACCACATTTCTTTAGGACACTTTAAATAATTACCATGTATTTTCTAAAGCAACTAACATTCCTCTCACAAGTGAATGACTGGATGTTAATCACTAACTTGGGGGATAAGAGGGAAAAAAAAAAAAACCCAAACTCCCTTTACCCCACCAGTATTAACGCAGCACAGTGAAACACTTTCAGACACGTAATACAAACAGGGTAACAATTGTTTTAATTTAACAAATTTAAACAAAAACGGTCACCTCTGGATAGGGCGTAACATATTAAACAGAGGAGGCGTGGTTTTCATTTGCTACTCTGTTTAGTTTTGACTAACTGGAAATGCTCATCTCTTCTTATTTCGGCAACTCCTTTTATGCCACAACCAAGTCATGAATTCAGGAAGGAAGCAGGCAAGTCTGATTTGTGCATGAAACATTATCTAAAGGGAAGAAAGTCAGCCAGTGCCCTCGCTAATCCCTTGGGCAAGAAAGGTAAAGTATACAGCCACAGTCTCAAAGCCAGAGTGACACAGGAGTAACCAGGAGCGCACATTCCTGCCTTATCTGGCGTTACTTTGATTCACCTCACCTTTCTTTCATGACAGGAAGGGCACTCCAAGGGCATTACACTGAGATCAAACAAAGCATTCCAGAAAGGCAAAGGCTCTTCTCACAGGGAAAGGAAGAATAAGTCTTACATTTCATGAATGAATAAGCTGTAACGAAACATTTCTATATCCTTAAATAAAATGTCCAATAGCTGATAGGATACGGAACCGTAGAGAACGTTAAACCACCACCACAATAAGAGCAACTTAGCCAAACCCCTCTATTTTTCAGTAACACCATAAAATATATGAAGGTTAAAAATTCCTATCTCAAATGAAACATCTTCACTAAGATTTTCTAAAATTCACAGCAGAGTTTCTAACCAGCATATGTGGCCTGGGGTTGCTTTAGTGTTTCTGATTATATTCCTTAGGTAAGGATTACGCAGTCAGTATTTTTTGACTCTGGTTAACTTTTCCTTTGACTGCATCTCAGAGGTTCCTTTAACTTTTCAAAGCACTTAACCAGTGGTTATTTTCAACCTGCATAATGCTTTCTACATATGGTATTCTACAATTAAAACATAACTCTGATTTCTATAAAACCAACATACATTTGGTTACTGTAAAAGACAGTCAAGACATCTGTAAGAGACTCGTATTCCCTTCAACTGAGGTGAGCATTGCTCTCTCTACTAAAAAAGAGAATACTGGCAGGTCCTGAGCTTTGCTCTATCTGGTAGGTTGCATTTGTAGATGAGTCCGTCTCTAAGCAGCCAGCAAGCTGTAAGCACACCGGTTGTGAGAATCTGTATAAGGAAATCTACTTCCCTCAGTTAAACTCTCTACACCAAAGTAAATTCATCAACCTCAGATTCCTACTCTAAATTCTTGGACTCTGACTCACTTATGACAATCCTGGAAGCTGGAACTCAAATATCTATGGGCAGTCAGCAAATAAAGGCCTGAAGAGCTGTAATCAACCAACTGTTCCATTAAAACAGACAACTACTGTCTGGTTTAGAAAAATAATGGATTTCTTACTTCCAGATGATTAAAGATGCATTCATTTGGTACTGCTGCCTTTAGAAGAGTTCCCCATGGTGCAGGAAGGCAGAAAGTTTGTGCACCATAATTATTTGAGAATTTTCACCCCCCCCCGACATTCTGAAGAAAACATGTAGCGATTTTTTTCCTGCATTCTTCCTCCACATTCATCATTTTATTGGTAAATCAGACTCTATATTGCAGTTTTTATGAGATACCAGAATTATGTAAGTATGCAACACTAAGCTAATGAAGAATAAAATATGTGTCAATTTTTGAATGAGTGTTCTTTTTTCCAAGGGCTCAATGAAAGCATCTTGGCATAATTAAATCAATATAGTAATCTCAACATCTGGGCCTGCTCTGTTGAAATGCAACCCTCTGCCTCAATACAAATCTCATTTTAATATTTAATTATTGAATCTATTGCCTAAAGTCAGCAACTTTAAACTGGTTTGCTTAGCGCTGTTTTTTTTAAGCTGTTCTTTTCCCAACTGCATTGTGAACAGAACCCTGTGCCTTTTATCCGCCTCATACTCTTTTCCAAGTTCTTAACATGAATTAATAGCTGCCAAGGAACTGCTTATTGCCTAGTATCACATCCTTGATAATGTGTTCTCAGATGATCCCATGAAACAGTCTATCTGTTTGGATCCAATCACTACACTGCTGATTATACACTATGGACACAGGTGAGTGAATTAACTCATAGGGATACTTGGGAAGGAAAAGAGAACTTATATTCTTGATTTCAACAGCAAAATTACATTTTTAAATTTAATTTGACAAGCCTGATAGCAGCGAAAACGAAAAATTCAACTACTTCTGATTTTACGAAGTAGCATCTGGCCAATGAAATGAAGAGTGAAAGCATGTTTTACAGTCTGTCCATCCCTCATTAGCCTTTATCTGGCATACAAGAGACGCTTTTTAAACAATTAATTAATGTGAAGAAATAAGCCTCAATATGCACTGGGGACAAAGATCGAGAAAAGGTAAGTTAAATCAGAGAATATGATCCCAAAAAGTTGGGTTATAAAAATCAGAATTTTTAAACACACAACCAGAACCACAGCCACAAAACTAACAACCACTGTTTCAATTATGATAGTTCCCTGACTGAATTAGTATTTTCCACTCATAAATCTGCCATCATTTTGATTTCTGTTTCTAAATCCAAATATTCAGTGGCAGCAAGAATGCAGAGAAATGGGCACTCACAAACTGCTGATGGGATGTCTAGTTCTCATAAAAACAAACAAACAAAAAAAAAGAACAGCTTTTAAAAATTTCATTACCTTTCACCCAGCAATTTCACTTCCTGTTATTTACGCTAAGGCAACAGAGATACACACAAACAAGGAACTTACATATTCAAAAATTGAGTATTACTATACAAACAGGATGAGTGTCCCAAATCAAAAAATCTGAAATGCTGCAAAATCTGAAACTTTGGAGCACCAACATGGTGCGCTGGGCATTGTGGATTTCAGATTTCTGGATGTGGGATGTCAACTGGTATAATGCGTATATCTCAAAATCCAAATAAATCCAAAACACTTCTAGTCCCAAGTATTTCAGATAAAGATGCTCAACTTCTATTAGTCTGTCTCTGTGCTGGCACTCTATATTCTAAAAATCACATTCTTTAAGAATACCTACCAACCAGAAAATGTTCTGGATATAGCAGAAGGCAGTCAACAAAACTACACGTTCAGTAAATGTTTTCTGTTCATCATTTTTACAAATCCCGCACCTGGCACTGGAAAGGCATCTTTGTGCAGGTACATATGAGTTAGGGGAAAAGTTCACCAGGGTTCTAGGTAGTAAAATTTTAGTCATGTTTTCTCCTTTCCAGTAGTTTACATTTTCCCAGGCTTCTACAATGACTATATACTGCCTTTTTATTGGAAATAAAGATCATTTTTTTAATGAGGGGAGTTCGCTAATTCTGTCCAAATGCTATGGAGACTCAAAGCTGAAAAAAAAAAAAAAAAAAAGCCAACACTATGTAATCATTTCCAAATTCCCTTTTCATGACCTTAAATGGGACTTCTAAAGCTAAGCAGATGCCCCAGCAGGAAATAAATTTGCAACTCAACAGAGGCACCCACAGAGATATGGCAAGATGCACCTTCGGTGGCTTTGGCAATAATTTCCTTTCATTATGTGTGAAGGAATCTTCACTCTCCAGTGCTTCTCAAGTCAAAGAGAAGCCTGTAGAAGTTAATAGGTCCTTAATATGTATCTGCTCCCTGAACTGATTCCTGTTCATAAGGTAATCGCGGACCCCATGTGGTCCTTTCACAGGGGCTTCGGCAAATCCCCTGCAGTGAGATGGCCCCTGGGCAGCTCTGTTTTCTGCAGACCAGGCTGTGACCTAATCAATAGGGTTCCAAGCAAGACAATCCCTACATTCAACAGCTCGGAAGAAATGAAGGGGGACGCAATTCAAGCTTTATTGACGAATTCCATTTACCTGTCACAATGATGGTTCACCCAGCAAGAGTACCCCCCCCGCCCCCCCCCAAAAAAACACACACCCTTCAGCTGCTACAGTAGACTTTCCAGCCAGCAGCCGGCACAAAATAAACATATTTACTTAAGCTTCAGTCACAACTCTTGACGTGAAACTGATGAAGCCCAAATGAAACAGGTGTATCTGTGAGATACAAAGGCAGCAGCCACAATGTGGCAGGGTAGGTTTTCATAACCTGTATTCGTTTAAACCCAAGGACACAAAAAGTACCGCAATAAATATAAAGCAGAAAATCACCCCAGCATGCAGATCCCAAAATTTACATGGAAAATTCCATAAACCTGAAAATGACCTTTTTAACTCTGAAAAGAATAAACAGGCCATTGAAACAACAGAAAGGTCAAGTTTACAGAAAGCAACTACTTTTCAAAAAGAAGTGTGAAAAGCATGGGTTTTGAATTAATTATACATGTTAGCAATTGTGGAAGCCCACAGAAACTTTACAGTTAATGAATAAAGATTTCACTTCACTTGGAAATGATGGACCTGGTCTAAATAAATCTTTTGGAAAATCACTCTGTAAAAATATCACTTTAAGATGTCATATACTTTCACATAAAGAAGATTTGTATCTTGTACGTCAAATCAAATTAGAATTATGCTACAAATCCAAATTATGCCCCCCAAAAAGCTATTTAAATGAGGGAACTTCAATAACAAATGTTTATCCTCAAAAAGACACATGATTTACTCGGAATTTTACAAAAGCTATCACTGGACATTTTTTTTCTTTTTGCATTCACATCCAATGACCCATCATGGACAATTTTTAATTGAAAACAAAGTCTGATTTTAAATTAACTTCTGGGCTGTTTTTCCACACTCATTAACCAAAGCGAGAGAGAGTCCAAGTCAAAAGACTCCAAAATGAGCTCACACACTCGCTTAACATCACAAGAATTGCTTCACTGTAATATTTTTAAAGCCATGCCAGGATCTAGGCCACCAGCCTCTTCAACAAATAAATTTTCAGCAACACCAGTGTAATAGGCTTTTAACATCCTCATTGAATGTCCTTAGCCCAGGGTATCTGGCACCCACCCACACCAGGCTAATTCAACAGGCAGAACTACTTAACTCTTCCACTTCCTTTCCCACAAGGGCATGCACACCCGCCACACGACTCGACTCCGCACACCACCTCACCTGGGCGATCAAGCCTTGCTTTGTTGGTGGTGATCTCTTAATATCCAGAGGAAAATTAACACACCATGTGACTCTTTAAAAAGACTACCGCACTCACAAGCCCATTAGAAGATCTCATACCTACTTTTTCCCATCACCCAAATGAAGGGAAAGAGTAACTTTCCTATCATTTTTTCTCAGGTTTTAGTAGCCCCTTCCTCAGTTACTATTCAATTACATTTTCCCTATCCCTATAGGATAGCTACAAATAAACAAAAAACATGTTACTGCATTGCGTTACAGAAAAGTGTAGTAGAATTCAAAGCTGTATTTCTCTAAAAAGAAACATTTTAAAAAGAAGAGCAAACACTTGAGACTACAGAGATAAATTATACTTGTTAGGCATGAAGCCGTTATCTCAAGTTTACTATTCATTAGAATGCTGGTAATCTTAGGACAGTTGAGGAAGTAAAAACAATCAGAAACAAAACCATTCCCACCAACCCCAAAAGATTCCAGCATAGGTAATTTGCAAAAAAATTATAACCAAAGTGAATGATCAGAGACGTAGCTCTAGGTCACTTATTTCGTGTACGTCATTCACAGAAGAAAATCTAATAGCCTGCACGGTGGCTCACGTCTGTAATCCCAGCACCTGGAGGCCGAGGCAGGCAGATCATCTGAGGTCCAGAGTTGGTGACCAGCCTAACCAACATGGTAAAACTCCGTCTCTAATAAAAATACAAAAATTTAGCTAGGTGTGGTGGCTCACACCTGTAATCCCAGCTACTTGGGAGACTGAGGTAGGAGAATCACTTGAACCCAGGAGTTGCAGTGAGCAGAGATCACGCTACTGCACTCCAGCCTGGGCGACAGAGTGAGACTCTGCCTCAAAAAAAAAAAATCTAGTAGCCCACTATCCAAATTTAAAGTCACAAATATCTTTAAGGCAGTTGAACTCTACATAAGTCTCTAAACTTGCATTTGAAATGGGGCTAGTCGAAACTGAAATTTGCTGTAAGGGTGGAATATACACTGATTTAAAGACTTCATAGGAAAAAATGAATGTTAAAGGTCTCATTAATACTTACGCTAATCACATGCTGTAATTGTACTTTTTGATATGTTGGACTAAATAAAATATATTATTAAAATTTCATCTGTTATATTCTTTTTTATTGTGGCTACTAAAATATATAAAATTACAAATAAAGACAGTACTATTGGGCAGTGCTGCTTTTGACCTGTTATACTAATTCATTTGATTTAAAAAATAACGAGTAACGGTAAAAAGTGGCAGAATTTGCACAATTTTGTTAATATAAATTGTAAAAATCAGTTCACCTTTCACATATGAGCACCTGTATCTAAAAACAGTAAACTTTGGAATATTTCTAATAAGTGGTTTCATGGTCTACTCTGGGACATGAATCACTGTTGTGTTTTGTTTTAGCTTATACAGAGTACACCGTGCTGATTAGGTGCCTCTAGTGCAGATTCATCTCTAACACCAAAAGAAACAATTTAAGACTTTTATTCTCTTCGCTAACATGATCTTCTATATACTATATCCAAGACTTACTGTTTATGAGAATATCACATTTTAAGTCACCATCTCTACATTAGGTTTCTAACAAAGTTTGTCAACTAACTTGTTACAGAATCTTCATTTCATTTCATGAGAAAATTTTTTGTTAGAAACAAGGCCACTGAGCCAGGCGTGACAGGCATGTTGGCTCACATCTGTAATGTCAGCGCTTTGGGAGGCCAAGGTAGTAGGATGGATCACTTGAGCTGAGGAGTTCGAGACCAGCCTGGGCAACATAGCAAGACCCCACCTCTGCAAAAAAAGTAAAAAAAATTAGCCGGGCATGGTGGCATATGCCTGTAGTCCCAGCTACTCAGGAGGCTGTGGTGGGAGGATTGCTTGAGCCCCGGAGTTCAAGGCTGCAGTAAGCCCTGATTGTGCCACTGTACTCCAGTCTGAGAAAGTGAGATCCCATCTCTAAATAAAAACAAAATAAAATATTAAAAAAAACAGAAACAAGACGATTCGTTCTGACATTTAATGATCACTGAACCTTTCTACAAGCAGTAAACAATAAACATGTATGCTTTACTGTGGCTACTATTTTTTTTTACCTATAATAATGATTATTTTTATGTGGTTCTTTTTCTAATCTCTTTGAGGAGAAGAATGGCAGCTGGGACTTACTACTTCTCTAAAAATCTCTGTTAAAGAAGGCCACAAGTTTGTTTTTCTTCCCCCCCATGTATATGTCAATGTGTTCAAAGACATCCACTCCCAAAATTTCCAAACAGAAATAATGTCAAAATGCTTAGTGAGTCAATACAGTTACACGTTTCTATTTCAAATCCTAAGATTTCTATTTCAACTTACCACAGAGCACTTTCCTATTAACTGTTGCACATACGTCCCGTAACAAACAACTCTAATATAAGCTAAAATTAGCAAAATACTAAGTGGTATTAAAATACATCTTAGGTTATTTATTTATTTATTTATTTTTTTGAGACGGAGTCTCGCTCTGTCGCCCAGGCTGGAGTGCAGTGGCGCAATCTCGGTTCACTGCAAGCTCCGCCTCCCGGGTTCACGCCATTCTCCTGCCTCAGCCTCCCGAGTAGCTGGGACTACAGGCGCCCGCCACCACGCCCGGCTAATTTTTTGTATTTTTAGTAGAGACGGGGTTTCACCGTGTTAGCCAGGATGGTCTCGATCTCCTGACCTCGTGATCCGCCCGCCTCGGCCTCCCAAAGTGCTGGGAATCTTAGGTTATTTTTAAAACTTTTCCATTTAAGCTGAAACTTAAGCAGAGATGTCAGAGGGCTGCATGAAACCTAAAGATACCAAATCAACACTCCTATATTCTCTCCTCATTTCGGTGTCTATTTCCACGCCCCCCAGTCTTCCATGGACTTCCAATTCCATTTCCCCAAGTATTCCATTCTCTACGGGACAGCAATAAATCAATGAGATAGTTTGTGACAAATTAATTAGCAGGAAGTGGTGCTAATGAGAAAAACGAACATCTGCAGGCCAAAGTCTATCGTGAAGAACCCCTTGCTGCCCTTTACCAGACACTCCATCTCTCCGCCTTTCACTTTAGAAACACGATAACTGGAATTCTCCAATTCCTTTGGGGGTAAGAAACTTCAGAGATCTTTGTGATAGAAAATGAAGTAGGAAGACGATGGAGGAGCATTGCTTTGGTATCTTCAGACTTCAAGCATCCCCCTGGTATCTCTGCTTACGTTCTAGTTTAAATGGAAATGTGCTAAAAATAACTTGAAGATATACTGTAATGCCATTACATGTTTGAACAGTATGACAAACTTAAAGTATCGTTATGTAAGACAGAAAAGTTTTAAGACCATATTGATATTTTCACAATTTTCACAAGCCTTTATATAGTAATGCACATTTAACATTCAGAAGGGATTCCCTCAAAGGGAAACGCAATCGGGTAAAAGTGCCTCTGGAAGTAGGAACATGAACACAGTACTCGGCAGCTCCTCTCAGCAAGGTTAGCCTACCTCCCTACCTGTGGCTGGATGAACGAACTGTGTCACAGCACGTGGGAGATGACAGTGGAGGAGTTCTGAGCCTTGGCCCAGCGGATTTGCTGCTTTCCTCGAGCACCCAGAACCCCGAGACCACCATGTAAACGGGTCCAGGACAGGCTGCGGGATGATCACAGACACAGGGCCTAGGAGCTGCTGCCTGCAGCGAACACCCAGCCACCTCCTGGGAGCAGGGCCCTCGAGCTCAACAGCAACTGATCAAACATGAGTCAGCCCGTGGAAAACAGCCAAGGAAACACCCAGCTGAGCCCAGCCCAAATCGCCCACCCACAGAACGGTGACCCAAATGAGTGGAGGCTGTTCTAAGCTATGAGGTTTTGGGATGGTTTGTTTCCCAACAAAAGGCTAAATGCCATTCTCTGTAATTTCCTTCACAATACTTAATATTGGCCCAAAGACAATAAAACGTTTCAGTTCAGCTCTGGATTTGCCTACACTTATTCCACTTGAGTTTCTCATGTATTTCATCTAACCTAACAGCCATCTCCACATTCCTCACAAGATTCAACCTCTCCCAGACTCAACCTGCCTCTCATCTAACCCAACCACCATCTCCCCACTCTTCACAACACTCAACCTCTCCCAAACTCAACCTGCCTCTCATCTACTAATCCAACCACCATCTTCCTATTTCTCACAAAACTCAACATCTCACAAGCTCGACCTGCCTCTCATCTAACCCATCCACCATCTTCCTATTTCTCACAACACTCAACCTCTCCCAGACTCAACCTGCCTCTCATCTACTAATCCAACCACCATCTTCCTATTTCTAACGAAACTCAACATCTCCCAAACTCAACCTGCCTCTCACCTAACCTAACCACCATCTCCCCATTTCTCATAACGCTCAACCTCTCTCAAATGCAACTTGCTATGAACAGATTTCTACTCAAATACACAGTGAACAACTTCCACAACGGTTTCCTTTCCTTCCTTTAATCATCCTAAAGAGTTACTTTTAAATAGAATAATGAAGTTAACTGAACTAGCTACTGATAATTTTCTATTTATATGAGTGGAAGGTTTAGAATCAGAGTTCCTAAGTAGCAAGAAGAGTTGACAAAGAACAAATGAGTTTTTAAAAAACTTTTACTTAGATGTAGTTACTAAAATAAGAAAACTACTTTTAGTTTACATACATATTATTTTTCTTAAAAGAGTCTGGTAACTAACTAAATTTCCCCCCATTATTCAACCACCCTTTAAAAGAAAGTGTTTGGTTTTAAGTAAATTGCACCTCTCCACAGAAGTAACCAAGACACTTAAAATACAAAACAGGCTGGGTACAGTGGTTCACACCAGTAATCCCAGCATTTCAGGAGGCTGAGGAAGGCAGATCACCTGAGGTCAGGAGTTCATGATCAGCTAGCCAACATGGTGAAACCCCGTCTCTACAAAAAATACAAAAATTAGCCAGGCATGATGGCGGGTGCCTGTAATCCCAGCTACTTGGGAGGCTGAAGCAGAAGAATCGCTTGAACCCAGGAGGCAGAGGTTGCAGGGAGCCAAGATCGTGCCACTGCACTCCAGCCTGGGCAACAGAGCGAGACTCCATCTCAAAACAAAAACAAAACAAAACAAAAATACAAAACAGCTTTTTCAAAGGATAGTTGGGTGAGCTCAATTTAATCCAGAAAACCAACAGTTTCAAAAATAATCTGTGAATCTCTAGAAGTAACTATTTTCTTAAGTTTTAAGAAATTCATCAATAATGATACTAACAAAAATAGATCCTACTAATCTGAACGTTTTTTAGAGTTCAAGTTTTTGCTGAATAATGTGCAATGGCAATGGATACTCATCTTTTATACTTAAAACAAAAGAAATACTTTTCAATCCAGAGGATGATACAGGCAATAGCACTACTCTACAGCCCAAGGACACAACACGTAACTCAGGTATATTCACCTGGAAGGCCAGCCTCAGAATCTAGATACTCAATCTCACAAAGGAGGCTGCTCCTAGGTAAGCAAAGCAGAAACAAAGAGGAACCCGCATTGCTACTAAACTGCTTTGTTGTTCTTATTCTTGTAATTTTGGAAGGTATGGGAGACAGGGTGTCTCAAGTGGAAGAGCAGCCTTAACTATATTAAAAAGGACAAATTTAAAAGGGCTTTCTCAACAATAGTTATTTAGATAAGCGTTTCCCTTTAGTATTTTGTTACAATCTATTTCCATTTTAAATTTTACGCATTCAACCAGTATTGGCTGGATGCCTAGATGCCAGTCAGTTCCTAAGTAAGTGATACAGACACGGACAGAGTCCAGTTTCAGCCTTATATTCTGGTGGAAGTCAAATGACAAAAGCAGATTTTTTAAACATGCTAAAATAATTTTTAATATGTATTATATATAAAACACACACACACACACACACACACACACACACACACACACACATTTTTGAGACGGAGTTTCACTCTTGTCCCCCAGGCTGAAGGGCAGTGGCACAATCTCGACTCACTGCAACCTCCAGCTCCCAGATTCAAGCAATTCTCCTGCCTCAGCCTCTGGAGCAGCTGAGACTACAGGTGTGCGCCACTAGGCCCAGCTAATTTTGTATTTTTAGTAGAGACAGGGTTTCACCATGTTGGCCAGGCTGATCTTGAACTCCTGACCTCAGATGATCCGCCCGCCTTCACCTCCCAAAGTGTTGGGATTACAGGCGGGAGCCACAGCGCCCGGCCATAGGCCCTAGAACACTTATTTTAAAAATTACTGACCTTAAACTCTAATCTTGATACTTTGTAGATATGAAACTTCGTGTGACTTCTTTCTGAAATCAACATTCTGCCAATTAAAACCACATATGGATATTACTCATGTTCATACTTTCCTAATCAGTTTCCATCTTCTAAATGAGCTTGCCACACTATTAAGAAAAAGCACTTCCTTTTAAAATTTTTTAGATCCTTAAAAAATAACTGATTTCCATTTTGTTGCCTCAACCAACAGACTAACTTGGTATTTACATGACAAACCCGCCTTTTTTCACTTAAATATGTAAACACCTTCAGCTGGGCAACAAATCGAAAGAAGAGGATCATGGGACAAACATGCACAGGATCTATGAAAAGATGAACACCCCCTGAGCAGGCAGCTACTCGGTACCAGCCCTGTGCCAAGCACTGTGATAAGAGGAACACGGACGTCTGAGACAGAGTAATGTCAAGCAGCCCTAAGAATAAAGAGGCAAGTAAAAAAATTAATAGAAAGCTAAAAGCAAACCAGGACCCACAAATGCATTTTGGAGAATCTTTTAACTAAGAACTTATGGCAGGGCTATTTTCCATAGAGGTCAAAGAACATACGGCAAGTCCATTTAAATAAAAATTCTGGACTGGGCACAGTGGCTCACGCCTGTAATTCCAACACTTTGGGAAGCCAAGGTGGGCAGATCACTTGAGATCAGGAGTTCGAGACCAGCCTGGCCAACACAGCAAAAACTCGTCTCTAGTAAAAACAGAAAAATTAGCTGGGTGTGGTGGTGCACACCTGTAATCCCAGCTACTTGGGAGGCTGAGGCAGGAGAATCACTTCAACTTGGAGGTGCAGGCTGCAGCAGGCAGAGATTGAGCCACTGCAACTCGACTCTGGCCTTGGCAACAAAGCAAGACTCTGTCTTAGAAAATAATTAATTAATTAATTAATTAATTCTGTCTGCCAAGGGAGCTAACTTTATCATTAGAGGCCTGAGTTTCCTGACAGATTGCCTTAATAAGTAAAGGAATACTAGTGGTGTGGCATTAAGGGTTTTCCATGGTGAGCTGGCAAAACTAAAGACCAAAGCCTGGCCTAGAAAGCTGCTTAACTTAAACGAGGTATCAATGACCCTTGGACAACACGAGTTTGAACTGCACAGGCCCATTTACACATGAACTCTTTTCAACTGAAGGCAAATCAAAAACACAGTACTCACAGCACGCGAAAGCGCAGCGTCTGTGGAGGGCCGGCTGCGGGACCTCAGAACGCACAGATGTGGGTGTGCGCGGACGGTCCAGAAACCGATCCCCATGCTCTCCGAGGGATGATGCACACTGTTCATTATATCTGTTTTATTTGTGCCGTATGCCTCAATGGGGAGACAGAACATCTGATGAAACAGGTGTATAAAGAACTACAGGTTCTTATTTCACTTGGAAACAGCCTTGAATGACGGTTTCTCCTAAATCATTTCAGGCACATGTACAAATATATAGAAAAGTGACCTGTCCATTGTTAAGGTTTATCTAGCTCATTTATAATTTTTATACAGGTTTTATTTCTCTATTACATTAAGCACCATATAATGTATGTAGAAATACTTGCAGGTTGTAAGGCATTATAAAAATGCTTGTCACTGTCACTGTCATCACTGCCATCATCATCATCACCATTATCCTTACCCGCTGGTCCTCCTTTATGAGAATTTGTGAGGACTGACAACCCTGGAACCTCCAGAACAGAGGATCTCAAAACCAGGATTCCAAGAAGACGGTCAGTGCATGAACACAGGTTCGGCACTTCACTGAGCCCCTTGGTATTGAATCAAATCACTGTCTCTCTGAAGAAAGAATATACAGCTTTCCACAGATTCTCAAAGTTTCTGTGACGCCAAAACCATCAAGAACCACAGTTTTGGAGCCTACAAATAGGCGTCCAGGGTGGCAGAAAAGAAGCTTCGCTCAACCTTCACAACTGCAATTACTGTGTGTTACAATCTATTTGCTCACAAAACAAATGAGGGCTACTTACTGCTCTATCAGCCACTGTGCTTAGAAGAGGGTAGACAGATGATTACGCTGGACTGTGTCCTTGAGTTCATGGAGACGGACTGAAGTCACAGACAGGCCGCGCACTGAGTCATACACTACAACAGAGGAACACACAGGAAGTGCCCCCGCAGCGAAGAGAAGCAAAGGCTACCTGGCTTGAAGGAAAGGTTTCCCCGGAGACCCCACGATGGCTTACCAGGCCAGCCTAACCATTATGCATTGAGTGCCTGTTATATACACCAAGCATTCAAAGACTTACGTGCGCCCACAAAGAGCTGACAATCTAGAGGAAAGGCGCGTGTAAATAAACAATTACACTAGAGTGATACTGCAGTCATATGTTTAAGTACATAAAAGATAAGAAACAGCTCCACGTAACGAAGAGGGCTGTCAAGAAAGCTTTATTAAGTAGAGTTATGAGATAATACGAGCTGACCACTGTATGCCCAAAGGCAGGGAGACAGAAAACGGCGAGGCACAGAGGGGTAGAGGGCTGCACAGGGCAGGGGCTGAGGGACCAGGGCTGCACAGGAGCCAGTGAGGGAAGCACGGGTGATGTTAAATGGGAGAGCAGGGAGGCCTGTTAGGGCAATGCGGCTCCGCCACGGAGAGACTGGACCCCGTGCGATGGGAGACAGTGAAACGGGTTAAGGAGGATTCCGTGACAGATGAACACCTCAGCTCAAGAATCACGTCTGTATTGTCAGAATGCCTCCTAACGCATCACAC
This sequence comes from Homo sapiens, assembly GCF_000001405.40. NCBI lineage: Eukaryota > Metazoa > Chordata > Mammalia > Primates > Hominidae > Homo > Homo sapiens. Next base: position 186,698,887 of record NC_000004.12, read on the forward strand.
CATAAACTACATCAACTGGCACGCGCTACTTTCCTTTAAAAAATGCAACAGAATATTTCAAAATTCAATGGCACTAAGTCGACGTGCATCATATTTCCATCATTTGTCGTGTTTTTATAATTTGGCACAGACATGAACTCCATGAGCAGAGTATAACACCACGTAATTTTACTCACTAATTGTGACAATCTAGTGAGACAGTCTATGGAAAGACCATAAAATAGGGCCTGTACACGGCAAGTACTCACTAAACGTTAACTATAATTACATGCTGATGATGATTAAGAAGAAAAAGCTTACCTGTGATAAGAATATGGTTAAATTATCACAAACCAGAAAGCAGTCTTCAGAAACTACATAAATAGCTGAGTAACTTTTATTAAAAAAAAACAAAAAACCAATTGATTTAAAACTAAAAAGACTGTATTAGTAGACTCTCCCCAACATGAAATGAGTAAGACATTCTAAAGAATCCCATTCAACAGGTTGAGCCACTCGGAGGCCTAGCAATGGACCGAGTTCAACATGGTATCAGATATTCGAGGAGATATGGTACTGTTGAACTGGCAAGGCAAGTTAATTGATAAGACTGGCCCTTGAAGTATATATGTGAATAGTTTCCTAGACTTACTGTCACTGCTGTGAAACTGGAGAACTGCCAATTCAACAAGTACAGGCATGTGCCCTTGAACGGCAATCTTTCCAAGTCCATTTATTCCTAGTAACAAAGACAGAAAAGATTGCGCTTTGTGGCACTATGTCTTGTATGGAGCATGCACTATTTATAAGCAGCATGGTCTGCTGTTTGAAAAAAAAAAAAAAATGCCAGAAAGGCAACTGCAAAATAACAGTACACAAAACACACACTAATAAATAAAAACGTGACAAATCCAGCCCTACGAACTAAAATAATCCAAAAAGTAAAAACAATGGGAACTAAATGGTAAGAAAATCTCCAACATTTAAACTAACACCTAAAGCTTAAAATCTTTTCAATTTTCATAGTTGTACACGGTAGGTAATACGGAAAGAACAGACCAGGTATTAAGTGAACATTAAACCTCTACACACACAGGTCACTCAACAAATTACGAACACCCAATCCTTAAACATCCTTAGGACAAAAAACAGTTCCCTGGCAAGGGGGACGGTGAGTAAGCTTACTCTGGCTTTCTTGCCCCGTACTAGATGGCCAAGAGGACAGCTGCTGATGCCAAGGCACCAAGGAGGACAAGGCAAGAGAACGATGGCCTCATGTAACTCGATGCAGAGGGAGGTACAAATCACGTTAGCTTTGGCGTGCAGGCCTGAAAGCTGGGACCTAACCACCATCTTAAACATGGTTTCCACAAGAAAAGCCTTCCAACAATTAACGTCCTGTCCAGTTCAGATGGGCAGCATTTTTACCGATTAAATCACACTTTTACAACTGCAAACACAAATATGACACCTGTCCATCTCTTCAATGGCCAATGAGACAAGGGAAGCTACAGGCACTCACCTGGATTCACCCACGCCTTCGCTGGCCTGATCTTGACTTGCTGACTGCCACCGCGACGGAATTCAAACTCCTGTCCTCCTAATTGTGCTAGATAGCAATATGTCATTCAGAGTAAAAATGCTGGAAGATTCTTACATTCAAGACTCCTTCAGGACCAAGCATCGAATCTAGGATTCAAGGCTGCAACCTGGCCTAACCCAGCTTAGCACAGAAACCCACTTCACTAGTCGTTTTTGAACAGGCTCCCTCGCAGCATCCGTAGATCATTCTTCAAAGAGTAAGAGGAGTAAAATGCGGTTCTGGCACTTAGCACCCAAGAAGTCTTGGGCAAGTTACTTAACCTCTCATTGACGTTTCATCCTGTAATGTAGGGATAACAGAGTCCACCCGGTGGTTGTGAGAATTAAATGGACTGGCACACACAGAATGCCGGGCCCAGTGCCCGGCTGTGACACTCAGTGTCGTGGTTATTACTAGACTGGTGCTCACCACCAGTGTCATTACCACTGACAGCATGAGGACAAAGCCGGCCTGTCTGACGTAAGCTGTTTCCACCCCACACCTCCAGGTCCCGGCCCCTGCACACTCTGAGAATTACATCACAGCACGGTAAGCGTCACTGCGTGCTGCTCCACAACGTGGGACGGCCCTGAGTCACGGTCCCCCGAGTTCCCATCCACAGCCTTTCCAGGCTAGACTTGTTCAGTCAGTAACGCATCAACGTGGTAAACATCATACAAATAACTAAAGAAAAGCTGAATCTCTGTTGTTTTTAGTAAGAAAATGGAACTTCCTTAGGATTTCGACTAGATCCTATTTTCACCTTAACATCTTCCTGCTTCAAAGAAGGACCCTTCCCCTGGTAGAAATTGTTACCACGCCCTGCTTGACTCAGAATCACACACACACAAGATTTTTATCCCAGAACACAGCAACAACACACTGTGGTAACATCATTTCTGCCAAGACACAACTTCCAGTCTCCCTGTGGCTGGGAAACGAGCTTCTTTTCTCTTAAGCTTTCCTAGGAGGAGAACATAAAGAGCCAAGAGGACAGCAGCTGCTGCCACTTCAGGGAGGAGCCAGCAACACAAAAGCCCTTTCACCAGCACATTTTTTAACTCTCTGCCGGGCCTCCCACCCGTCTCTAATCAAGTTCCTGCTGCCAGGAATTCTAGCCCCAGCTCCCACAGGGCATCAGGTCCCACCACAGCAGGCCAGGCTTCCAGCAGCCACCCAGCTCTCAGCCACTTGCAGACCCTTTAGTCAGGATCCGGGGCCCGTCAGCCTCCTCCACATTCCTTCTCCTGTCACAGGAGGACGTGCAGCAGGAGCAGGGATCCCAGGATGTAAGTAAAATATCCTACTTTATATGAGGAAAAGGGTTTCTAACTTGAATGAATAATAAATAGCTGAAACATTCAGAGTTCTGCAGAACCAGACAGAAGCTCCAGAAACATTTTCCCTGACTGAGGTCAACAATCAGGTTAGCCTGGGCCGGAATTCCGTTCCGTTCCCACTGTAGAAACGCACTCACCTGTGTGCACCTAAGCCGGGCGGCCAGGAGCCGACCCCACACAGGTGACACAGGGATGAGGCCAGGAGCCGACCCCCACACAGGTGACACAGACATGAGGCCAGGAGCCGACCCCCACACAGGTGACACAGGGATGAGGCCAGGAGCCGACCTCCACACAGGTGACACAGACATGAGGCCAGGAGCCGGCCTCCACACAGGTGACACAGGGATGGTGCTCCAACACTCTCCATCGTGTGAATGCAGCCATTTTCTCTTAAGAAAAATGTCCTCATTTCCCTTCCTGTATTTCATGAATGCTGACTTAAGTTGTGACAACGGCTGTACTTCCATATTAATTCATTCCCAGTCTTTTCATCAAAACGTAAATTTCAATCCTGAAACCAGGATTGGGATGCTAAAAGTAACACAGCAGTAATATGTTTAGAGATCTGCTCTTATCTTAATGAAAAACACGGGCTCCCCAAATAAGTAGAGTCAGAAGGGGAAACACTCGTCCTGGGCTGCTTTGTATACTAACATTAACAGCCAAAAAGAGAACCAAACTACTCTAGACTGAAGGTCAAACACATTCCAGGGCGTCCTGTACGCAATACACACATCAGGGAACAGACCTCAACCCAACACTGCTTCAACACCAACTTCTATTCACAATTTCTACAAAATCTTCTGGCCAGGCATTTTTCTAGACATTCCCTTAGTTTTAAAAATGAACAAAAAGCTGCAGCATTTCATTGGTGCTCAAGTAATAATTAACTTGCTAAGTACACATCAGCTAAGAACACTACACCAAATTTATTCCACACACCCACAAGAGGGATGCTCCAGATTTTATTCTGCTTAAATTACAGGAAAACCTGTTGAAGCTTACAACAAAGCAACAGAGAATGGATCTGAAGTAGAAGAGGGGGTTGGATGCTGAGACGCATGGCAGGCAGACCGAACCCTGAATGTGGGATTACACATGCTTCAAAGATCTTTACTCCGCTAAACATCTTTGTTAAATCTACTTTATAATCCTCACTGTAGACCTTACAGATAGCAATCTGAGGAGGAGAATCTTAATTAGAGCTCTGGAAACTGGCTCTCTAACGAGACCGACTTTCCAAATAATTGTTCACATGGCCCTCTCCCCTTCCAGACCTCACATGGAAGGGCAGTCACGTGGCATGGATCTGTCAGAACAGTTCACCAACATCCAGAGGCCTCTCCAGGAAGGGCAGATGATACCGTGAGACCTGCAGAGTCCACGCCCGCCATCCCCACTCTGCCACTACGCTTTCTCTCGCTGCAAAGCCATTTGCAGAACATGTACAAACCACGGAGCTAAGAACACAGAGCTAACAGGACTGTCCGTTTGGTGACAGATTTTTAGGTAGTCCATAGAATTTCTACTTCTACAAAAACAGAAAACTACGTTTCAGAGGATGTTTCCAATTTAAGCAGATTTAAAGAGAAGAAAAGGAAAGATCTTAAAATAGAACTTCATTCAGCTTGCTGGATAGGTTCTCTGTTCTGTGAAAAGTATATAAATGATACACATATTTGACTAGGTTGAAATAGGTAAAATATGACAAAAATTTGGTTATAATACTCAACCAACACTAGTAGCTTTAAGTCAAAGACAAGAAGCAAACAGTTACGTGGACAGGTTGTTGGTCCCCAGAGCCACAGCACTCCTGCACAGGCTCATATTAATTAGCGCAATATTAAATGCCCCCGAGTTAGGCAAAGAAGACCCTGGTGGACATGGGCAATGGGCAAGGAGCGAAGTTCCAGCAAGCACCAGCCTGGCCTGGGCCGGGTGCACGCCAAGGCACACCAAGCTGTAGTGCAGTCTCTGGCAGCCCCCACGGGTGTTCCTCAACTGCCCCTCCATCTCTTCACCTGACACGCATCTTTCCACACTTCCTTCATGCCCTAGAAATTAGTTAAGACACACTCCAAGTGAATAATTAGCATGCCTAATTTTAGCCAACAAAATATACTGATTTTTCCTAAAGGAGTTTCTACACTGTGATACCAATTGTCCTGCCAGGAATCTCTGAAGAAATAACTTGGGCTGATAATTCTTCTGCCAAAAAATGTATCTTGTAATGAATACGAGGTCCAATGTGTAAATATTATTCTATCACTTTTGTTCATTTCCAAAAGCATATAAACGTAAGTCTACTGTACACTACTTACTTTCTCTGTAAAGCAAGGACCACAGAATAAATGACCTACAAATTTCCAGCTTCTCTCTCACCTTTAAATCTCAATATTTACACACAGTTTCTTATATACTTACCAACCACACTGCCCACAATCCCAACACCTCCCCGCCTCCCACTAAATTACTACTGGAAAAGTCTGGCACTGCCCTTTCTGGAAAATACCATAAATCTATTTTGGGACACCACCTCGTTTGGCTGGTTGTTTCCTTATTTTTTTTTTCTTGGTAGTAAAAATATCCCAATCTCTTAAATGTGTAGGTGAAAAATACTAGTTTCGAAATGATTCCTTAAAAAGCAACAATAAAAATACTCTTCTTCACTTGAAAGAAAAAACCCAAAAGGCAGTGTTCATACAAAGTCATGAAGAGAATTTAAATTAAGGTTTTGGTTCCATTTTGTCTCAACTTTAACTTTTAACAGTTCTTTATAGGCTTTTGAAACCTACTTTGGAGAAGGAAAAAAAGTAGGAATAACTGTTCTTCAAAAATTTTACAAAAACAGTTTGACTCAGCTTCAGTTGTTAAATTTGGGGTATTTTTCTATGTTGAAACAGTATTTGAAAATTCTAACTTATACTGGACAGATAAAATGATAAAAAAGACATTCTACTCTTCAGAGGATTATCAAATGCTGTTGATTATGCTAGTTTCTCTTGAAATAAACTAATTATGGGTATTTTAGATAGTGATATATAGTCTGTAGACTTAATACATAGGCCATATGCTAGTGGCACATAACCAACAGAGAAAGAATTCCTTGCATTAATAGAAGCACAAAAAATATATTACAACTTCCAAAATAACTTTTTTTTTTTTTTTTTTTTTGAGATAGTCTGGCTCTGTTGCCCAGGCTGGAGTGCAACGGCACAATCACAGCTCACTCCAGCCTCGACCTCCTGGACTCAAGCCATCCTCCCACCTCAGCCTCCCAAGTAGCTGGGACTACAGGTGTACCACCACCCCAGCATTTTTTTTTTTTTTTTTTTGGTAGGAACGAGGTTTTGCTGTTACCCAGGCTGGTCTTGAACTCCTGGCCTCAAGCAATCCTCCCACCTGCGCCTCCCAAAGTGCTGCGATTACAGGCGTGAGCCATCGCACCCAGCCCAAAATAATGTTTTTCTAAACAGCAGTTACATTTTTCATGTGCTACACACCTATCAGATGGCATGGATCCCAGGGTGGGTGTTGACTGAAGACTCTCTTGTTTTTTTGTGTGTGTGGTATTACTGAATATATAAAGTTTAAAGGTAATTTTAAAAAGGTCCCTTTTAAAATGCACAGATTTATAAAGTACACATGGGTGAGATTAGTAAACAAATTGAGCCCCACCTATTGCTGATGAGTGCTATGATCACCCCTTTTCTATTTCCACTATCATTCTCAGAGGGCAGGACATGAAAAGCCAACACATTCGCTCATTTACTCCTGCAGTCTTTTAACACTGATTGACCAGCTTCTATGTGCCAGGCACTTTTTGCTAGGTGCTAAACACAGAAGATGCAGGGGCTAAAAGCCTGCCCCGAAAGGCTCACACTCCACCAGGACATATTGACATATAACTACAATATCTGCGCAGCAAGACTGAGGTATGTACAAAGTGCAACACACGCACTTTCTAGCTTGGACTGCTGCCTTGGAGGTCCCGGTTTCAGAACCTTCAGTATTACAACAAAGCACTGCTACCATGAATAAACCTACCACACGTCAGGAGTTTTCCCGTGTTATTTCACTTTACTCTCACTTAAACCTTCCGGTATTTCTAAGTGTCCCCATGTAGAAGAGGAAAAAGTTAGTTCTAAGAAGTCATTTGCTTGTCCAGGATCACCAATTACCAACTAGAAGAGCCAGGATTCCAAGCCAGGTCTTCTCAGTTCAGCATGCCACTACCCCGCCTCTGCCTCTCGACCAAAACCTAGACGAGGTACTAAGTGAAGACCACATTAGAGAAGTTTTGGCACATCATCTCTGCACTGGGTAACTTTGCCGGTGTGCAACAACCTCTGAATGGCACGCCAGATGGTAGCAGTAGTTGTTCTAAGTATGAGCCTGCAAATACACTGACTGAAAAAAGTTGGAAAGACTTCTCAAAGTCAGAACAAAACCATAATGATGCTTTTGATAATAGAGTTCAAAATAGAGTTTGGAGATCAGTATCAGTGATAACAATTTCAATGTATCCCTGGTCTTTTACTCACTTTACGCCACTTAAATCACTCAGGCCCTTTTGTTTCCATCTTCATGGCTTACTACGAATAAACACATCTACAATACAGCAGCCGGGCCAAAAAAAATATTCACACGCACTTCTATACCGAGCCCAAAGAGCAACAGGGAATTTTGAAGAAGCTGCCACAGGGCAGATGGTTAAAAAAAAAAAAAAAATGGAAAAGGGCATCAAATGAGAGCAATAAAAACATATTTACCTGTCTCTTCACCTATTTTGAAAACACCAACGCCAGAGCCATCTCTAATGGAGTATCGGATCTCCCCATCTCTTCTGGCGTCCTCATCATGAGCCGACACCGTCATTACCAATGAACCAACAGGTGCATCTTCTTTCACTGTCCCCTTTTCCACAAAGCTGGAAAACACGGGTGGGTGCAGGTTCTCATTCACATCAACCACCTCAACTTCAACATAGCAAGTAGAAGACAGAGAAACTGGCTTTCCCTTGTCTTTGGCCCTCACAGTGAGATTATACACTTGCTTCTTCTCAAAGTCCAACTGCTGGACGATCCTAACTGCTCCACTGAGTTTATCCACATCGAAGTTTCCTTCTCCGTGGTCCAGAAGGCTGTATCTCACCTGACCAGACTGACCTAAATCAGGATCGTGGGCTTCTAACCACATGATGACGGTTCCTTCTGGAAGATCCTCTCGGACTTTCACACGATAATTAGGTGGAATAAATGTAGGTGGGTTGTCATTAACATCTTCTAGTGATACTTTCACAACGACAGTGGAGAACAGCTGAGGCTCTTCTCTGGCTTGGTCCCTGGCCTCAATCTTTAAGGAGTGCTCATGCTGCAGCTCTCGATCCAGAGGGCGTGCGATGTTAACAACACCCGTCACGCTGTCAATTGAAAATGTGTCTGTGTCTGTAACAATTGAGTACGTCACGTGTCCGTTGGGCCCCAGGTCTTTATCTGTGGCTTCAACCTGGATGATTTCACTATGTACCTCCTTGTCTTCACTCACTTCCACAAAATAGCTCTCCTGTAAAAACTCGGGTGGATTATCATTGGCATCGACAACCACGACATGTAGAAGACGCCACGCAGCCTTCTGGGGTATCCCAAGGTCATAGACGGTAATATTCAGGGTGTATTTGTCTGTTGTTTCACGGTCAAGAGGAGATAAAATTTTCAGCATTCCTGTTTCCATATCAATCATGAAGCAACTATCCTCATTTCCTCCAGAAACAGCATAGACCAGTTTTCCATTGAAGCCAGTGTCAAGGTCAGTGGAGTTCATGAAAATTACACTGGAACCCACAGGCTGGTTTTCCTTTACCTGAATACCAGTCGGAAGAGTGCTTCTAAACTGCGGTATGTGAGCATTGACAGAGTGAGAATCGAAGAAAATATCCTCCACCTCTCCCTGGTTGTGTAATTTATTTGCCTGCAGGAGCTTCTCTGCCAGCATTTTGGCAACACCAGTCTCTTCACACTGCAAGTTTACCAGCTTGTGACTGGCAGCCACTGTTATGTTGATATATAATGGTGTGGCAAAATTTTCTCCATCTGTAGCTGTGATTCTCAGACTGTGGAAAGACACCTTTGCACCTAAGCCATCCATTAGCGATCGCTTTAATGACAATACCCCCGAGTTGGGGTTTAAACTAAAGAAATCCAGTTCATTTCCAGCTTCAATCTGATACTGTACCAACTGAAGTTCATCTGCATCAATAGCAGAAACAGTGGTTATTTGCTCTCCCACGCCTAGATCTCTGGGAATTGTCCCTTCACAATTTATTTTCTCAAACAAAGGTGTGTTGTCATTCAAGTTATTGAGAGTAATTGTAGCAAGGACTTCGACTTCCCGGCGGTACGGCAAGCCCCAGTCTGATGCACGAATCCTCAGAGTATAAACCCGAGGCATCAGTTCGTAGTCCAGGTTTTCTGACGTACTCACGGCACCAGTGAAATGGTCAATCGCAAACGGCACATGATTTAAATTTGCGATACTGTATGTCACGTACCCGTTCTCACCCTCATCAGGGTCTACGGCACTCAGGCTCATGACAGTAGTACCAATGGGCACGTTCTCATCAAAAGCAGCTTTGTACGCTGTCTGGGTAAATTCAGGGGGATTGCTATTTGCACCTAAGACTTTCACCAAGACCTTGGTGGACGCTTTTCTGTCACTTGTTGTTACTTCAAGTTCAAAATGGGCTGCCTGCTGTCTTTTAACTGGTTCTAAAATAGAAATGAGACCAGTGTTGTAATTTAAACTGAATTTAGCTTTTCCAGGTGTACTTTTAAAAACATACCTCAAATGGGAATAAGCAGGAATGGCCTTTACCATGACCACAGGTGTGTTGGGAGGAGCAAATTCACTTATTTCTGCTCTGTAAACATCCTTTTCAAACTTGACTGGCCCGGCTTTGAACTGTGGAGAAGTCACGTGAATGACTTTAACAGAAGAGAACTGGGGCGGAGTTCCTTTATCTTTAGCCTGTAGTGTGAGATTGTAGCCGAAAGGATGACTGTCCCAATCAATGCCACCGATGGCTTTGACTTTATACTCCTTACTCCCTGGAAAGGACCTCACTGTTCTAAACTGCTGGAGAAGGTCACCTGCCACGATGCTTAAAGATGCTATGTCACCATTGGCACCCTGATCGCAGTCATCCACTGTCACAATTGCATATGCTGGGTCCCTGTCCAGTTCTGATGGTGACAATGTCACTGCTGTTATCACCGGAGCACATTCATTGGCCTGTTCGATGTGCACCGTTAGCTTGGCCATGCTGCTGATGCCACTGCTCCCATACAACTTCATGCCACGGTCCGCAGCGAGGATTTCCATCTCATAGAGCTTGGTCTCTAGGTAATCAAGTCTACCAGTTAACACTATCACACCACTGGTTGGGTGAATAGCAAACATATCTGTTCGATCTTTAAAACTGTAGTAAAATTCCCCGTTGGTTCCTATGTCTGCATCCGTGGCGCTGACTCTTGCGATACTGGTCCTTATAGCTGTGTTTTCAGGTAAAGAAACGCTGTATGAGGTGGGTGAGAATAACGGTCTCAAGTCATTTGTATCCAGCACCTGCACCCTGACCTTTGTTCGCGCCTCCACATTAGTATTTTTTTCAAGTGCTTTCACTATCAATGTGTAGTGATCCTTCACTTCTCTATTAAGAATAGCTGTATTTCCTCCTTTGGTCCTTATTCTTAGAAAGCAAAAGTCTCCGAGAATGTACTCTTCAGCTTTGAACAGGTTTTCACTGTCTCCGGAAACAATTTTGTACCTTACTTCCCACGCTGGATGTGTAATGTAAACACCCATCTTGACAGGATGCCCCACATAAGTCTTAGCTGCAGAGTTCTCCTGCACGGTGACGTTGTACTCGAGGTGTGTAAACTGCAGAGGAGTCTGTTCAAGTCGTTGGCTGCCATCACTGTCTCCAAAATGTTGGAAGAGAAGGAGCAGAAGCAGGAGCAAAGCCAAATGTCTCCCCATTGCTTAACTGTCGGGAATCTGAAACAGAAGAAATCAGAATCGTTACCTTGGGGAAATAAAACAAGCAAAAGTGTGTACATTGTTTTAAACTTCTCATTAAAAAAATATTTTCCATACACATGGAATATAAATAAATGCAACGGTTTGGGATGTTTTTCATGTTTTCCAATATAAGTATCAACATTCTTGTAACATGTCTAGAATTATTAAGCTTAACAAAAACTTCCTTTTCATTTTTGAACGACAAGGTCCTCTCTTTCATATTTAAACGACTCAAAAATCTTCATGAGTATCAAATGAAAGGCTACTAACTGTAACAACTAAGTTATATTTTTATATTTAAATCGTTAAGGCAAATATAAGCAACTGTTAAAAATTAATGAACATTGTTTACATTTACTTACATACAATGAATTAAATGATCAAAAGCTGGCAAACATAATGCCCCTACAGTATTGTGAGAATGCAAAGCTTCTGACAACTAATTCAGAAAAAAACAAAAACCAGCAGTGGTTTTACATGGCGCTCCATAAGAACAGCTTGTAATCTCATTTCAAAATGTATCCTGAAATTATATTATTTCTGTATAAGAATGGTTAAGTTCACTCCCTACATAATGTAAGGGTTTATTGTCTCATTTCGCTCTATGTAACTACTTAAAAGTATTAAAATAATTATATCAAGTATAATACTTATCAGCAACATAAGCCCCAAAGAAAGGCAATTTACAAAAGAAAAACCAGAATTCAGCAGCCTGATGTCAAACAGCATTTTTCCTCTCTAAGTCAGTGAAGCAAACTTTACCAACTATATCAATGTTTTATCACCACTGCTGTCAACAACCAGTTGTTCACAGAATGTCTCCTATCTTCAGGGCATCGAACAACCTGTCACCCTGGGCCCCTCCATGAGAAGATGACACACACACACAAAAGCTAAATCTTCTAAGCTAACACACGTCAAGGGTCAAATCAGTCTATTAATACATGGTGGCAGACTCTGCAGGACAGTCCCTGGGTGACTGGCGGAGAAAAGAGAGAAACTGAAGAAATGAAGAAAACGTTGCCTTTAACAATGACAAATGGGAAGGTGGGCGAAGTCCACTGGGCTGAGGTCTGGCCAGGGAAGCAGGACAGTTATTTTCAGATCAACTGTTCCCCTTTGCCAACAAATTCATCTTGTAAATCAACACAGCTTCACAAAGGACAGCACTGTCATCTTGCAAAGTGACTCTCAAATTAATATTCACAAAATGTGAATGCTACCAGAGGTAAATGAAGAGCAAACTGGAGGGTGGGTTTGACAGCCCAGTTGAAATTGGTACGACAACATTAATTTATAGTATCTTAACTTAGCTACTGCCAACTCTGCCCCATAAGTCATTGCCTTAGGGGGAAAAAAAGACCTGATGTGCTTAAAGCAATTAAAGCTTAATTGATATTGAACCACGTTCAAGTTGGCCACCCTAACTTGTTCTTTAGCTATGATGCCTTCTCCTCTCCAGATAAAGTCAGAAATTAGACAGATTTTTGGCTTCTAGGAGAACAATTATCATTTAAACAAAATAAGAAAACAATTTTCTCCCAAAACTATCTCTTTAAGTATCTCCATTTAGTCAACAGTTCTAATACTCAGGGAAATTTGAATATTATAAAATAATCTTGTAATTTTATCAAAACAAATAAAAAGTTCAACCTACAGGTATGGAGGACCTTATCAGACAGAACCTTGCATGGTGTTAAGGAATAAAAGACAAAGATCCCAATCCCAAGGGATTTACAAACTAGAAATAAAAATACATATAAAGAGGCTGGTCACGGTGGCTCACACCTGTAATCCCAGAACTTTGGGAGGCCAATGCAGCCGGATCCCTTGAGCTCAGGAGTTCGAGACCAGCCTGGCCAAAACATGGTGAAACCCCATCTCTACTAAAAATACAAAAATTAGCAGGATATGGTGGAGCAAGCCTGTAATCTCAGTTACTCCAGAGGCTGAGGCAGGAGAATCACTTGAACCCGGGAGGCAGAGATTGCAGTGAGCCGAGATCGCGCCACTGCACTCCAGCCTGGGCAACAGAGCTAGACTCTGTCTCAAAAACAAAAAAACAAAACCAGAAACACTTGGATGATGTTTAGCAAGCAGTGTCTTTTGTTTTAGGAGTCACATTATGTTTTAGGAGACATTTTTACCATCATCCATTGTACAACAAAATATTATACCAGGATTCTATTGCAAGTACTAGAAGTATTTTTGCTTAATTCTACGTATAAAGTTATCATGCAGCCATTAAAAGATAGCACTCTGTATGTTGACATATGTCTAGCTATATAAACTGGAAAAACGAAGCTGATCCTATTTATGTTTATTTAAAAGAGAGGAGAAGGGGGGTAGATACAATGTACCCACGGATATACTTTAAAATGGACAGAAAAGTCTAGGCAGACAAGCAACTGTTAACAGTGGTAACTTCTGGAGAACCGGTAGAGAAACAGGTAGCTGAGGGAATGATTACTGTGGCATTTTTCTCTACTGTGGTTTTTTTTTAGCATGAGTATGTGTTGTCTTTATCATCCACTCACCCCTTTCATTAATTATTTAATTCCTTTTACATAGGTTTAATGAGCATCTACTATGTATCAGGTGCAGTTCTAGACGCTGGGGATTCAAAAGTGAACCAAATTACCAACAAGTCCTGATGGAAGATACATTTCCTGGCCAGACACAGACAGACAAGTAAACAGAGTATATCCGATGCTGATAATTAAGTGCTAAGGAGAAAACTAAAGCAGGGCAAAGAGAGACCAGGGTCAGGAACCTGAAGGAAAAGAGGGAACCCTAAATCCAAAGGGTCAGGGCTTACACTAGTGACATGCTGGGCAACTCTTAGATTCTTTGGGGAAACGTAGAGTGTTCAATATGATTCCTGGTCCCCACCAGCATGAAGCCTGTGGCATCCCCCTCATCACCCAGCTGTGATGACTAAAAATACCTCTATCTCGAGACATTGCCAAACACCCTCTAGGGCAGAAAGTCACACCCCGCAGAGAAGCACTAGATTAGGGAAGCCAGAAAGAGACCACGTGGCTGGAGCACAGCGGTTGAGGGACAGCGGTAAGGCCGGGGCACATCCTGGGAGAGAACCTATCATGAAGGGGGTTCTTTTTAAAAATAAACCTTATTTTAGAATGCTTTTAGACTTACAGAAAAGTTGCAAAGAGAGCTTCCCCTACTGTTAACATCTCACTTTAGTACATTATACTAGATACAACTAACAAACCAGTACTGACACATCATCAACTACAGTCCATACTTCACTCAAATTTGCTCATTTTACCCAAGGCCTTCTCTCCATCCTAGAATCCCTTCCAAGACACCACCTTACATTTAGCTGTCATGTCTCCTAAGGCTCCTCTGGAATGTACGTTTCTCAGATTTTCCTTGCTTTTAATGATCTGGACAGTTTCCAGAAGTACTAGTCAGGTATTTTGTAGGATGTCCCTCAACTGGAATCTGACGTTTCTCTCCTGATTAGATTGGGGTTCTGTTTTGGGGAGAAAAGCCACAGAGGTAGAGTCGTTTCCACCACACCGTAGCAAGCGGGTAAAATCAACACGATTTATCGATGTTGACGCTGCTCCTGACCACGTGACTGAGGTAGTATCTGCCAGGTTTCCTCACAGTCAGGTTACTTTCACCCCTCCCTGTACTGTATTCTTGGTAAGGAAGTCACTGCATGTAGCCCATTCTTAAGAGACAGAGAGTTTCGCTACTCAAAATATTTATAATTCTTCTAGAAACTGATTTGTCTATCTTCCTCCATTTATTTATTCAATTTTTTTTCTTTTTTAGACAGAGTCTCGCTCTCTCACCCAGGCTGGAGTGCAGTGGCGCGATCACGGCTCACTGAAGCTTTGAGCTTTCCGGGCCCCCGTCTCAGCCTCCTGAGTAGCTGGGACTATAGGTGCGTCTGTAGATTTAGACTGACAGAATTTTACATACTCAGGAACCACCAGCACGCCTGGCTCATGTTTGTATTTTTTATAGAGACGGGGTTTCACCACGTTGCCCAGGCTGGTCTCAAACACCCAGGCTCAAGCGATCTGCCCAACTCGGCCTCCCGAACTGCTAGGATTACAGGTGTGAGCCACTGCATCCAACCTGAATCTTTTTTTTTCTCAAGATCCGTCTGGACTCATGGATAAAGGACAATTTTTAGGACTTTAGAGTTTAGTATGAATCAAATGAGAAGTCCCCCAGCGGATTCTGAACCGAGGAGTGCCACGGTCTCAGTAAAATGGAAAAACCTGTGGGCAGCCAGGGCAGAAGCTGGAGGGCGACCAGAGCAGTCAGAGGCTGCAGCCACAACACAGGTGGAGCGCGTGTGGGCTGGGGCACAACGGGGGTGGGGGGCAGATTGTGAATCTATTTCAAGGTTGCCTGATGCTGGAGTGGGGAGAGGGAGGGAAAGGAGGAGAGAACAGTACCAGAGAAGATGCCAAAGACTGCTCAGCGTAGAGAACAAGGGGGCCAGGAACCGAGAGGGAGACAGGAGGAGAAGCAGCCTCAGGGAGCAGATCGGGAGGTCAGTTTTGGACAGGGTAAGATGGGAACAGCTACGGGCTATCCAAGTAAAGATTGTGAGTGGGCAGCAGATATGTGGGAGACTCCAGCCGGCAGATAGAAATTTGAGAGTTGTCTAAATATGAAAGACGGTATTTAAAACCACAGAACTGAATGAGATCACCAAGGAAGAGAGCAGGCAGAAGAAAAAAAAAATCCAAGAGCAGAACCCCAAGATTTGAAGGGTCCAAACGGGAGGCCCTGACAGGGGAGATGTCGGCCACTGAGGGAGGAAAGGGAACCACAGCATAGTGGTGTGATAAGAAACAGTGAGTAAATAAAGATTTTTCTACAGCTGAAGCCTAACATTAGAACTTGGAGTTCTATATAATATAAATACTCACTAATCCAGCTGGGCGCGGTGGCTCACGCCTGTAATCCCAGCACTTCGGGAGGCCGAGGCAGGCGGATCACGAGGTCAAGAGACCGAGACCATCCTGGCCAACATGGTGAAACCCTGTCTCTACTAAAAATACAAAAAGTAGCTGGGTGCGGTGGTGTGCGCCTGTAGTCCCAGCTACTTGGGAGGCAGAGGCAGGAGAATCGCGTGAACAAGGGAGACGGAGGTTGCACTGAGCTGAGATCGCACCACTGCACTCCAGCCTAGGTGACAGAGCAAGACTCTGTCTCAAAAACAAAAAAAAAAGTACTTGCTGATGCGCCACGCTGCTTCCCCCTCCATCCCCCCACCAGAAGGCTCTGGCACTGTTCCATCCCCTAAGACACACAGACCATGGCCAACACGTCAGACTGCTTTGGCTGTTCTCTCCCCATGCTGTCCCAGGTGCTCAGTCCCACCACAGCCCCCACCACCACCCACTCATCCCCAACTGGATTCCCAAACATGCAATTACCTTCCACATCCTACTCAGCAGTTCTCACGGGACACAATACAGCTGGGACGGACTTGTGGACCACATTCCTAACTGAAATCTTTGAAAAACCTGAATGTACTCTGCAAACTTGGCTAACAGAATGCTACTGTGAGTAGAATAAATTATTAAATGAAAAAATACACTTTTTGGAAGACATTGTTAACCGTGCAGTAATGTAACCAAGAACCACGAATTCAGGTTTCACTATAAAAACCACCCTGATCAAAACAATGGCTGTGGCTCTCATGCAAAACAAACAGTAAAGCTGAAGCGGGGAGAGACTCCAACACCATTTCATCTAAAAAGGACCTTATCGCCTAGACTCCTTTGCTTATGGAAATTAAACTCCAAAGACCATCTGAGCCAAGGGCTATACTTTGATATTTAGAAGGTGATCACACTACTTAAACTCACTGCAATTTGGGATTTCTAAAATGCATTTTCCGAAGCCAAAACAAAGAGTGTTTACTTAGTCTAGCCTTGAAGGAGAAGGGCTCCCAGTCTAAAGCTTAAATATCTTTAGCATAGATCTCTGAAAATCTATAAATACGGCAGAAAAATAACTTTTGCAGTAAAAATCAGATATTAATATCTTCATATTTCTTCATTAGGGAGACCTTCATGTAAAATGCTTCCATCAATTACTGTGACTGCACATTCTTCACAAAACAGAACACAGCCCCTGTGCTGAAAACCTAACTGCATATATTCAAGTGTTTAGATGACCTCAAGCTCAAGTCTTCGAAGGGTTTCACACGCCACAGAGACAGGACATTAGGTGAGACACAGCATCACACAATGCACCAATTCTGTTAAACGCCGCATATTTATTACTGAGCGGTCACAATTCTTACAAGCACAAGTAGTCATTCTAGCCTTTATGGAACAGGACATTATTAAACTTTTCATTTCACATGTTATGATAAAAACACAAAATTATTAAGTTGAGAACTCTGTGTTCTCCCTCACTGTGCTCTTCTCCACTCTCATTTTCTATCAACATAGTGAAAGCGTCAGTAGAATTTAACTCATGATTAAAATTTGGAATTTCGAGTTCAGTTCAGTGTCACATTTTTAAAGTATTTTTAAGAGATCTCTAAATTGCAAGCATCTTTCTTCCCCCGAGACAGGGTCTTGCTCTATCTCCCAGGCTGGAGAGCAGTGGCACCATCATAGCTCACTGCAGCACCAACCTTCCAGGCTCAAGTGATCCTCCCGCCTCCGCCTCCGGGGTACCTGGGCGTACCACCATGCCCAGCTAATTTTTTGTATTTTTGTAGAGATGGGGTTTCACCATGTTGCCCAGGCTGGTCTCGAACTCCTGAGCTCAACTGATCGACCTGCCTGGACCTCCCAAAATGTTGGGATTACAGTTGTGAGCCACTGGGCCTGGCCGGCAAACACATTTTCAAAGCAGGATCATGAAGTTGTCAAGAGATTATGAATTGTAAACGAGTTTTTTTGTTTGTTTGTTTGTTTTGGAGACAGTCTTGTTCTGTCACCTAGACTGGAGCACAGCGGTGCAATCGTGGCTCACTGCAACCTCTGCCTTCTGGGTTCAAGCGATTCTCATGCCTCAGCCTCCTGAGTAGCTAGGAATACAGGCATGCACCACCATGACCAGCTAACTTTTGTATTTTAGTAGAGACGGCCAGGCTAATCTCGAATTCCTGGCTGCAAGTCATCCACCCACCTCAGCCTCCCAAAGTGCTGGGATTACAGGCATGAGCCACCGCACCCAGCGTAAATGGCTTTTTAAAAATACTGTATATTAAAAAGAATGTTGAATGATTTCTAAAATTTCAGACATTCCAAATAAAATTTACAACAGGAAAAAAAAAACTCTCTATTTTTCTAGTTCAATTATCATAGCCATGTCGGTACTTTTAAAAGCTTTCATCCTTACACTGAAATACTAATGAGTAGATCCTGTTTATTTTCTGGGTGTACACTAATTCTTTTCAACCCATCTTCATATGATTTTCAGCATGAACGGAGGAAGCTGTGACCCTAGAAATTGAGCAGCAGCCTTAGGCTTGGTATATGTCATTTAATCACTTCTGCTAACTCCATTTATATGTTGTTATCTTTGACTGGGGCTGCAATAATCTGGTAACTCTAGCAAGACATACTTTAAATATTGCCTTCACATGATCAACCACCGGTTCCAATTTAACCCTGAGAATGGTCTTTACTGACAATGACAGTGTGGAACTACAATCTGGCTTTTTCAGAAAACTTCACCATGTACATGATTTAATCAATCCAAAATAGATTCCTGAAGTGTTCCTGCCCTTAAGAAAGATAAACAGATGTCCTATTTTTCAAACAGCCTCTATATAAAACCTAGTTATCTACATGAACCTATAAAACATGTCTGTTGGCATTACGAAGATGACGGGTTCTAGTTGTTCTGTGCTCCTGGGAACGACAAGACAGGACAGGTAGGCAGCGGCTGTGTGTCTATTTCTGGCAGGGTGAGGCATTCCTGTGCTATTCTCTTCTTTCCCCTCTCTATATATTCCTTATCCTCCAACCACTTTCTCCTCATCCACATTCCAGGACAAACTTTGCCCAAGGAGAAGCTCAATGGACTGTTGACCTCTTGTGAATGGAGATCATCTCATCTAATGTATTTTTCTCCACAAACAGAAGTAATTTAAATGACATCTTGGCAGAGTAGCCAATAATCAACAATGGCCACTTCTTCCACTCCCAAGTTGGTAAGTAAGACTTTATTTTATACGTTGAATTGGGCTCCCTGTATAATTAGATTCGGTCAACCCTTCACTAAATGACAGACCAGGAAAGTGAATGTTCCATGTACAGCAAGAAAACGGAAATCTTCAGGGAGAAAAGTCCATCTTCCCTCCTCCTCTTAAAATGTTCTCTTCACCTGTTCTCTCTTCTTACACCTCAGAAGAGATGCCACCCACCCTAGCTGCAAATAAAGATACTCTGATACCACAAAATCCTGCCTCTTCTACAGCTCCTCCCACTCCTGACACCTTGTGCAGAATCCATACACACACACAGGTTCTTCTCCTACTTAAAAAATAAGCTTGGCCAGACACGGTGGCTCATGCCTGTAATCCCAGTACTTTGGGAGGCTGAGGTGGGCAGATCATGAGGTCAAGAGATTGAGACCATCCTGGCCAACATGGTGAAACCCCGTCTCTACTAAAAATACAAAAATTAGCCGGGCGTGGTGGCATGCACCTGTAGTCCCAGCTACTCAGGAGGCTGAAGCAGGAGAATCGCTTGAACCCGGGAGGCGGAGCTTGCAGTGAGCCGAGATTGCGCCACTGCACTCCAGCCTGGGCGACAGAGCCAGACTCCGTCTCAAAAAAATAAAATAAAATAAAATAAAATAAACTTCATTCAAACCTTTGCTTCTTTCAAACAAACACTCTTATTCTTCTCTTTTTTTATACTGGCAAAGATCGCAAGAAAAGGAGTTTCACAGCACCGCCCTGGCTTCCTTAGAACTCCCTCTCCGCCAAACGCTGCTCCACAGAGATCCTGCAGGTCCACCCTGGCAGAACAGCCGTTCCCGCATCACAAGCTAATGTCAAACCAATGACCTTTTCTCAGTGCTCATCCTCCTTGATTTCATGACACCTTTGACACCACTCACTCCCCTCCCCAACACTCCTGATCCTTCATTCGGTCACAGAGTCCCCCAAAACAAAGAGGCAATCCACAGGTATGAAAAATGAATGACAACATTCTCCTGATTCTCTTCCATACTCTTTTATACTCTACACTGACTCACCTACAACTCTGGCATTACAAACTTGTCTTCCAACTCTTCCTCCACATGCATTTATTACCACCCTTAAAGATCTCATCTACTCTGCCTCAAATCATGAAGGATCAGTGCACCAAATCTGCAATTTCAGCTCTAACCTCTCTCAAACACCTCGTAACATTCCTCCTAAAATACCATCAAACCTAAGTTATACGATTGGCCTTCACTATATAAGAGTTCTGCATCCATGGATCCAACCAACCTCAGGTTGAGAACGTCTTTAAAATAAACAATAAAACAGTAAAAATATAAATAGTACCCCATTTTATATCAGGGACTTGAGCATTCTCAGATTTGGGTATAAAATCCCAAACCTCCCTTAGAGACCAAGGGACAACTATATAGACTTTTCACCCTTTCGCCATTGCAAAATAACAGCTCTTCCAGTTATTTTCCAATCTCACCACTTCCCAAATCAACCAAGTTTGCAAACTAACAAATCAAACAAAAAGGAAGGGGTTGGGAGAACATCAAATGTGGAACCTAGCTCCAGCTTTGTCACTAATCAACTGTGTGAATTCAAGGAACTTGCTTAATCCTTTCGACTCTATGTATTCGAGAAATTGAAGGATGGACTAAAATCTTTACAGCCTCCTGGCTCTCAAACCTTCATTTCTCAAAAGTTATCCAAACTTGACATTTCTTTCTCAATTTCTCAAAATGGTTCCCTTTGCATTTCTGCTGCTACCACCTAGTTAGAATGGGTATTTTGTTCATGCAGAGTATTCCTACAGTCTTTTGGTATTCCTGCTTTCTGCCCCCAATCCCAGTCAACCTATTCAAACTTCTTTGTGATATTATTCTTTAGCTTGAAAATATTCAGTATTTCCCCTTAGCCTGCTAAGTATATGATTCTTAACCTTGCATTAAAGACCTTTGATAATCTAACCTCTAACTAATTTCCTAATTTCCCAACACTACTTCTTATTTCAAAACAAAAAGGCATACTTCCCAGACTTGCAACAAGTTCAGTAACCAAGCTGTCTTGAGCCAATAACACCACCTAGTGGTGAAGGCTCTAAAGTAATGTAACATCTTGACCTCTTCCCTTCCGAAAGATAATGCAAACATTACTATTTTCTTTGTTTCCTGCCCTCCACTCCTCACATACAGCTTATTTGTTTTCACCTTTCTCTTCAACGTTTCTTTCTTTTTCTCTCTCCTTAACCTCTGCCTCATAAAAACAATCCTCCCTTTTTTAATAAGATTATTTAAGTCATAGTCAAGATTCTCTATGTTCTACCTAGACAAAAAAAAGAAGCCAATCCTTTTCCTAAGATAACATGGTACGGTGAGGTCTTCAGAATTTCTCTCCACTCATCACACCACAAGCCACACTATGCTTTCTATAACTTGCTTTGCACACATCATTTCCTCTGCTTGAATTGTTCCCCTCTGATTCACACTTCCCTCAGAACTCACATTATCCTAAATCCACCTGCCCCAGATCCCCCAGCTCACTGAGGTGCTGCTATGGACCACCTTGACCTGAATGGATCTCTTATCACACTGGTCTATAAGAGACTGTGTACTTGTCCTCTCCCTTATCAGACTACGAGCTGCTTGAGGGCAGGAAACACGATTTGTTCAGCACTAGATGTTGTGTCTGGCCCAATGTTTGACACAGAGGAGGTCCACTATTGTTGGATTGGTAAATGGACAGATGAATAAAGCGTTAAGAGTGAGAAATGTGAGGCAGGACTGTGTTGGGGAGGGGATATAGAGAGGGATAACATAGGAAAATAAAACATCCATCCTTCTCAAATTAACAGAAAATCCAGGCACAACCACGAGGCTGGTAACAACACTGCAGGTGGCTGCTCTGTAGAGGACTCATTTCCAATAGCTCAGAAAGAGGTCACCACCCACCTTACGCTGCCTCAAAATTGGCTATAGATAATGCCAGATCAGTGTCTGTGTTGCAGATTATCACAAAGCTCTAACCTTAATATTCTATGAAGGATACAGATTAAATCATGACTAATATTTCCTAAGCAGTGTATAGAAGCCTTTATTATTTTTACTTTATAGACTTATCTTCACATACATAATGAACCCTTGGAATTAAGCAAGAATTCAGGCAATGTATTTAAATCTGGGACTTACAGTAAAAGATGACTTAAAAAACTTAAAAGAGTGAAATATGCAGATTCCTCATCAGAATATATTTTTGAAATGAAAAGTTCCCCTCAGGTATGAGAAAATGGCAACTTCCTGATCTTAACTGATGTATATCACTCATTTCAAAAACTCTTCTCCAGTGTCTAAGGATAAATAAGCACTTGCAAACTGAACAATTAAGTGAGACCAAAAGATAGAGTTTGGCTTCAACTTCTACATAATTTGGTCAAAAGAACAATTATCTAGCGCAAATCCCACTCATAAAGATTAAACAGCACATCCAGCCTTACGGCTCCCTGCTATTAAATCAGGTCCTTTAGGCTACAAATTATGCCACTGAGACAGAATCTAATGCAATAATAATGTACTAATTTGATTTGGCTGATTGATTCTACGTAAAATCAGCCAAACTTGGGTGGAAAGCAAGCGGGTAAAGTGTTAAAACATAATCTCTAAGATCCTATCCACCTCTAACATTCAAAGAAACGACTGCTTCAAAGGGACCTCAAAGCAAAGTCTAAAGGCAATGGAAAGGTAGAGGATGATCAGGGGAATGAAAACAGAATTAGTTTGTGCATAATTTTTAAAGATTTTTCTTCTCTTCTTTTTCTTTTCTTTTTTTTCCCCAGGCTGAATTGCAATGGCACGATCTCGGCTTACCACAACCTCCGCCTCCCGGGTTGAAGCGATTCTCCTGCCTCAGCCTCCCAAGTAGCTGGGATTACAGGCATGCACCACCACACTCCGCTAATTTTGTATTTTTAGTAGAGACGGGGTTTCTCCATGTTGGTCAGGTTGGTCTCGGACCCCCGACCTCCGGTGATCCGCCCGCCTCGACCTCCCATAGGGCTGGGTTTACAGGCGTGAGGCACTACGCCCGGCCATAATTTTTAAACATTTTTCTGTTGGCACCTGTCCGGACCATGGATTTAAATGATCTACTAACATGATGAGAACCCAACGGGGATACTTCAAAAGAGACAAATGAATATACAGGTGGCCCGAAATGATTTTATAAAGTCCTCTAACAACCACACTTCTTTCCAGAGTGCCAAAGAATTTGGCTCATTTAAGGTGTTCATTTTTCAAAAAATGGTTATACAAATGCAAACTTCATTCAAATCAAACCTTACCTTGAGCTTGTTAAATGCCATGTTTAGCATCACTCAAGGCTTATACCAATTGTTGTTTTAAAAAATTACATAGTGCTTTAAGTATTTTTACATCTTAAATACAAAGGAATAATTCTAACTGTGGAATCAGAGCTGTCTTCCTAAGACAAAAAGACAAAGACAAATATCACAATTAACTATTAACTGGAGAAACACCTTTTCAAACGTCCCTGTAACAACTGGATGTGTTGGACAGCATAACCAAACTCATTAAGAATAGTGTGAAAAACATCACCATTACCTAGTTCTCACACACAGATACCTTCTTAAACTATCGAAACCTGTATCTGAATATACGAAGCATTAAGAATCTGCTTTTGAAAAGGAAATGAATATCTGAAGGTCATTTTCTTTTCAATCTTTTCTCATACTAATAATCACTGTTAATATCCACTTTTAAAAAATCGCCTCTATCAGGCACCCGGGAATTGCTTAACAAAAGCCACTTAATGAAACCACAGTTCAGACAAAAAAAAAAACTTAACTGCATAGAAAATATTTATGAGTTTACTTTCCTAACTCATACAATTGCGTCCTTGTTTCCAAAGCCTTGCAATTCACATCAGCGGGAACAAAAAAATCTAACACACAGCAGAAAGCTGGCTCTCTAAAAGAAAGCATTTTTTTTTAAAGGCAATGAAGGACCAAAAACTCTTTCTTTTAAAAAGATCTTAGAAGTTCCTCCTCCAGAGAAGACAGAAAACACTGACAAACCGCACATTGTGCAGATGTTCAGCCCCGAAATGCAGCCTCGCAGCCCTTCACTCCGCAGTCCACCGGTTGCATCTGCACCTCCGGGCAGCGCTCCTGCAGGGCGCAAACACCCAGAGACCCAGGGACCCGGCAGCCCCGCGCAGGCCTCCCGCGTGCACCGCTCAGCGAGCGGGTCTTTCGCAGACGGCGGGATGCCCCAGGAGACCGCGAGGCCGGCGCAGCCCGGCGAGCTCCCGGAGGGAAGGCGGCGTGTCAGAAAGGATCGGACCCCAGCAATGGCCCCGGATCGGTCCCGCGCGGTCGCCTCCTTTTCCCGCTCCGCCGCCGGGACCCCCCTAGCCAGTGCTGAATTTCCCAACTGGGAAGGACCGAGTCACTCCACCCTCCGGGAAGTCGCGCGCTCATCCGTTTTCGGCAGCGCCGGAGCCCGAGCCGGGGACCGGGCGGACACCCACAGAGTCCGCACCGCAGCGCGCTGCACGCTCTCGCCCCCGCCCGCCGGCCCGCGCCCCAGCGAACTAACCGCAAAGTTGGCCCGAAGTGGCGACGGCGCTCTCGTGGAGCTCACCCGCCGTCTCAGCGCGCCCCCGAGCAGGGACCGGGCCTGCCGGGGCCCTCGCCGGGCTCGCGCGTCCGCATGGTACCTGCCGCACGAGCCGCTCCCGCGCCCTCTCCCCGCGCCCGGCCGCCCAGCTCGGCGCCGGCGCCTCACGCTCCCCGAGCGCAGGAGATCCCTCCGCCCCGGCCCCGCCCGCCGGCGCCGGCGCTCATTTCTCGGGCGCGGAAACTCGAGCCCACTTTCCCCGGCTGCCGGCTCTGGGACCGCGGGCTCGGCCACGCAGTCCCGCCCGGACCCAAAGAGCCCCAGTCCCTGCGAACACCAGGTCCGTGCTGGGAGACGAGAAGGCGCCCAGCGGGGTCTAGCGCGGCTCCGAGGGGCAGGGCGAGGCTTGTGATGCCGAGGTTAGTTACGGCCAGCCACAGGCGCTGTGCAAGGAATTGGGGAAAGCTCCCTGCCAAGAAAGGGAAACGTTAGCTTAGCTAAAAAAAAAAAAAAAAAAAAAAGGCTGGGGCCTAATGAGAAAGCTTCCCAGAGGCATCCCTTTAGCTTTTCCATAGCCTTCTGGGAGCCCCTGAATCTGCATTTGAATGGCGCGGCTCTGGGTCCGCGAAGGTTTGGTGGGCTGAAGTCGTCCTTCAGGTCTCCAAAGGAATGCAGCTAGGTCGGAATCTACTTCCTCCTTCAATCCCCAGAAAATGGAAACGCTTCCCCCGCGACCTTTTTCTGCCGAGTTAGACCCCAGGCCCTCCCCGCCGCGGGCGCCTGGCCTCCCCCGCTGACACCCCGGACGCCCAGGCCTGTGGGACAAAAGGCAGTCGCGGCGTCCCGCGGGCTTCCTAGCCCGGGAGTCGGCCCCAGGGGCCCCAAAGCGTGACCCCAGGCCGACAACTGCAAGTTCCTAGGCAGAGGGGAAGCCCCAGCGCCGAGAAGCCCGCTCCGAGAACTCCCCGCGCCGGGCGCCCAGCCTGAGCGTCCCGGGCGCGGAGCCCATCCCCGGTGCGGGCAGGGCTCCAGCCGCAGGCTCGGCGCAGGGCGGACTCGGCCGAAGCCCGGAGGGCCGGAGGCGCTGGGACGCAGCCCGGACAAGAGGGCGGACTTGATCTCGGAAAGTTTGTGGGACTCAGGCATTTTAACACTGGGAAGACAAAGAGATCCGATTTCCCTGGGACTGGTGAGGGGAGCTTGGCGGGGAGGGGAACGGCAGGGCAGTCAAGTGTGAAAGAGAATTTCCTGGGTTCAAAGTTAACGCAGTCACCTTATAAGCCATCTTAGAGGTGACCGGAAAAAATAATAATAATAAAGGTGTCTAGCAGGTTGTGGCTGGGAAGGAAAAATAATGCCTGCAAGATGAGTGTGCCGATTCGTAGCCCTATATTCCCTGCCCACCAGTTGGAATACACATAGATTCACACATCCAGCAAATGCAAACTCCATCATCCAAAGACGTGTTTGTCCCGGCCATAATTGCTCCAAGTGCTTACAGGTCAATTTCATACATGGAACACCTCGAAAGTGGGTGACCTGATCTCCAAGCCCAACCGGCTTGTGCCGCTTGCCGAATTGTAAATCTCAGCAAAACCCAAACACACCGGAACTCCAGCCGTTTCCTGGGAGCGAGGAAGCGGGAGTAATGCTAAAAGGGGAAAAGAAGAACAGTAAAAAAAGTACAAAGATACCATTCCCTGACGTAAAATCACGGGATTTTTTTTAAATGGCACAAGAGAATTCCTGGAGAAGATTACCATTAATTAATAAGTAATAACGCTTCCTAGGGCTTACTAGATGTTTTACATCTGTCTGGGAATCCCGATTTTCCAGGCTCCCTGAGAAATCTATCTGCCTGGAAGAAGTTGCACTTCGTCGCCACAGGAGCCGCCGAGAGCCAGGGATGGAGATTTCAGACTTAGGACTCTGCCACGATTCTACTGATCCTTAAGCGCCAACAGAACGAAATGGACATGCCTATTAGCTACCACAAATCGAATTATTTTATATGAGAGAGAGAAATGTGGTTCAAGTTCCACATTTGTCCTTTAAATAATCGACCCTCCCTAACCCTGTCCCCAAAGGCTCGTGGAAATTAGGGAGGGGGTTGGGGAGACGGTTCCAGAAACAAAACGCTTTCCTCCAGCACGGCCTCTACATCCAGTCCACCCAAGCTGATTTTTGTAACTCATATAAAGAATGGGCCCGGGTGGGTGGTCAGTGAAGACTGGGGTGAGCAAGCGCCCACGTCGCCGAGCGCCGGGGAGGTCCAGGTTCGCCTCCGCACAGAACCCTGCAAGGAGCGCGCCTCGCCAGGTGCCCGGACTAGAGGGCGCTGCGCCCCTGCAAATCTCGCGGCCCCGATGCGCCCTCCCTAGGCACCATTGCTATAATAAGTTACATTCAAAATAATGCACAAACAGCATCGCCTCTCAAGTTCTTTTTAACAGTGCTCTATATGTATTTTATGAACTCCCAAAGCTATGCATACGAATCTTTCATCGCCGATCCGCACAAAGCCAGAGGGATGCGCAGCTCCTGGAGCCGAGAACCCGTAGGGCGCACACGCTTCCCCGCACTCGCTTAGAGCCACACACCCCACGTAATTTCATTAACGTTTAAACTTAAATGCCAAAAGGCATGCACGATTTGAACAAAGAACTCACCAGTCTAGCCGAGTCCTCGGCCCTGGGCTCTAAAGTCCTCGGCAGCTCCGTGATCCCCTCGCGGTGTAGATATGTGTTAAGAGCCGGGTTTGAAGTACCAACTTTGCCTCCCCGGGATCTTCAGCATGTCCCTAACCAGAGTGCCAACGTCCGTGCCGCCGGGACCCAGGCGGCCGCATCTCCGGAGGCTTCCGACCAGGGCAAACTTAAGCACCAAACGCAGGCGAAAAGAGAGTGCGCGGGGCCGGAACGAGGGCCCGGGAGCAGCCAAGTTTGTCAGGACGTGCCCAGGCAGCCAGCCGCCGAGTTGAGGAGTTGCGGCCGCCGGCTGCGGCGACTCGCTGCCTCTTTCCCCACTCCCTCCCCCTTGGAGGCGGTGGGGGAGGGGAGGTGACGTCAGCGCCCCGCCTCGCCCCCCGCCCCGGGCGCGGACGGGATTCTCCGGCTGGGCGCGCCACCCCGACAGTGGCAGCAGCGGCCGTGGAGGCTGCGGGGGTCCCGGCCTCTGCGGTCTCTCTGGCCGGCCGCAGCTGTGGCGCGGGTGAAACGCCCGCCCTCCTCCTTCGGCTGCGTCTCCCGGGCGCCGGCGAGCGCGGGCGTTCCTCGCACTCAGCGCCTGGAGCCGCCTGGAGCCCCGCTGCGCGCACTTCCCCGGCTCGCGGAGCCCCTCCGGCGGCGTTTCCCACGCCGCGGACTGCAGGTGATGCTCTTCCTCTTCTGCAGCCGAAATTCGTCGCGATGTGTCGCCTGCCAGATTTTTGCTGGGCGGAAGCATGAACAGTCTCTGCAGACTGGCCTGGACGACTTGTACTTTGTGGCCCTCCAACTTCTGGATGTGAATTTTTTTTCACGACTTATTATTATGCTCTTCGTGGTCTTTGTGTTGAAAATCACGGAGCTGTATTTTTATTTTCAAATTCTTTCCCAATGCTCCTCTTGTCTTGACCGTACTCTGAAGCTTATAAGGTTCTGAGAGGAGGGGGCGAAGGGATAGGGGAGGAGCCAGTTCCTAATGTGTCTTACAAGTCATCCCTAGTGATAGGGGCTAATACGCAAATCACTGTCTCCTCCTCGAAATAATATCCATTTAGATAAATGCAAACACTGTTGAGGTTTAATTTATAAAGAATGCGTCGTCTTTATGTAAGTGTCCAGCCTCCAGGAAAATATCTGCTGTGGAATATATTTTTAATGCCACTAAAGTACCAAAATACCTCCCCGAACAGCGTGAAATTCCGAGGGAGCCATTTCTGTGAGTTGACATTGTCCCCAGAAGATTGTCATTAACATTCAAGATCCTTGCAAAAGGGGGCTGGGGGCGGTTCTATCATATTTGCATCCGTTGGTATAAATATGTTGATCAGTTTAGCTGGTCGTTCTTTTACAAAGGTCAAGAGCAAAATTCTGAGCACAGAGGAAACTGGGCAGGGAGCTAAACAGTAAGGAGAGAACAAGATTAGGTGATTGGAATGTTGTGTGTGTTTAGCCTTGAAGTCATAACTTGTCTAAATGTCAGTGTCCTCATCTGTGATATGGGACTAATATCTGCTTCATGTGGTAAAAATGTATTCATGTGTTTATCCATTCAAAAAAAAAACATACTGCACTCTACTTGCCAGGGAGATAACAGTTATTCATGCAGGCAAAGCATTTTTACTGAGCATCATATGAAGTGTCTAGCACGCACATAGTAGGTACTTAAACAATATTAGTTTTCCTGCCCTCCCCCGCTCCCTTCCCTCACTTCTTGGCAGTGTCTCAGTTTTTAATCCATAAAATCAGCATCATCACCACTGATTGGAGATTCTGCCAGGCAGGTCTCCAGACTCAAGTCAGGTCTCCTGGGCTCAAGAGATCCTCCTGCCCAAGCCTCTCCCTCAAGGTACATTTTGATTTGGAAGGGAGGAGAGGATCCAGGGAGCTAGGACACGGAGGGATATAGGAAGGGATTTTAGAGCTCCTGCAGACCCCGAGGGCAGCTAGAGGGTGCCAGATTCCTAAGGAGGGAGGAGGCTGGCTTGAGAGGCCAGTCTGTCAGTGCCCAGCGGACTTCTCCTGCTTCCCTGTTTCAACTACACAGGCTCTCTCCTTTTGTGTCAATAGTTGAAATTAGAAATTGACCACATATTGCAAGTCCTCAAAATGATTCACAATAAATTCACCCCGAGAGGCTTCTCGCTGAAGTCCATTTGGTTTGCTATACTCACTTTAAAGTTGTAATAAATAAACCAAATTACTTAAAAAAGATAAAAATCACAAATGACAGGAACTTATGAATAACAATTGATGATATTAGTCAAAATAGCTGGTTTTCAAAGTGAGATGGGCAGAAAACTTTTAACAGAACCTCTAGAGCTGTGCTAATGTAGTGGGCAGCCACTTGCCCCCTGTGGCTACTTCCAGTTAAACTAAATTAAAAGGCACTTCCTGAGTCTCACCAGCTGCATTCCGAGTTTCAGTGACCATGTGTGGCTAGTGACAATTGTATTGATCGCAGCAGATCAAAGAACATTTTCGTCATGACAGAGTTCCACTGGACACCTTGGTCTAGACCTTTAAAAACACTGCTATTTTATGGAAGGCTACATCAAGCATTAAAATTTCAGTGTGTCCAATACTGAGTCACCTCTGAAGTATAAGGGAGGACCCAGAATCATGGAAGGATTCATTCATTCAGCAAATATTTATCAAGTACCAACAATATGCTGGGTGAAAATATGTAAGACCCAAGATTTAATGAGGTAGGTGTGTTTAGTGATTAAGAAATATTAACATGGCCTTTTAGTTGTTTTCCGTCTTTGCTGACTCATAAAACCAGGGGAAATCATAGATTTAAAGCAGGAAACAATTCTGAGACATTTTTTGGAATAGCCCTAGGACCAAATACTTCTAAGTAGGCTTGACTGACTCCTGGCATCCCACCCTCTCTGCTGCTTTCACTGCTTTCTCATCTGCCTGTGTGCCCATTGCGGCCTCCCCTTCCTGGAGGTGAGAGGAAATATCAGCCCTCTCCACTTCCCCTGCACCTTGGAATTATTTTACCCTTTGCATTCAAATACAGCTCTTCTCCGGAATCAGCTTGTACTCTCAGAGGGAGCCATTAGAACATTAGACACCTGGCTGGGCACGGTGGCTCATGCCTGTAATCCCAACACTTTGGTAGTCTGAGGCGGGTGGATCACCTGAGGGAAAGGGTTTGATACCAGCCTGGCTAATATGGTGAAACCCCGTCTCTACTAAAAATACAAAAATTAGCTGGGCATGGTGGCGGGTGCCTGTAATCCCAGCTACTCGGGAGGCTGAGGCAGGAGAATCACTTGAACCCGGGAGGCAGAGGTTGCAGTGAGCTGAGATGGCGCCATTGCACTCCAGCCTGGTGACAGAGCGAGACTCCATCTCAAAAAAAAAGAACATTAGACACCTAGTCAATCTGATGGGAATCAGTGCTGGTTAACTATGGGTATGAGTATGTTATAATAATATCCTTCCACCCTTCCCAGTGCCTTATAGCAAGGGCTTTCTTAAAGCTATAGTTAAAACATGAAATTTCTGATGCCATAACCAGTCACTTGGGAAAGTATTTGGAGGTATTACAAATCACCTACTAATGGCTAACCATTAAAAAAAAAAGGTACAAAGTATACTTTCATTTTAAAGACACACCCATAGTGGAGTAGGGTGGCCGTAGACATTCTGTCCCTCAAATATAAGATAAACATCCCCAGGTGGTTTGGGAACAGATATTGCAAGATAAATATAATTTTTGTGATGCTTTACCAGCTCAGTGATTGAAAGATTCTAACCTTTTGAACAGTAGGCAACAAGTCATCTGGCAACTTACTATTGAAGCTACTTTCTCAATAGAAGTATGCAGTAGAAAGAGCATTACACTTGAGGTTAGAAGACCTGTTTTGACCTGTTTTGAATCTTGTCTTTGACATATATAGTTTGAATTTATTTGGTTATAACTGAATTTTGGGAATCTCACTTTCCTCTATAAAGATAGATCTCTAAAATGGACACACACACACAAAATCTCCCTCACTGGTTGTGAGAGATACCAGTAAAGAATAATTGTGGCCAAGCACAGTGGCTTGCACCTGTAATCCCAGCACTTTGGGAGGCCGAGGCGTGTGGATCACCTGAGGTCAGGAGTTCCAGACCAGCCTGGCCAACGTGGCAAAACCCCGTCTCTACTAAAAACACAAAAATTAGCTGGGCATGGTGGTGTGTGCCTATAATCCCAGCTACTCAGGAAGCTGAGGCAGGAGAATCACTTGAACCCAGGAGGCAGAGGTTGCAGTGAGCTGAGATTGCGCCATTGCTCTCCAGCCTGGGCGACCAGAGCGAAACTCCATCTGAAAAAAAAAAAGAATAATTGTAACTACAATATCATTAGTCTCCTCAAATTTACCTACTGTGTCTCACCCTGCCACTCCTATCTCAGCTATGAAGCTCTGTAGAACCAATGGCCAGTAACATGTATTTACTGCCAGTTATGCTCCGGACTTGGTTCCACCTTCTTTATATGCATTATCTCATGTCATTCTTACAAAATCCTGGGAAGCATTAGCAATTAATGCCCTACCCCGATTTTACAGATGAAAACTGAGGTTTGAGGTAGATTAAATAACACACTGGGTCACCTTTCAGACTGAACCCTAAGGCTGGCTGCCTCCAGAGCAAACACTCTTGCCTGCTATAGTGCACTAGCTCCTCATAGCCTGCACCTCATTTGCACCCTTCAGGAACCATGACAGTTTTACACTAAAGGTCAGCAGTGTTGTGGTTTAAGAATTGGCCTAGGAGGGGAGCAAAAAACTATCAAATAATAGCTGCAGGAAAATGCTCTCTTGTAGCAGCTACGAGTTTGGATAAATAATTGTGTAAAAGTAGGTCCTTTAATCAGAGTGAGAACATCAGTGATTGTGTTCAGGAATACATACATAAAACACATCCATTACTTGTTTGGATTACATATTTTCATGTATATATATGCATACTGTTAGACACATTGCTTTTCAATTCAAAAATTATAGTCTGGCTTTTAACTTGTTTAGGCTGAACAGCAGAAAAATACACACCAATGATTCTCAATGAATTCTGACAAGGACTATGTCACATGATTTCATGATCAGCATTTCAATGTAGACCTTGCTTTTCTCTTTCCTGGACTGGAACCACTAGTGTTTTGTTTTTTTCTCTCTCCAATTCTCCTTTCTCTCCATTTCTGTTTTACATATGACAACAAGTAATTTTACCCTTGGAATATTCCCTCTATCTATACTTCTTTACTATTAAATCTCATCCCTTTTCCTGGTAGAATTTTTTAGTCACAAAAGCTAATCTTATATAGAAACTTTAATGAGGTATGGTGATATTTTCTCAGCATCCATTCTCTAACAGATCATCTATCTAAACCCATCAGGGTAGTTCTCTATTTCTTGTCATGGGCATGTTGATCAATGGTAGTCAGTGAGATATTAAAGGAAGTTTCTTGGAGGTTTCTGGAAAAAAAATTCCTCCCTCCTAAGAAAGAATCACAAGAGATATTATCTGAGAAAGAAGTTTTTAGATACAAAATGATTCAGTCTTGCAGACTATTGTTCTATCATAATGGCAGACAAAAATAAGGATGTCATGGTTGGGACTACAATAGTTATCTTGATTAGTGAGGATGAGGCCTAAACCAAGGAAGGCAGACGAAGGGCCTTGATGACATTGAATGAACCATCCCTGTAGGCCACGCAAACTAAAGATGTGTTTTTTTTGTTTGTTTGTTTTGTTTTGTTTTTAATGGGAGAGCATAGGTTTCCATATTGTTTAATCTGAGTTGTGTTGGGATTAGCATTACTTGCAGTTGACATCATGTATTTCAGCTAAGCAGTCCCTTTTAAAATATCCTAGGAATTATTTTAAAGAAAAAATAAATTGATGTACTTCAGCTCATTGGTCAGCAGGAATTGGGCCTAACTCCAATGATAAGATTGAAGGATTCTTGAAGCTTTCTCTTAATGGTGAGTATACCAATCTGCTTGGGCTGCCATAACAAAATGCCATCGAATGGGTGGCTTAAATAATAGAAATGTATTTTCTGATGTTTCTGAGGGCTAGGAATCCAAGATCAAGGTGCCCACAGTGTCGTTTCTGGTGTGGCCTCTTTTCCTGCTTTGTAGGTGGACACATTCTCTGTGTATCCTCACATGGCCTTGCTCCGTGCCTACAGAGAGAGCAAGCTCTGGTGTCTTCCTCTTACAAGGATACAAGTCCTGTTGGATTAAGGCCCCACCCTTATGGCCTCAGTTAACCTTAATTGCCTTCCTAAAGGCCCTGTTTCCAAATACAGTCACATTGAGGGTTAGGGCTTCAACACATGAACTGGGGAGATGGAAGAAAGATTCAGTCCATAACAGTGAGAAAGAAGTTTTCAGATGCAAAACTATTCAGTCTTGCAGACTATTGTTCTATCATAATGGCAGACAAAATAAGAACATGAAATTTTATTTGTTCAACCAGAAGATTTTTCTCTGCTCCCACTGCTCTTTCCTCAAGTACCCAAAACCTTCTAGTATATTTTCCAATTGTGTAAACGAACTCCCGGAAGTGAATATTAACCAAACTCAGATATCCAATACTTACCAGAGGATAAATAGTCAGCTGGAAACACCGACTGTCAGCAAATCTATGAACATTTGGAATTTGAATTTCTTTGTACCTGTAACTGTCAATATCAAATTTCGAGTCGAAAAGTGAAGTCAGCTTATATTTGGTGATATGGCCTACTTTGTTCACACTTTGACCTTTATTTGAAACAGAATCATTCAAAAAAAATTACGACTTTTGCCATATTGGCCGGGTGCGGTGGCTCACGCCTGTAATCCCAGCAGTTTGGGAGGCCGAGGTGGGTGGATCACGAGGTCAGGAGACCAAGACCATCCTAGCTAACACGGTGAAACCCCGTCTCTACTAACAATACAAAAAAAAAAAAAAAAAAAAAATTAGCTGGGCGTGGTGGCTTGCACCTGTAGTCCCAGCTACTCGAGAGGCTGAGGCAGGAGAATCGCTTGAACCTGGGAGGTGGAGCTTGCAGTGAGCCGGGATCGCGCCACTGCACTCCAGCCTGGGCGACAGAGCGAGACTCCGTCCCCCACCACCAAAAAAAATAAAAAAGACCGTGCCGAGTTAAGGATAAGATTCTTTAAGTGGGTTTGGTTGTTTTGCATGTTTAGGAAGGAACATCGTTTGTCCCTGCCCCACCCCATCCTTTTCTATGCAACAATTTGTGAAATATTGCCTCTCCTGTGTGGTTAGGTGTATGAAAGACCCAGAACAAATAACAACCTTTCCCTGATTTTTTCCCTCTGCTAGACATTTGTTCCAGAGTAGAGTGAAGCTGGAAAGGCAGGCTATGTGTTCAGTGCTACTGAGACAGCTGTAAGGCACTGCAGTGGGGTCTTACGGTGGGGAGAGAGACTGGGCTCAACTCCAAACACAAGTAGGAGAACTGGGGATTTACAGCCAGGGAGCAAAGTGGGGAGGGTCTGTGGATGGAAAACAACTACAACGATACATCACGAGTGAGAGGAGTTCTGGTTAAAGTGACTCACAGGACTCTTGCTGCAAGTGGTCAGTGCAGGTGCAACAAGGACAGACACCAAGGTCACAGCCTGGGGGGCTTGCAAGAGCCCGACTGAAGTTTGGCTCAGGAGAAAATCTTTGTCAGTAGCAGGCTCTTTCTGTTTTTTTCCTACTGTCTTATGATTATTTTGTCCTGAAAAAGCAGTGAAAGGAGAGGGACATTTGTTATTAATCAAGCTTCTGAGACCTTTTGAACCTTAGCTGTAACATTTGCAGGTTAACATTATTCATCTGTGTCATCGATTTCTTAGAAGCCAAATTGTTTAAGGGGGTTGGGGTGGTATCTAGATGGGTAAAGGTGGAGTACTGTAGAGAAACGGAGCTAAAAGTCAGGATTGAGGTGAGCGTTCTGCGGCTGACATTTACGGGCTGTGTGTAAACTTCGCAAATTACTTGGCTTCTTAAGTGGCAATGGGGGATTAGCTAAAATGTGATTAGCGAAGACGCTAAGCTGAGCCTCAGGGATCCTAACTCCTGATCCTCACACTTTGGTGTCATCTCCCCCATCTCTTATCCACCAGGGTCTGTGTAATAGAATAATACAGAAAGGACAGGATGTCACTTCTGAGATTAGGTTATTGTCTTAGTCCATTTTGTGCTGCTGTAATAGAATAGCACAGACTGGGTAATTTACAATGAACAGAAATTGCTTGGCTCACGCCCTTGGAAGCTGAGAAGTCCAAGACTGAGGGCCCAGCACCTGGCAAGGGCCTTCTCTTTATCAGCATTCCATGGTGGAAGGTGAGAGGGTGAGAGAAGGCAAGAGAAAGAACAAGAGGAGATTGAACTTGTGTTTTTATAAGGAACCCACTCCCTCCATAATAGCCTTAATCTGTTCATGAGGGTGATGCCGCCATGCCCAAATACCTCTCCCTAGGCCCCACCTCCCAACACGGCCACCTTGGGGATCATGTTTTCAACACCTGAGCTCTGGGGGACACATTCAACCCTCAGCAACTATAAAAGACACCGAGGTCTCTCCTGGCTCTCTCTCGCTCTCGCTCTCATAGTCTCTCCTGTTATTCACTCTGGGGAAAGCCAGAAGCCCACGTGATGAGGAATGGAAGGCTTCTTCTAACAGCCACATGAGTGAGCTAGAAAGTGGGTCCCCAGCCCTAGCTGTACCTTCAGATGACTGCAGCCCCAGCAGACATCTTGACTTGTGCCCTCATGAGGGCCCCTGAGCCACATCACCCAGCCGACCACACCCAGACCCCTGACCATCAGAAATGATGGGAGTTAACAAATGTTTGTTGTTTAAATTGCTATGTTTTGAGGGAATCTGCTACTCAGCAATTGATAAAGAAATTTGGAATAAATTATTATTGGCTATTAATAAAATATTATTGGCTTTCTACCAATAATGTTATGAGGATGAGAAAACACTTGGTAAACCATTAAGGACTACCACGAATGTTAGAACCCTGTGCATAGACTGGAAGAAAATGTATAGAATAGTTCTATCCAAAGACTCTATGTGATGATGGGAATGTTCTATCTATGCTGCCCTGGGTGGCACTACTGAGTACCTGACAGGTGGCTAGTGCAAAGTGAGGAACTGAAGTTTTAATTTTATTTAATTTTAATTCATTTAAATTTAAACAGTTATATGAGGCTAACGCCTACCATTTTGGACAGAGCAGGTCTAGAGACTTTCTAAGCCAACAAATGACTTGCAAAATCTGGTCAGTGAGAATACAGCACATACAGCTTGTGGGCCTGTTTTCTTCCCCCATTGTGACTTTTCTAAAGGAAGACTTGTGTTATTTATGAGGCCCAGAAGTGATGGATTGAGTTCCATTGAACAATTATTTCCTTCCTGGTTTAAAAAAGAACTATGCATTTTGTAAAACTGGGTTTTCTGAGACCTCAGATTTCTCTTTGTATGTACATGTTCAATTTATCAGACATGAAATTATGGATTCAGTGGACTGTCTCACCCAACTGGCTAATTTGCATGATTAATTGAAGAGGCATGCAATGCAACTGTGCCCAGTTTCCTTAACCACACCGGGCACTGCTGATTCATCCACCTGGTGGATGAGAACGACTTCAAACCTGAGGGCTTGTTGGCCACACTCTATTTATTCAATGATGTCATCTGGCAAATATGCAACACAAAATACAGCTTGAATGGCACTAAGTTACTGGTGGTTATAGCTAAACTTGACTAGAGATAGACTTCAGTGTATGCAAAATTGTATTAGAGCTTATAGGATAGCACGTATTTCATGCTGTTATCAGAGTAGGGAGGTTGATCTAGATTTGCTTATTCTTTTTAGTTGGTTTTTTTTTTTTTTTTTTTTTTTTTTTTTTTTTTTTTTGAGACGGAGTGTCGCTCTGTCACCCAGGAGGCTGGAGTGCAGTGTTGTGATCTTGGCTCACTGCAAACTTCACTTCCTGGGTTCAAGCAATTCTCCTGCCTCAGCCTCCTGAGTAGCTGGTATTACAGGCACCCACCACCATGCCCAGCTAATTTTTGTATTTGTAGTAGAGACGGGGTTTCACCATGTTGGCCAGGTTGGACTTGAACTCCTGACCTCAGGTGATCCGCCAGCCTCAGCCTCTCAAAGTGCTGGGAATACAATGATATATGTTGAGTTGTGCTTTGTAATAAAGCTAATGGTCACTTCAGTGTTGACGGCATCCCATCCCTCAGTCATGTCAAGTCATGCCTTTATTCTCAAGCTTGCAGTCACATTATTACAAGGTAACCACAGCTGCTCTAGACATTCATCAGGGCGGGATGAGGGGCATCGGTTATCTCCACTCACGTAAAAAAGAAAAATTGCATCCTTACTGCACACTATAAACATAAACATTTTCTTGATGAATTAAAATGTAAAGCTGTAAGGCCAATTGTCAAATGATTTGGAAGAAAATATAAGAAAATAATGTATTTGGGACTATGGAAGGATTTACTGTGTAAAACACAAAGTGTTTTTAAAATGAAAGAAAAGATTAACAAATTCAATTACATAAAAATTAAGAACCTCTATTAAAATGTGAAAATATACAGACTGGGAGAATATTCATACAATACTGTATTATTCAAGCAATACTATATTATTGTATGAATACTGCGGACCACCTGAGGTCAGGAGTTCGAGATCAGCCTGGACGACATGGTGAAACCCCGTCTCTACTAAAAATGCAAAAATTAGCTGGGCGTGGTGGCATGTGCCTGTAATCCCAGCTACTGGGGAGGTTGAGGCAGGAGAATCACTTGAACCTGGGAGGCAGAGATTGCAGTGAGCCGAGATCGTGCCACTGTACTCCTTCCTGGGCGATAGAGATTTCATCTCAAAAAAAGAAAAAAAAAAGAAAAGAAAAACAGGCAGAGATTAGATAGAAAAATGGAAAAAAATCATGAACCTATATTTCAGGAAGAGGAAATATGAATAGGGATTGTACATGCAGTGGGTTGAGTGGGGACTACCATAGGGACATGTCCTAATCCCCAGAACCTGTGAATCCTTTTGTGGAAACAGGGTCTCTGCGGATGTAATTAAGAATCTTGAGATCATCCTGGATTATTTGGGTGGGTCCTAAATCCAATGACAAGCATCCTTAGAAGAGCCATCCCGGGGAGAGACACATGGAGGAGAAGGCCACCTGCAGGCAGAGGCAGAGACTGAGGTATGCAGTCACAAGCCAAGGAGCGTCTGGAGCCAGCAAGAGGTGGAGATGCAAGCAAGGATTCTTCTGAGAGCCTTCAGAGGAAGCACAGCCCCGCCAACACCTTGATTTTGGATTTCTAGCCTCCAGAACTGTGAGAGAATAAATTTTTGTTATTATTAAGCCACCCAGCTTGTGGTCATTTGTTATGGCAGCCCTGAGAAACTAATATAGTGTCTAAGAATAAATCATTTATTTTCAAGACAGGGTCTCGCCCTATCACCCAGGCTGGAGTGCAGCGGCCCAATCACAACTCACTTGCAGCTCCTCCAGCTCCCCAGGGTCGAGTGATCCTTCCGCCTCAGCCTCTGAGTAGCTGGGACTATACGTGCATGCCACCACGCCTGGCTAATTCTAATATTTTTTGTAGAGATGGCTTTTTACTATGTTGCCCAGGCTGGTTTCAAACTCCTCAGCTCAAGCAACCCATCTGCCTCAGCCTCCCAAAGTGCTGGGACTACAGGTGTGAGCCACCATGACTGGCTGAGATAATTAATTTCACTAGCTATTAGAGAAATGTAATATCCTCTTACAAAAACTATACTGGCAAAAAAATCAAGATGTCATATCACAGGTGGTGAGGGCATGGGTCAACAGGAGCTCATACAATACTGGTAGGACTGGAAGTTGGTGCAATTACTTTGGAAAACAATTTGATATTACCTTATAAAGATGGTAATATAACATAAAGATGCATGTATCTTATAATTTAGCAATTCTACTACTAGTTTTAGGAGACCCAAGATAAACTCTAAAACGTGTACACCAGGAAATATCTTTAAGAAAATTCACAGCAGCATTGTTGATAATAACAAAAACTGGAAAACACTCAAGTATCTAGCAACAGAATGAATAAATAATTTATACCATATTCCCATTATGAACTTTACACAGGGAAAATGAACGTGCTGTTGTTACATGTAACAATATGAATAATTCTTAGAACTATGAGGGAGTGGAAAATACAAATTGCAGAAAATGTGCCCAAACCAGCAAAACTAAACAATATGTTGCTTAGGGAAATATACAGAAGAGATAGCATATTTGCTTTTTTTTTTTTTTTTTTTTTTTTTGAGACAGAGTTTCACTCTTGTTGCCCAGGCTGGAGTGCAACGGCATGATCTTGGCTCACCGCAACCTCTGCCTCCCAGATTCAAGCAATTCTCCTGCCTCAGCCTCCCCAGTAGCTGGGATTACAGGCATGCGCCAACATGCCCAGCTAGTTTTTTTTTTTTTTTGTATTTTTATTACAGACAGGGTTTCTCCTTGTTAGTCAGGCTGGTCTCCAACTCCCGACCTCGGGTGATCCCCCAACTTGGCCTCCCAAAGTGCTGGGATTACAGGTGTGCGCCCAGCCCCATAATCGTTTTTTAAAAGGATGAGGAGAGATACGCAGGAAGGGGGTATATTCTAGTCCTGAGATGGGAAATGGGTTTCTAGTAGCTGGTATTTATTTTGTACATAACTTAAAAATATTTTATATGTTATTTAAAATATTTGTCACTATTAAAATATCTAACATCAAAACAAAACAAGGCCAGACGCAGTGGCTCATGCCTGTAATCCCAACAATTTGGAAGGCCAAGGCAGGTGGATTACCTGAGGTCAGGCATTCGAGACCAGCCTGACCAACATGGTGAAACCCTGTCTCTACTAAAGATACAAAAAAATTACCCGGACATGGTGGCGGGCGTCTGTAATCCCAGCTACTTGGGAGGCTGAGGCCGGAGAATCACTTAAACCCGGAAGATGGAGACTGTGGTGAGCTGAGATCGCTCCACTGCACTCCAGTCTGGGCTGGACAGAGCGAGACTCCGTCTCAAAAAATAAATAAATAAATAAATAAATAAATAAATAAATAAATAAGATAAAAATAAATAAAAGGAGAATGCTGGAAAATTGGACAGGGCCACATCGAGACCATCTGTAACCTGAAAGCTATCAGTGTGTCAGTTTAACACTCTTTTGACAAGTATATGAAGAAACAGAGTAGCAAGAATGGATATAACCTCCAGCCTAGAAATGGAAAATGCTCTGCACATGTGTGGAAGTGAGAAGAGCTGTTATCGTGAGTAATAGAGAAATGGGCTATACATCAGCTGGTAAGATAAAAGTTTTATCCATCACAAAAAAGCTTTTCTAGATGCTTAAAATCACAAGAGTCATGCTTTGAGTAAAGATGAATTAGTGCAATGAAGAGGAAAAGGCCATCAAGTGCTTTTGGAGAAAAAAACAGAAGTTGCAGAGGGTACAGCTGGAATACCTGCTTAGGCCTTTTAGCCAGCCTGCAGATCCATGTCGCCTGGTCACCTGACTGTGTTAGCTATTTTCAATGAGTGAAGACGGGCAGAGTTCAATTTCTTACCTGTGTGCTTAGGTCTTCAGTACAAAACCTCAGGGCCTTGAGAGGTTTGCACATTCACTGACTGGCTGTAGGGAGTTATCCTATTTGAAGTGCACCATCTGTTTGCAGTTGGGACCCTAACTGATACAAGCAGGCCTATTAATTATCTCTCCCAAACCAGCTGTTGGCAATTGTGGGAGTGGTTTCTTGGCAGCAGTTGCCATCCACTCTCTGCCTATATTCCTTGTAAACAAAGGTGTCTATAAAGCAGCAGCAGTTTTCAAAGGTGGCCTCAGACTTGTGAGAAATGCCAATGTCTGGGCCCCACCCAAGACCTAGTGAATCCCACACGTTGGGGTTGGGGCCAGCCACCTGCTTTAATAAGCCCTTCGGGTGCTGACGATAAGTGCTACAGTGTCAGAACCATTAGCAGAGGGGAATGGGGAGGAATAGGCAGCAGCTTGATGCTAGTAGCAGCTGAACATTTAACACAGCCTGAAGGGACAAGGGAAGGGAGGCGTTCCTAGAACCCAGGAAGAAAAAGTCAGATTGCGCCACCTTGAGAAAGCAGCCATGTGCCACTGAAGGACACAGCCATCCCCACGTAGCTTGCCAGGGAACAAATACCATGTCTTCACTAGCCTCCCTCCCTGCATCTCCCATCTGGGCTCCCACTGAAGCAAGGAAGAGCAGGAGGTGCATTGATAGGAGCGGCTCGACCCCCTTAGCAGACTGCAGAAGGGCGGAAGGTAGAGGCAAGCGAAAGGTATTAGGCCCTGCCATCCCTGCCTTTGGTTTAGCAGCCCACACTCAAGATTGAGAGTCGAGGGTGAGGCGATGGCACCAGAGACAGCAACATAAACCCTGAGTACTTGTCCCATTTTCTGATCTTATGCTAGGAGTAGCACCGTCTGAGTTGGATGACTGATCTTTATAGAATTTAATACTGCAGACGTGGAAGAAGTGAGGAGGGAAGCTTAAAGACTAGGGAAAACATACTTCTTGTGGAAGGATTTCATATGGGGGCGAGTCTCAGGGGATCATTATGCCATCATCTTAAGTGACTCAAGGCTGTTTCAACAATCTTCTAAACAGATTACTTTTTTGGAGATTAATGAATTGAGGGATCCTGTGGAAGAGAGTCGTGTTAATGAGATCATCATCTAATTCTTCTTTTTTTT
Source organism: Homo sapiens (assembly GCF_000001405.40). Taxonomy (NCBI): domain Eukaryota; kingdom Metazoa; phylum Chordata; class Mammalia; order Primates; family Hominidae; genus Homo; species Homo sapiens. The sequence continues at coordinate 186,741,195 of NC_000004.12, forward strand.
TTTTTTTTTTTTTTTTAGACAGAGTTTTATTCTTGTTGCCCAGGCTGGAGTGCAATGGCGCAATGTCAGCTCACTGCAACCTCCGCCTCCCGGGTTCAAGCGCTTCTCCTGCCTCAGCCTCCAGAGTAGCTGAGATTACAGGCACGCGCCACCATGCCTGGCTAATTTTTGTATTTTTAGTAGAGACAGGGTTTTGCCATGTTGGTCAGGCTGGTCTTGAACTCCTGACCTCAGGTAATACACCTCCCTCGACCCCTGACCTCAGGTAAACCACTTGCCTTGGCCTCCAAAAGTGCTGGGATTACAGGCATGAGCCACCGCGCCCGGCCCATCATCTAATTCTATAGCCCATACCCTCCCCACATTTGACAATGAGGGGGGAAAATCCCTAAAATGATTGTGATAATTACTCTAGTCACAATAACAGAGCAAAGGTAGCCCAGGGTCTAGTACCTTGAGTTCAGGAAATCGCTTGGTAGCTTATTGAGGGGATAAGCATTCACTACGTTCGTTTTGTGGATGAGTTATTACCAAACACCTAGAACTGTGATAGTCAGGAGCGACACGCTTTGTATCTTCCAAGAGGATTTTCCATGTAATGGGATGTCTTAGGAGGTTTTGGTACTCCTACTAGCTTTCAGTGCTTTGCAGAGAGATGATAAACCTACAGTGTAAGCGGATAATATCACCACCTTTGGGAGATGTTATAAGAGCTCTAGCAACAGTTCCCTAAAGTCCTGTGCATTTCACATAATGGCTACAAATGATCTCATGAAAAAATAGGACCCCCTTAATTATTTTCTCAGGACCCCCTAAATTATTGATAGCGTAATATTCCAAGACTGGTGCCACCATCCCCTGGAGTTAGCTCCCAGGAAGGAAGGCCTTCTTGGGGTTCAGTATTTATTCATTTATTTTTGAGACAGGGTCTCTCTCTGTCATCCAGGCTGGAATGCAGTGGCATGATCTCAGCTCACTGCAGCCTCTGCCTCCTGGGCTCAAGCCATCCTCCCACTTCAGCATCCCAAGTAGCTGGTACTGTAGGCATGCATCACTACCCCTGGCTAGTTTTTGTATTTTTTGTAGAGGCAGGGTTTTGCCATGTTGCCCAGGCTGGTCTCAAACTCCTGGACTCAAGCAACCTTTGCACCTTGGCCTCCCAAAGTGCTGGGATTACAGTTGTGAGCCACCAAACCCGGCCCGGGGTCAGTATTTAATGTGTCCTATATGGGCAGGGCACCTGTGTGGATAAGCCCATCAAAACCTCATTGCTGAATCTTTAGTTTAATAAAAGTTACTGTTTCTTCACTCTTAACATTTCTTGATTTTTTTTTTTTTTTGGAAAGCCTCCTTAATCGTGTCTCTTAATGCCTCTCTGAAGTAAAGCGCATTTTGATTAAATAGCCATAAAATGCATTTACCTGTGCTTCATTTGGCAGTGGCTCTCTGATATCATATTGCTTGGATGTGAAATGAAAGGTTCTGGAAATGAGTTGAGTACTTTGACTGCAGAAGCCTAAATAACTGGACTACCTCTGTTTATTTTTTGGTTTTTTGTTTTTCTTTTTTGAAAGTATGTGTGTCATCTCTGGTCTATTTATTTCTATTGTGAAGAGGCAATGTTGAGGTTATGCTGTACATTTAAGAGACTGAGATAAAGGTTGTATAAATATATTTAAGAGGCACCCATTTTCTGGAAATGTTCTAATTACAAGATATCCTATTTAGGTAAAAACGTATCCAATATGCCTTTTGATTGTGTATATGTGTTTTGAAAAGGTTTAGCTGTGGGAACATTCTCGATTCCCTTTATGTCCAGATATTTCCTGTTGGATAGTTATTTTTGAATAGTGGTTTTATTTTAGTGTGTGTTTTAAATATAGTGATTGTATTAAGAGGGATAACTTTTTGGTAGACTTTAGTCTGCCAAGTCAAGTGAATCCATTTCTGAAAATCTTCAGGATTCTTTTTTTTGAAGCTTAATGTTCTTCTGAAAAGGATGAGAAGTTTTTGAATTCCACTATGCGGGCCATCTGTGTTTGCTATTGCAATATATTCCAAATGTTTATTCTGTAAAACTTCAGTATTTTCACAAACTTCAGTATTTTCACAATTAGCTATGGGAATATTCAACAGGAAGCAAGAGTAGTGGTGTAAACATCACGGTGCTTAGACCACTGAGCATCACCCTCTCATGTGCTGCTCCGCCCAGGCTGTGCACACGGGACACGGTGACTGTGATCCAGACGCTTCTGGAAAAGGAACAAGGCAGGCGCGGGATCCAGGAGAGTGGCCATGAATACTTGCTATGTTCATTAAGCAGCAGTTCCACAACTAATTGTGTCACTGTGATCATTATCTTGGCATGCTGCACTGATTCATTTTTGGACACGATTACATAGCCAAATATAGAAAGCTAATCTGAAATACCCGCTTAAAAAAAAACCCGAATAATCTATGGTGAATGTTTTTATGCATTTTATGAAATTACCTTCCAGTTTTATTTTAGGCTCAGATCTGACTCTTGCTTGGCTAGGTTCATATTGCATTTTTCATGTGCCAAGACTCCCTTTTTAATGCATCTACCTGGGAATTATTCGTGGAAACTTCATGGAAAGATTGTTTTGCTGAAGAATACAAATGACAGGGCTAGAACGTGGGCTTTGCCATCAGACACACCGAAGTCAGACTGCCACTTGGGACTTGGGACAAGTTACTTAACAGTTCCGAGCCCCAGTTTTCTTATCTAAAAATGTACATAATAATAGTTACCTAATAGGCTCGTATTGACTGAACATATGTAAGCACCTAATAAAGTCTGAGACACAGCAATTACTCCAACATAGGTTCCAACTTTCTCCATCCTTTATGTATTTGTTACCTATTGACTGTTGTAAAACGTATTCAAATTCTATTTGAGCAATAACCTAAAAGTCTTCTTTATATCTTTAAAAGGCATAGATTAGATAATTGTTATATAGGAAATTTGATCTCCTGGCATAATACAACTCTTCAAGCTGAACTCTAATAAGCTTTCTTCCATAGATTTGGGTCTTTCAACTATCTTATCCCTGTTATCAGTGTTTCAGATAGGGCCATTTGGATGCAAATTAGCCAGAAAATGAACTCGGGAGAAGTGTTCATTTAGAGACCAATATTGTAGTACTCTGATCCAAAGAACTTTGTCACAAAATGGGATCACGCAAAGGTCAGTAGTAATAAGACAAAAACATAAATCAAAGTAGAATCTTCCTATAAATTAATAGTAGTACACTCAGCTATCATCACATCAATCAGAATTATTTATTAAGATGTCAATAAGTAGTATAGTATCTCTTGGTTTCTTCATGTTTCATAGTTTATGCAATTGCAAATACTTTATAATGTAACCCTCTGCAGTGTAAAAAGAATCCCATTGTTTAATAAATATCTATTCACTTTTCCACCTTCAGGACATTCAGGAGCACATATACGTTCTCACTTTACTACTGATCTTACAATGTTTATTACTGTTAATTCTTTATTTTTCTCTGCTTGTGGTTTTTGGACTTCATCAGACATCAGAACCACCCAAGGGGTTGTTGAAACACAGGTTGCTGGTTCTTCCCACCCACTCAGATTTTCAGAATTGGGAGGACTTGATTGGGGCCTCACAATCTGCACTTCTCACGAGTTGCCGGGGATTGCTGATGCTGCTGGTTCAGAGACCAGGCTTCGAAATACCACTATTCGAGTCCTACCAAGTCTAGTATTCTAAACTATCATTTTAAACATATAATTATGGGGAAGTTTTTATGACTTGGTTGAGGTAGAAGAAGACGATGTATTTGTGGAAGCGAAAAGGTGTAAGGTGTGCTGAGAAATGCTTAACAACCAGCTCTGGAGTGGGGGTAGGGGAAGGGAATCGGAAGGGAGAGCTCTCATAACTGTGGTGCAGCTATTCCCACCACGGCCGACCTGAGACTATCAACGTAACATCCGCATGCGGAGCTGGGAAGAGTGTTTTCCACAGTCGCAGCGATGAGCTGGTGGTTGCTGGTTCTAGCACACCAGTGAAACGAGCTGTGGTGTTATTATAAAAGCAAATGAGAGGAAGAGATGGTAATGAGCATTTGTTTTCTAAACAAGCACAAATAAACCCCCACAATAATTGATGTTTAGTAGGCTACAAAACAAGCCTCAAAAAATATCAAACTATTAATAGAATATTGACTATTTTCCTTATATAATTGTCTTGCTGGACCCTTATTAACTCCAACAGGATGGCACCAGGTTTGAGAGGCCGAGGAAGAGACCCAGAGCCAGCAAATGAAATATGGGGTTGATCGAAGGGGGCTTACATACAGGGCAGTGCAGTGATGGCAGGCGGATGGGAGAACTGCTGCCACTGAAGGAAGCGTGTGGTTTATATGCGCGCAGGAAGCGTGTGGTTTATATGCGCGCAGGAAGCGTGTGGTGTATATGCGCGCAGGAAGCGTGTGGTGTATATGCGTGCAGGAAGCGTGTGGTTTATATGCGTGCAGGAAGCGTGTAGTTTATTTAGCACCTTCACTTAGCACCCTTCCCCTGCAACCCCCATGTGGCAATCCTCATTTAACCCAAAAGGCCTCAATCCCTTCATAAAGCCCATGTTCCATGGGATGCGCTGGGGCTCAGATGTTCCTCATAGATAAGGAATGAATTTCGGAGTTCAGCACTTTGGGATTCCTTACTTCAGAGCGCCACACACACATTCAGGTGTGTCTGCCATACAGGGTCATTCTCAGGTGTGTTAAGTTATTGCTGTCAGGTGCATTTACCATGCAACAATGCAATTCACAAGATAACTTTTTAAAATTTAGAAAGCAGATTCTGGTTCCAAATAATATGGAGCACGTACACTCTACTCGATGTCTCTCCCACTGAACAGCAGCCGTAAAACTAAGACAGAATGCATGCAGCAGCTATTTGAGGATCCTGGAAAGTAAATAGTAGGAGGCAGAACACAGAAGATCAGAATTCAAGTAGCATTTAACTGGTAGTGAGTTTACTTTTTTTTTTTCCTTCTTTCACTCTCCCTGGCCAGCTCCGGAGTAAGGACAGAGAGCTCCAGAAGAATACTCTAGTCCAGCTTGAAGAGCAGGAAAGGGAATATATAATTCTTAGGCTATGGAAATTTCCTGTTTTTCTTTTCCTTTTCTCTGTTCCCTCATGCCCCAGTTTTATTTATTTTATTTTTATGAAGTCATGCTCTGTCACCCAGGCTGGAGTGCAATGGCACAATCTTGGTTCACTGCAACCTCTGCCTCCAAAGTTCAAGCAATTCTTCTGCCTCAGCCTCCCGAGTAGCTGGGATTACAGGCACCCACCACCATATCCAGCTAGTTTTTTTGTATTTTTAGTAGAGACCAGGTTTCACCATGGGGGCCAGGCTGGTCTGGAACTCCTGACCTCAAGTGGTCTGCCCGCCTCAGCTTGCCAAAGTGCTGAGATTCCAGGTGTGAGCCACTGCATCCGGTCCCTCATGCCCCAGTTTTAGAGTTGAACTTATCTCCAAACCGTGATCTCATTGAGAGAAAAATAAATGTTTTGCATTGTAAGCCTCTGAGACTTGAGGGTTGTTTATTACTCTGGCACCAGGTGACTAATGCATATGAGTTCACGGCAACATTGCTTAAACAGTGATGTTTGAAAATGACATAAATGTCCATTAGAAAAGATGACTAAATGCATTGTGGGATATTCAGATGCTGGGATAAAAGGTAGTTATATTGAGTGAACAAAGACCACACGTGTCGAAATATGTAAGTATTAAACATAATGTTTATTCCAAAGCTTTCTGGAGAAGGCTAAATACAGTATAATAAAACATAATTTTACAAAATGTCGAATACCGTTTTGTATTACTTATGGATACATATGTAGTGAACTTGTTAAGATGTAAGAATAATATATATATTTTTTGAGACATGGTCTTACTTGTGGCCCAGGCTGGCGTGCAGTGCAGCAACCATCGCAGCCTCGAACTCCTGGGCTCAAATGATTCTCCTGCCTAGGCCTCCCAAGTAGCTGGGACTACAGGCATGTGACACTGTGCCTAATTTTTTATTTTATTATTTCTTTTTTGTAGAGACGAGGTCTCGCTATGTTGCCCAAAATGGTCTCAAACTCCTGGCCTCAAGTGATTCTCCTGCCTTGGCCTCCCAAAGTGCTGGGATTATAGGTGTGAGTCACCACACCTGATCTAATATATTTATATTCAGAAAAGTGGTTATGTCTCCAAGGGGAGTGAGAAGAATGAGATTGATGAGTGGGTAACAAAGCTTCTTATCTATAATGTTTTGTTTCTTAGAAGAAGAGGAATAGATGTCAAGATTTGACAAAACTAGATGATTTGACAAAACTAGATGATACTGTGTACCATTCCGTATACTTTTCTGTATAGTTGGAGTTGTTCATAGCACAGCAAAACATATTTTAAACAAAGTAGCTTCCTTTAGTAATGTTTTGGTGACAACTTATTAGCTCCAGCAGTTTTTGGTGTTGGCAGATGAGTGATGCTGGGATTTTGAGAGTCTCACTGATTAAAAAACAAAACAATAGCAATAAGCATTCAAAACCATCTGCAGCTTAGGCTTATATATCCAGCACGGACACAGACATTGAGTTGTGTAGTGACAATAAGGATTCAGTACCCATGATTTCTTCTGTTTTGAATGCAGATTCACTTAATTGGATGGAAAATTTGATTATTTCTGTAAAAATGCTTGAATAGACTTGAGAGCTTACACATGAAGCCCAATTTTTCTTCCATTTTAAAAAAATGGAGCCAAGAAAAGAGAATAGCTGGGGTAGGTAGGTGTGATTATTTCAAAACTTCATCCACTTTCTTCCCTCCCCTTCAAGAGGAAGACAAGGGTATGAGAACTGCTTCTAAAACCCAATTGTACAACAGAATAATCTGAAGAGCTTTAGAAAGGTACAATTGTCCAGGCCCCATCTCAGCTCTTACTAAATCTGAATTTCTCAAATATGAAGCAGAGAATCTTTATTTTTACAAAGGCTTCCTATAGTTACTGTCAATTCCAAGGAACCAAAATCCCCCAAACCTTTTTTTTTTTCCTTAACTTTTATTTTAGGTTGCGGTGTACATGTGCAGGTTTGTTATGTAGTTAAACTTGTGTCATGGGGGTTTGTTGTACAGATTATTTCATCATCCAGGTATCAAGACTAGTACCCATTAGTTATTTTTCCTGATCCCCTCCCTCCTCCCACCCTCCACTCACTAAAAGGCCCCAGTGGGTGTTGTTCCCCTCTATGTGTCCATATATTCTCATCATTTAGCTCCCACTTATATGTGAGAACATACGATATTTGGTTTTCTGTTCCTGTGTTAGTTTAAGGACAATGGTCTCCAGCTCCATCTATGTTGCTACAAAGGACACGATCACGTTCTTTTTCTATGGCTGCGTTGTATTTGATGGTGTGCGTGTACCACATTTTCTTTATCCAGTCTGCTATTGGTGAGCATTTAGGTTGATTCCATGTCTTTGCTATTGTGAATAGCGCTACAATGAACATACGCGTGCATGTATCTTTACGGGAGAATGATTTATATTCCTTTCGGTATATACCCAGTAATGGGATTGCTGGGTCTAATAGTAGTTCTGTTTTTTAGCTCTTTGAGAAATCGCCATACTGCTTTCCACAATCAAACCTCCTTTTCTTGATTTGCCACTCACTGCCGGCTGCGGTCCAATTAATTTATTGTATAAAAAAATAACCAATGCTAAAAACAAAGCAAACCAAGCCATATCAAATAATAACACTATCTATAAATTGATTTGTGCACGTGCTATAAACTTTGGTGAATCTGTTAAGAGGAGAGCAAACCAGTTACAGAGTTACCCTGCTGAGCCCTGGATTCTGAGTTTTATTTAAGAGTGAATTATGTAAAGGATTTCTTTGCAGCTGTGCCAAGAGCATTGCATTCCCTGGTTTGGAAGCTTTCTGTCAAAAGTGTGCACCATAACTCTTCTGTTCAAGGTGTTGGGTATGAAAATGCAAAGCTTAGGAGAGCATTGTTTTGTCAGCTGATGTCTTTCAAACTGAAATTATTGTAACAATAATGATTTTACGGGTTTTTAAGGAAGGTATTTGTGTGCTCTTAACTGAAAATGTGTTGTGGCTATTTATTGAAATGTTAATATATATTTATCATTAAAACTTAAAACTTACATGCTAACTTTTTATTGAGGGGTGTGTGTGTGTGGGTGTGGGTGTGTGTGGTGTAACCCCAGGGAAGCAAAAATGAGGATAAAAGAAAAAAGAGGCAAAGAAGAAGGGAAGCAAATATATAAGAGTACATCGCTGACCAGCCGGAATTCTTCTAGAAAACGCAGCTGGCTGCCAGGTCAGCAGGGATATCATCTGAGAGGTGACATGAAATCATTGCGTCCTGGAACAATGTTAGCAAGAAGGAAGGGTAAATAATCGGCCAGCCCCTTCCTGTCTCTCTTCCCCCACTGGTCAAAGTTTGCCTCACTTCCTGCTTCTCTTGCTGGGGCCCTTTGGGCAGCCTGACTAATAGAGCCTCAGTATGCCAAGCACACGAGTGTGCAGGTGCAAATTACGGCCCCCCGGCAGCAGCCTGCAGCATGTAGGCAGCCAGGTGAGCAGGTGCGCTCTAGTGATGACCTACAAACTCCAGGTGGGAGGACAGGCCTACAGTCCGAGGCATGAAATGAGGTGCTTGGATCATGCCAGGAGTGACTTAGAGGACTGGAAGCAGCTGCTTCAATGTGCCTGACCGATAAGTAGGAGTGTCCTAGAACTACTGGCCTCCACCACGAAGAGGGTGATGAAACTTAATGAGCTTTCTTAACCAAAGCTCCCTGTAGCTGTGGTCAGTGCCAGCTGGCCTTCCCAGTGGGTCTTCAACAGCACTGAGCAAAAGACAACGGCCAAGCCAATCCAGGGAGGCACACACCGAGAGCAGACGGTGTACGACATGATACTCGGTCATCTTATCATGCCAGAAAGAAAGGAGGCTGCCAAACTTGGGTCGTGTCAAAAGGACACAAGAGCCAATTTGAGAACTCCTGTTGGTCAAAAATGGGGCAATTTCAGCAGCAAAGAGAATGCGTGCAGTGGATTACGACATATCAAATATGTGAAATAAAAATTCAGGAGACAATAGTGATATTCCAAAAAATGAATTGAAGATAAAACTTTAGAAAGGGAAAAAAAGGCATCTATCTTGCCTTCCCTGTACTTTCTTTCAGGAAAACCAGATAGTGGATGGGCAAAATTCTCTCCTTGTAATAGAATCCCAGTTTACAAATGCAGGAGGAATGAGAGCCTCTTTGAAACATTAGGTAAAAGGTTGAAGAGAAACCTTATAACGGTGGGGCAGTCTGACAACACCTGAGCCCACTGATGAATCTTGTCCCTAAAAGGGGGATAGACAGCTGCACATAGGATGTCCTACCTCCTATGAGGTATTAAAGCCTGAAGACTGAGCCTGAATCTAACTAAGCATCTTGATCCACCAGTTGATAGAAAATGTGAGGGATCGAGGAACATATCAATTGACTCACTAAGGATACAGTCTCCCAAACTCAGAATAAGGGAAATCCTAAGAGACAAAATAACCCATTTTTGAACAAAGGCATAGAGAAAAATGGGAATAGGTGAAAGGGGAGGGGAGAAAGTAAAATATTTAAGGAGAGTTAGAAAACAAACTGAATACAATGTTAGGATCTTGTTTGGATTTTGATTCAAACCAATTTTTAAATATGTTTTAAAGAAAATTTGGAAGAACAACACCAATTAAATGTTACATGTATTAAAGATTTATTGCTAACTTTGTCAAGTGTGATAATGACATTGTGATTATCTATTTTCTTTATGAGATGAAATCTCGCTCTGTTGCCCAGGCTGGAGTGCAGTGGTGCGATCTCAGGTCACTGCAACCTCTGCCTCCCAGGTTCAAGCAATTCTCCTACCTCAGCCTCCCGAGTAGCTGGGATTACAGGCACCCACACCACACCTGGCTAATTTTGGTGTTTTTAGTAGAGATGGGGTTTTACCATGTTGGCCAGGCTGGTCTCGAACTCCTGACCTCAGGTGATCCGCCCACCTCGGCCTCCCAAAGTGCTGGTGTTACAAGCACGAGCCACCGCGCCCAGCCCTTTTTTAAGTCTATATCTGTTAGATATACACACTGATGAACTTATGGACAAAATGATATGATGACTGGGATTTACTTTTAAAAATTTAGAAGTGGGCAAAAAAGTGGGGAGGAATAAATGAGAAAATATGGACAAATGTTGGTAGTTTGTTGAAGTTGGGTGAGAATACATGGCATTCATTATGTAGTACTGTCTACTTTTGTGAATGTTTGAAAATGTCCATAATCAAAGGTTAAAAAATTAAAATACATGAACAAATTCTTTTTAAGCCAACAAAACAAGCTTCCCCAGCGGGTTTTGATTAATCAAATAGCCTTGGGACCCAGGTAGAGAGGACCTCAGAACAAAGCAGAGGTGAGTGCAGAGAAGCTGGTACTACCCTCTGCGCCTAGCAACCCTCTTCCCCAAAATCTCAGCCCCTCTACTCTCAGCTGCTTTTCCACTCCCAGATTTCTATGTAGGGTTCACAATCTCAGGGATGGGCCAATGGTACAGAGGAATTCAGGACGCAGGAGAACCTGTTCGATATTACAGCTTGTAGATCTATTAAAATTCCTCTGCAGATTTGGGAAAAAGATTAATGAGTGTTCATATTTAGCTCTGTTTCCATGAGAAAGCCTGTGGAAAAACATTTTTAAAAGCACCTATAGTAGCTAATCCAGAAAATAAATCAAATTAGTCACTGTCGAGGGCTTGTATTATAGTCTAAAATAAGAGAAACTTTTTGATGAGTGGCTAGCTTGGGGGTAGAACTTTGTGGTGTATTTTACGGCACAAAGTTTACTATTATTTCAAAGTTAGTTTAGCTTCTACCCTAGGATAATATTTTGCAAATAGCACCAAGCTGGACGTCCTGAGACCCGGGTTTTGATTTTAGACCTCCCGCTGATAAGCTGTGTGACTTTCTTCAAGTTACTCTCTCTGGGGGTTAATTTTCTCATTTCTAAACAGAAGGAGGACTAGATATTTGAGGTTCTTCCAGCTCTAATATCCTATTTGTCTATGAATAAAAATGTATTTACTCATTTGCACGCAGTATTTCATTTACACCTACAGACTCAGGCATGAAATGAGGTGCTCGGGTCAGGCCGGGAGTGACTTAGCGGACTGGAGGCAGCTGCTTCGATGTGCCTGACCGACCAAGTAGGAGTGTCCTAGAACTATTCATTTACACCTTTGCATGCACTGTTTCATTTACACCTAACAACAACATGATGATATAAGAAACTTTATTATTCACACTTGGCAGACACAGAAACTGAGAATTAGGAAGAAGGGGTAATCTGACAAAGAGATTCTCAATAGATGTTGAAAAATGAAAGTTTAGGTGTGGCCCAATTTTGATTCTCCATGGAAATATCCAGCCATGGACTTTTCACATGTGCTGTAGAGTTTGTTAGTAGTTGAGGCCCAAAGATTTTGAAGTCTTTTAAAACTCTGAAACATTAGGAAAGTTTGGTTTCTCTAAATGTTATGAAAATTTTGCATCTCAATACAAGCCATTTATAACAGATAAGAACATTTCTACAAAACAGATTCTTTCCAGCTGGATTCGTGTATGTATGCATGTAAGTCCGTCTCCTAAAATTTCAAGGGCAGTAATGAATCAATAGTATGTCTTAAATCTGAGATGTCTGATAAAACACAGAAAGATATATACATTCTAAAATATCAAGTTGATTAACAAATATTTAGTGAGCATACCACTATGGACTTTTTTGTTCCAAATGAATTTGAGTCTTTAATGTGGTTCAAGAGCTACCTGGATGGGATCAGAATCAGTTCCCATCTATGTGCCCCAGGACAGAGCCTGATCCCTACCTGATTTCCAAGGCCATGGCCCTATTAGACCACACACAATGCAGATTCTGTAATTAGTATCTTGGCATTTATGAGAAAGTTCACAATGTCAAACTGTATGTGGGGCATGACACAGAATCTTAACAGGTACTTGGTGAGTAAACATTGAATGAAAGCTAACATGAAAATATTCTCCTTTTGAAAAAACATAGACAAGTTTAAGGCCATTTCAGCAAGCGAGATTTCAGGTGGCAATAAATGATGTTAATTATAAGGGCAAAAATACATGGTTGTTCATGGTTTTTCTCGTGCCCAACCAGTCCTGCGCTTTCTTAAGATTAAATTTTCAATTTCCTCGTGACAAAGAAAGTACTGATACTAGTTTTTTACTTTATACTTTTTTTTTTTTTTTTTTTTTTTGAGACGGAGTTTCGCTGTTTTCACCGAGGCTGGAGTACAATGGTGCGATCTCGACTCACTGCAACCTCCACCTCCTGGGTTCAAGAGATTCTCCTGCCTCAGCCCCCCGAGTAGCTGGGATTACAGGCACCATGTCCAGCTAATTTTTGTATTTTCAGTAGAGAAAGGGTTTCATCATGCTGGCCAGGCTGGTCTCGAACTCCTGACTTCAGGTGATCCACCCGCCTTGGTCTCCCAAAGTGCAGAGATTACAGGCATGAGCCACCGCGCCCAGCCTACTTTATACTTTTAAAAGCACTTTGATTATATCTCATTGGATTCGTGTATGTTTTTCTTTTTGTACAGAAAAACTGGAATGGATTTTTTATATAAGTTATTGAAAGACATTTTCATGTAAACATTGACTTAAATTTTATGTGGAGATGAACAACTCGTTTTGTTTTTGTTTTCCTTTTTGTTTCTGCAATAGTATCTTCTGGCTAAAAAGAATAGTTGCTTTTACAAGTAACAAAAGAAATGAAAGTATACTTTGGAGGCAGCTGTCACTTACACATTTTTTGAGGAGTCCAGGTTGTTGGCTAAAAAGATATTTTTTGGGGAAAACTACTTTTACACAAATGCTGCCTATTTAGGTCTAAATGCTGTGATGAAATGGAGAACTTTGAGAACTAAAAGACATGCCACCCTGTTTTAAGTTGTATGACCAGGAAAATAAGCCTTTACCAAACTGTTTTTCTGATTCACAGTGCATTTTAATAAGCATAATTCAGTTGTCCAGTTCTCAGCAGCACCAAAGAGACAGCAACACTGTAGGTGGCTGATTAATATTTTATGTTTATCTTTAGTAACTAACCATGTCAATATGTGAGGATGTTCTGAAAGAAAAAACATATTCAAAACAGACTTCCTTTGCTATGCAATTTCTTTGGGGTATTTTATTTTTAAGAGTGTTTATGTTAAAGCTTTTAAAATGTTGTACAATGTATCCAAATAGTAGTAGTAACTCACATTTAATAAACTTTATATAAAAGTGTAAGGATGGAAAATTACTGGCTCAACAACTGTTTAGGGAAAGTTTCTTTCCTATTATCACCTGCTATATTGCAAATATCTTTTTGAGTATTATTTAAATTTTTTAACCTTAATATACTTTTGAATAAACTAGCTGAGTCCAGGTCATTGCCTTTTACATTTCTCAGAGTTTTTCCAGATTTTCCTTTATGTTGGCAATAATCATGTTATTTTCTTTCTTTTGTAGTATCATGTACCACTAATATATATTTTCCCAACTCCTCACAAAGAGCTAGGTGTATCAAAGCTTCATTTTTCTGGTCATACATATTATTTAGTAGAAGGTTTTATCTTTCTTAAAGGAAGGAATGTCAGTCAAAATCATCATGTAGATGATTCTCACGAACTCATTAAAGAGAGAGACCATATTTTATAAATATTTATAAAATATTTAAGACATTTAACAACTGATAAGGCTCAGGCACCAACCAAGCAGAACAGACACTGGCCATAAAGCTGAACAAAGTGTGCAGGCTCACTCAGGGGCATACAAGAACACGTCAGTGGCTCGTATGGAGAAAGTGGGAGGGGCGGAACCCAGGGAGAGGCCACGGCGGGGTGGGGACACTGGCAGGGACCCCATAATCATGACTGGATTCCTGCGTTTCTTAAACGTGGTGCTACTGACATTTTGGGGAGCGTTATCGCTCTTTGCTGTTGGGGGCTGCTGTCCTGATGTAGGATGTTTAGGAATCTCTCTGGCTTCTACCCACTAGTTGCCATTTTCACTTCCCCCTCAGTTATGACAACCAAAAAATGTCACCAGATATTTTCAAATGTCTCCTGGGAAGTAAAATCACCCTAGTTGAGAACCACTGTGATATACCCTCTGGGGCAGCAATATTTCCATATTCTAACAGCCGTTACATTCCTACCATCACCAACAGGGTCTTGAACTGTTGCCTGCTTTACAGAGCTTAGTAAAGATTTGTCAAATAAATGAATGATTCTTGTAGTCAGTCAACATACTGGGAATAACCTTTTAGGAAAGGTTGACTCATAAATTATCTCTTGTACTTGGAGTGTGGGTACATCTCGATTTATGACTACGCAGGTGTTTGGTGAGAGACCCTTCAACCTATTGACCACAAAGCTTGACACCCTGGGAGCCTCTGAAGCATGAAGCCTAGAGCTCATTGCTTGCAGCTCGTCTCACTTTGTACATGCTCCTTAGTTCAATCCATCTACTCTCATGGTTTTTACTTGTATGCAGATAAATTCTATCCTTGTATCTCTATCCCTCAACCCCTGTCTGAACTTAAGCTGCAGATCTACTGGCCCTGTGTATATATTTACCTTACACACAACATGCAGAGAACTGAACTCAGCTTTGGTCTGCCTCCACTGCCATAGGGCAAGCTTCACTTCCTGTCTTGTCTAACTGAATTAGATAATTATTACCTCATCCTTGGTGGTAATCTGGGTAACTCTTTGTCCTGCAACTCCTACATGCGCATAATAGTCACAAAGTCCAGTGAACTTAACCACCAATAGTTTGGATTTCTTTCCCTCTTCCTTGCTTTCTGTTCCCTGGACTAATTCTAGGCTCCTGACTGGTCTTCCATAGTGTGTTCTGTCTCAAATCCAAACCTCACATGCTTCCACCATCATCTATCAAAACAGCAACACCATATTGAAATGCTTCTGTTTTCCAAGGGGTAAAATCTACATTCCTTGGCGCGCCTTTCTAGGTCCTCCACAACCTGGCCTCTGCTCAGTGGAGGAGCCTCCACACTGGCATTTCATGCTCCGGCAATTTTTTTTTTTCTAATTAAAGTTCTGGGATACATGTGCAGAATGTGCAGCTTTGTTACGTAGGTATACATGTGCCATGGTGGTTTGCTGCACCCATCAACCTGTCATCTACATTAGGTATTTCTCCTAATGCTCTCCCTCCCCTCTCTACCCTCCAACAGGCCCTGGTGTGTGATCTTCCCCTCCCTGTGTCCATGTGTTCTCATCGTTCAACTCCCACTTATAAGTGAGAACATGCGGTGTTTGGTTTTCTGTCCCTGTGTTTGCTGAGGATGATGGTTTCCAGCTTCATCCATGTCCCTGCAAATGATATGAACTCATCTTTTTTATGGCTGCATAGTATTCCATGGTATATATGTGGCACATTTTCTTTGTGCAGTCTATCATTGATGGGCATTTGGGTTGGTTCCAAGTCTTTGCTATTGTGGATAGTGCATGCTTCAGCAATTCCGAACAGCTATTAATACGCTGTTACCATCGACCTGCTCCTCTGACCTGGAACACCCTCTTCACCCTGTGTCATCTAATCAACTCCTCATCCTTCCATGCAGGTGACACCTCTTCTGGGAAGCTTTGTCTGCCTTGTTTATCCTGGGTCCAGGAGTGCTCTCATTGGTGGCACTCTGGGCCTTCCTTGAGGAAGCATTATCACCCTAGGGTGAATGATCTGTTTAACTGTTATGTGGTTTGTCTCCAGGGCAGAGATTATGTCCTATTCATCTTTATATCCTTAATTCCAGCCATAGTTGCTCAGTAGATGATGCTGATGTGATCTCAATTTTGGGGTAAAATTAGATGTATATACAGACACAGAAAAAATGACTGGAAGGATACCCAGGTAACATGACTGGATAGTTACAACGTTTTACTGGAACTTTCTCCCACTTTGGCCACAAAAAGTATCAGTGTGAGGTTTACTCACATTACTATATTACATAAGGAAATAAAGCTGCTTTTCAAATTTTGGGGTAGGCTGGAAAGGAGTGGGGTCATGGGGGAGAAGGAAAGCACAAAGACCATGAGTTTTGCTAATTGTAAGACATTAATCCAGGACTCTCCAAACCTACAGCCCAATTTCTACTGAGAATTTTTTTTTTTTTTTTGTAGAGATAGAGTCTATGTTGCCCAGGCTGGTCTTGCATTCCTGGCCTCAAGCAATCCTCCAGCCTTGGCCTCCCAAAGTCCTTACAGTTGTGAGCCACTGTGCCTGGTCCTACTGAGAACATTTTGAAAAGCAGAATTGAAATCCAATTATAACAGCTCCTCTTACTTCCTTTGTAAATTACGAACATGCCCATCCCTCTTTCCTCACCACTTCATCACCACCATGTCCCCTCCTCTCTGCAAAACTTATTGAAATAACAATTACATTTTGTAATTTTCCTTTCCTGTTGCTTTCAGGACTCAAGCTCTGTTGAGGACATGAGGCCAGCAGATGGGCATAGTTTTAAAGAAGTTATAGTATTCGAATTGAAATTCCCTACTCTGTTAATTACGGCCCTGAAGACTTTTTGTCACAAATGCAAAATTTCACAACCACCTGACATTAAGAATGTTGATACTCAGGCCCTCGTGCAGCTGCTTGCTCATGAGGCCAACAGATGGGCATACTATTTAAAAAAAAAAAAAAAAAAGGGCTGCAATGCCGAGGTTGGAATTCTCAAATCCAGGCACTGAGGCTCTTAAAGCTCAGTGCACGGTCAGGAGTTGCACTGCCTCATGGTCCTTTGGGACCCTTCCTGCCCGCCCCGCTCTGCACCTGGAGCCACTGGGCGAAGCGTGTTAAAAAGCCACAGCTGACTTAATTCATGTGTTATGGGAGACATTCCTGGGGTTGGCTTATTACCGTGATCCTAACCCTCTCCTGGTGCGATTCGAAAAGAACACTTAGGAAGGGGAACAAAGACAGTAAGACAATAGTGTGGAAAAACACATAATAATCCTACTTTTTTCTTTTTCTTTTTTTTTTTTTTTTGAGACGGAGTCTTACTCTGTTACTCTGGCTGCTGCACAGTGGCATGATCCTGGATCACTGCAACTTTTGCCTCCCGGGTTCAAGCGATTCTCCTGCCTCAGCCTCCTGAGTAGCTGGGACTACAGGCACGTGCCACCACGCCTGGCTAATTTTTGTATTTTTAGTAGGGATGGAGTTTCACCATGTTGGTCAGGCTGGTCTCTAACGCCTGACCTCAAGTGATACACCTGCCTCGGCCTCCCAAAGTGCTGGGATTACAGGGGTGAGCCACCGTGCCCGGCCTTAATCCTACTTTCATATTGTTACTGCCCCATGGGAAATCAAATGTACAAATCAGCAAGGATCTATTTTATAGTCAGTCAACAAACAACAACATAAGCACTACAGACTCTTTTATTTACAACAGTCTTTCAAAAGAAACCTTTCTTCTGCATCCACGTGCAAGTTAAGTAAGCTTGAGGAACATCATCAAGAATGGGATGGTGAATATATGAATAGAATAGCTGCAACCTCACGTCAGTTGAATTTAATCAGTAGAGCAGCTGTGTCCCGTCTTCGGTACCATGGTGTGGGGGTGTATTAGTCTTGTTTTCATGCTGCTGATAAAGACATACCGGAGACTGGGAAGAAAAAGAAGTTTAATTGGACTTACAGTTCCACGTGGCTGGGGAGGCCTCAGAATCATGGCGGGAGGCGAAAGGCGTTTCTTACGCAGCAGCAGCAAGAGAAAATAAGGAGCAAGCAAACGTGGAAACTCCCGATAAACCCATTAGATCTCGTGAGACGTATTCACTCTCGCGAGAATAACGCGGGAAAGACCCACCCCCATGATTCAACTACCTCCCTCTGGGTCCTTCCCACAATATGGGGGAATTCTGGGGGACACGATTCAAGTTGACATTTGAATGGGGACACAGCCAAACCATATCAGGGGGAATGGGCATGACTCAAGTTCAAATCTTTTCTCCAGTAGGGTATTTATTAGCCATGTGACTTTAGGTACATCACTTCTCCTGAGCCCCCGTTTACTCACACGTAAAACTGGAGAAATAGGAACCACCTCACAGGCCTTGTTGAGCTGAAACATTTGAGTTTAACTGGCGCCTCCTGACGCTGGTTCAGTTTGCTCATCATTGGTGCGCGCTGTGTCCCGTGAGCCTGCGCTCCGCCCTCGGGCCCTTCCGGGCCGCTTGCTTTTCATCTTCCCTGTGGGACTCGCCCAGAGACGCCTTCACGCAGCTCCGCGTCATCTGTGATTCTGTAGCTTCGGGGATCCTCTTGTAAACTGTAAGGGTGTTTTAGATGTCTATCATTTATTTTTATTTTCTGTTTAGAAGGAAATGACATACAAAAAACTATGGTTTGCATTTCACTTATTTATACATGGATCCATTTCCTTGCCCAACACACTGATATTAAATTTTTATGGGAGTAAAAAAAAAAAAAAAAAAAACAACTAGCTATGAAGAAAGTCCAAAGATATTGAGACGAATACGGAAATATTTATTGAGCATTGCATTGATATTAATTGGGACTTCAAAACATATCGACAAAAAGAACCTCCTCACAGCTTCCACACGAAAGCGGGCCTATCTGCCAAACGCTTCCAGTGTTTGTGGGTGGCTGCGTGCAGATTGCTTTAGTTAATAGGGAATTTAGTGCAGTGAAGGAGGGAAAAAAGACATTTCGGTAAATCTTTTGTTCTTACTGATTCTAGAACAAGCTGCAGCAAGCCCTACCAGTCGTCTCCAAGCCTGGACGTATACTTGGCTAGGACAGAGAATCACTTCCTCGCCTTCCCTTAGTCACCCGCCGAGGGGGCTGTGGGGTTAGCTCAGAGGGCCTAGTTTAAGGAAAGGAGCTCAGAATCCGTTGCCGTCCATTCTTGTGGACTCAATACCAACAAGATCTGCTCTCTGGACACAACGCTTCTCATGGGGAGTTCATGACACTGGTGCCTCTTCAATCCATTTTGCCCCTAGAGAGTAGACTACTAAATAAAACTCTCTAGATTCTATAAAAATCGAAGCCTTATAAAAAATAATGGTTGTTTACAAACACCTTCTTACTCCTATTGAACAAACACTCCTGTGCAGGTCTGATGTTTCAACAATTTTGAAGGCTACAAACTAGTCTCTGGGTCCCTACCCTTTATTATTATTATTTTATTTACCCGCTACCTACTCCAGGGCACACAACCCCCATTCCACCACCCTACAGCCCCCGTGTGTCTGTGTTCACCACTGCTGTTAAATGCTGGCTCCTGGGTGCACGCTGAATCCAGCGGTGTGTAACCTAATTTGAATTTTAAAGTCAAAGGGGATCTGAGATACTCAAGTATCATGCATGAGGTTGGAATTGTGAAATGGAGGGTTTTTCCGTTTGTTGCTGGCATGTGAAGCACTAGCAAGCTGGTATGAGAAAGCATTTTATACTGGGATGGAGCGGAGGAGGGGTGGGAAAATAGGATCTTCTGACTAATGAAATGACTAAATACAGATTTTCTAAACGTTGGAATGCATGGTTGGATGAACTGAATTGTTCTGAGGAGATGATGGAATTGAATGAAAACTTAGGATTGATGTTTTTTTGAAAATGCAGAATGCATGGTGCTGGAATGTGACATACCCAGGTTTGTCCCATCATCATTCCAAAAGGCACCACTGCAAACGATGTGAGTTCCTTCTTCCCTACATTATACATCTGGTTTCTTTCTCCCCATCTTCCCTTCTCGACAACTTCTATCAGCTTTGGCCACACACTCATCCAGAACTAAAACAACGCAAGCACTGAAGTACATTTTCTTGGTTGTAAAGAAAAGCTTGTTCTGAATTTGGCACAGTGACCTCCATATGTGCTACCTTTATTCATACATTCTATGTATAATACTAATCATATATTGTGTGTTATAAGAAAAGGCTTTCTTTGAGATCTCCACCTGAAACCGATTGTAAAATATTACGTCATATTCAAGTGCATTCCCCTTGGGTATACCCATGCCTTGCAGGGCCTCAGATTCAGCAAGTGACAGAGATAGAGATTTGTTTCTCTAATTGTCCGTTCACGGGTTGAGGCAATAACAACAACACTAACCAAATAAAAGCTAGCAGTGTTGAAGGCTTTCCAGATAGCAGGCATTGTGCTAAGCACTTTATATGGATGAATTTATTTAATCCGCATGACATTTAATCTGCATGACAATCCCAGAGGGATGGTACTAATAGTCTACTCATAAGAGATATGCACTGAAGCCTGTGCCAGTCTTAAACTTGCCTAGGAAGGTGCCAGATTATGTGTTGGGTCTTTGCCTGAGTCCAAGAACAGTTTCTAGGCAACCAAATGCCAATGTCAGTCCTCATAGGGATCCTTACCAAAGTTTGACCCAGGGGCCTGAGGCCAGCATGGATTTGCCAGAGAGTTGATTAAATCCTATTCATGGGAGCTGAACACTTCCTTTATTAAGAATAATGGATTAAAGCAAGAAAACAAGGAAAGTTAAATTAGATCTAAAAGTCTCATAAAATAAATAATGAGCATGAACCATTGAAGGCCAAACATGTCATAATTAATACTAAATAAGTATTGGCAACACATTTCTGAAGTATGCTTTGTTTTAGTATCCACCTTAATTGATTCAATTTAGCACTTCACTTAACATTTGCTTTTTAAATTTTTTATTTTTTTGAGTTGGGTTCTCACTCTGTCACCCAGGCTGGAGTGCAGTGGTACAGTCACGGCTCACTGCAGCCTTGACCTCCCGGGCTCAAGTGATTCTCCCACCTCAGCCACCCAAGTAGCTGGAACTACAGGCACATGCCACCATGCCCAGCTAATTTTTGTGTTTTTTGTAGAGATAGAGTTTGACCATGTTGCCCAAGCTGGCCAACTCCTGGGCTCAAGCAATTCATCTGCATAGGCCTCCCAAAGTGCTGGGATTACAGGCATAAGCTATAATGCCCAGCCTTAATTTCTAAAATAAGAAGTGAATTGATGTGCTGAGGACTTGTTCTAATGATTGTTTTCACTTAGCTTTTTGCTATTAAAAGCTAACCCATTAAACAAAGTATTTAGTGAAGAGCATGAACTACAGATTTTATCATAAACTGAACTGCCTGAATTTCCTTATGCATTTGAAAACTGTACTGCTGCTGTAAAAGCTATGTGTTTTGACCTTGGCTAATCTGGTCTCTACTTGCACAACTTTGCTCAGTAGGAGAATTCAGCCTTGGTTAGTGAGGCGTATGGATTTAGGTGATGGCTCACAGACTTTGACTCAGATGATTGAGCAGATACAGGTGCAATTCAGAATTATGGATTGAAGTGAGCAAGGATTTGTTAAAAACTTTCAAACTTCGAAGGTGAAGATTTGGCTTTCACTCATCATTGCTAAATAACAAATTTCTCCTTAGCAAAAACATATTGAGTGATAATTTTGGTTGATATCTATCACCAGCCTCGCCTCACCTTCTACCTGTCCAAAAGTCCTTTGAAGTCTGCAAAGTAAAAAAAAAAATGAAGAAAAACTGGCCAATTGTGAATCATTATTTAATTATTCATGAGGTATATAGAGTATGTCAAAGAAAGAGATTAAAAATGTTTGCTGTATTCTGCCTGAGAGACAAGTATTATCCTGGGGGAATATTTGTCATCAGATAGAGAATATAAAACAGCAGGAGTCATATATTGTGGAGCACGGAAAGGAAAGGGAGGTAAATTTTGTCTCTTATGGACTGAGCGACACTTGGAGACATGCCATCAAACAGAGGGCTAGCAAATGTCACATAGAACCCGAAGATCACAGTGGATTATTAGCATCTGCCCTTTTGGATTGTTCCCTGACATCCGCAATGTTTGCAAAGGCAAAACTTCTACTTGCAGGTGAACATGAAACTCCCACTGTTTAAGTTTAGGGCATTATAAATATTACAAGGTCTACTTTAACAAGAATAAGATATGGTACAAGGAGCTAATCTTGGTAGCACCCACTGAGAGGCTAGCCTACATTTTGACTTTAGCAAACTTGCTAGCATTGGGTCGTGGAGAAATGAAATAGGGTTAGTGTTCTAATCTTAATAACTATTTTAATAATAGTGATGACCTGCACTAATTGGGTGCTCACTATGTTTCAAGTAGGAGTGTAGCAGTAGAAGGGTCTATGGACCTGGACATTGTGGAACCTCCTATAAAGAGTCTGGGAGACCAGAAAATAAAGTATAAAAAATAATAGCATGGAGCAACTTGACTCCCAGCCTGCTTATAGGAAGCAAGAGGTCTAACTATTTCAACTATGTCACAAATTTTCATAGGGTAGTTACAGATTATAATGTGTTTCAAAAGAAAAGAAAGTTTTGAAATCCAAAATAATTGCATATTGACTTAATCACTAATCTTGATTAAAATTTCATTTAAACTGTGCTATTTCAGCCAGGCGCGATGGCTTACGCCTGTAATCCTAGCACTTTGGGAGACCGAGTTCGGCGGATCACTTGGGGTCAGGAGTTTGAGACCAGCCTGGCCAACATGGTGAAACCCTGTCTCTACTAAAATTACAAAAATTAGCTGGGTGTGGTGTCGGGCACCTGTAATCCCAGCTACTTGGGAGGCTGAGGCAGGAGAATGGCTTGAACCCGGGAGCTGGAGTTTGTAGTGAGCTGAGATTGCACCATTGCACTCCAGCCTGGGCGACAGAGCGAGACTGTGTCTCAAATAAATAAATAAATAAAATATATAAATTTATAAATTTATAAATAAATAAATGAACAAACAAACTATGTGATTTCCATTTCAGGT
This sequence comes from Homo sapiens, assembly GCF_000001405.40. Taxonomy (NCBI): domain Eukaryota; kingdom Metazoa; phylum Chordata; class Mammalia; order Primates; family Hominidae; genus Homo; species Homo sapiens. Next base: position 186,764,178 of record NC_000004.12, read on the forward strand.
ATGGTCCCACTCTCTCTGTGTGATTTGTAAACAATAAGCTTCTGAGTACTGATAATTTGATGTTGATGGGCTGAACAAAATTAGCATTTTGGTCCCTAATTAGAAAAATGAACACCTGCAAGAAGGAGAATGGAAATGAATTGTTAGATTCTCATTTCCAGAGAATATAATTGTTTAGGGGAGAAAAATATCCAAAGGTAATGGTTACGAATCAATGTTTGGTAGGTTCTGAATTGTTTTTGAATCTTATCTTTAGGGTATTATCTGAATGAGTGTTCTTTTTAAAACAAGTAATGGTAAAAATAAAAATACTGAAAAACTTTCAGCCCAGGCAGAGAGGGAGGGGCTTTCATTTTGTCACAGTATTTTTTTGTTTTTTGTTTTGGGACAGGGTCTTGCTCTGTCGCCCAGGCTAGAGAGCACTGGTGTGATCATAGCTCATTGTAGCCTTGACCTCCTGGGCTCAAACGATCCTCCTGTCTCAGCCTCCTACCATCATGTCTGGCTACTTTTTTTTTTTTTTGGTAGATACAGGGTCTCACTATGTTGCCCAGCCTGGTCTAGAACTAAGTTCAAGCAATCCTCTTGTCTCGGTTTCCCAAAGTGCCGGGATTATGGGTTTGAGCCACCATGCCTGGTTGCAGCATTTTAAAACAGCCTAGATGTATTCTCTTAATCAAGTAGAGGAAGAAAGGGTGCCATTAGAAAAAGAGGCATCAACGCAGAGGTCCGTAATTATTATGAAATGGCTCTCCCTCAAAACTTAGCAGAAAAAAAATTACAAGCAGTAATCACTTGTAAATTATTTATGTTTTCTAATGTGCTCTAACTTTCCATTTCTGTGCTTATAAACTTTGCTTTTACAATCCGTTTGTGTTTGTGACTGAGTTACAGAATAATGAATAGATATTATTGTGCAAGTGGCGTGGACTATCATAAGCTATCCTTTGGTTATTGTTGGCATGCTACGACGTTTTTAAGAAAGGGGGAAAAGTCTCAGTGGATAAAGTTGTACGTGTTTGATGTCCTGTTGTTGCCTAGGGCTTTAGCAACCCTGAGTGTGCCCAGTTGCCAGCACATTTGGATTCCTGAGGGGTTCTTAGCAGTGGCTAGTGGTAGTCATTGCATCTGCCAACTTTCTGAAAGCGGATGTGGCCGGTGAATGTGGGTGCGGCCAGTGAATGTGGGTGTGGCTGATCTGGCCATGGCTCTGCCTCAGATCTCCAATCATGCAGACAGATGTGCCTGAGGCATCGATCGAGGAGGGGGCTGCAAAAAGGAGCTGCAAATGTTGGTGTTTTTATGTAGTTTATGTTCCATTCCATCTCACCCCATGTAAGCCAGGAGAGAGGGCCGTTTCCTACTCTCGTAAATTTAAGTTCTTTTCCTTTTAGAAAAAGAACATATTTTGAGCTACCTTTTATGTAGCTGGTGCAGATATTTTAAAAAATGTAATATACCAGAAGCAGTATTTTTCCTGGTATTAATGATTAGTATGAATCACTACATGATTGAGGGAACACCATAGCCTGTTTATTCATCTTGGAGACTGTCAGGGCTGAACTGGGCTAATCATGTTTGCTTTTTGCAGCCCCGTGGTGTGGTTAGCCTTTTGTCTTCCTTGTAATGTGCTAGGGTTTGCTTGCGGCCTGTGTCCCGTCCTCCCTGCAGACAGCTGAATGACAGGCCTTCACCAGCGCTCTCTGTATGCCCTGCACTGTAACCTGATTGGCCAGGAGCCTAATGGGAAATGGCCTTCAACCTCTGCACCTACGTTCATGAAAAGCCATTGCTCTTACATAATCAAAGTGCTCAGGCTCTCGCTGATGAATCCAGAGACTAACCACGTAATCTAGAAGAAATTCATCTTTGTCCCCAAGGCTCCCAGCATTTGGCAATTATTGAACAGGTGGTAGATACTTCCTCTGTTGACAGGAACAAAAGGCAAAGGGCCTGCCTAGGAGGTTGAGGAGCTATTAAGGAATGCTGCCCCAGGACAACTCTCTAGCAGCAGCAGTGAAAGAGCAGGAAGACCCTTGCTAAATCAGTGACTGGGAACACTCGCATTTACCATCCCAGAGATCAGATCCTGTTAGGGAGCAGCTAGCAGGATTCCAGCTTATCTGGTCCTTTCTCACCCGGCTACTGCCTTGATTCTTACCCGCTACCCTGTGGGGAGGGGTGGCGGGGTGGGTTGGCTGATGTGATCTTAGAGTTATTTACCTAGATGGGGAGAGGCTCTTAAAACATATCTACAATGCGGCGGAGTGCGGTGGCTCACGTCTGTAATCCCAGCACTTTGGGAGGCCGAGGCGGACAGATCACCTAAGGTTAGGAGTTCGAGACCAGCCTGACCAACATGGTGAAACCCTGTCTCGACTAAAAATACAAAAATTAGCCATCGTGGTGGCTCATGCCTGTAATCCCAGCTACTCAGGATGCTGAGGCAGGAGAATTGCTTGAACCCGGGAGGTGGAGGTTGCAGTGAGCCAAGATTGTGCCCTTGCACTCCAGCCTGGGCAACAGAGCAAAACTCTGTCTCAAAACAAAACAAAACAAAACATATCTATAATGCCTAAGATTCCACAGGTCAGGGATGTAGTCAACCCTGTGGTATAGAAAATTGTGACCTTGAGAAGCCTCCTATTGTTCACCTAATGGTTTAGGGATATTTGAGAGGCCAACTTTTATTGTACATAGACTTGAATCATTAAATGGTAGTGTTAGAACTAGAAAACCAGAGACAATTCAATCACTTTAGCTTTAGTTCCTGACCAGAAAAATCACTTGGCCTGGCAATCCGCATGAGTTTTGCTGTTGTTTTTGCTAAGAAGCCTGTGGTGACAGCACCACGCAGGTCATCTCACTTAATCCGATAGATCTTATTCATCAGGAATAAATAAAGGATCTTATTTATTCCCATTTACAAATGTGGCACCCGAGAAAAAACTTTGACTTTCTCTTGTGTAAAGGCCCATGCTCCTTCCACTACTGTGAAGGCTCTTGTCTTGAATGAGGGAGACGATAAGATAGAAATATATTGAGATTTTCTTTTCCCTTTTGATACAGGGTCTCGCTCTGTCGCCCATGCTGGAGGGCAAGTGGTGCAATCACAGCTCACTGCAGCCTCAACCTCCCAGGCTCAAGGGATCCTCCCACCTCAGCCTTCCCAGTAGCTGGGACAGCAGGCATGTGCTACTATGCCTGGCTAATTAAAATATATGTATACATATATTTTTGCAGAGATGCAGTCTCATTATGTTGCCCAGGCTGGTCTCGAATTCCTGAGCTCAAGTGATCCTCCCACCTTGGCCTCCCAAAGTGCTGGGATTACAGGTGTGAGCCACTGCACCCAGCCTGTTTTTTCTTTAAAATTATCCAGATTTTTATTTTAATCTGGTTCCGTCTACAGAAAAATATGATCTGCTGCCCTCATTTTCTCCTCCCCACTCCCCATAGATCCACTGCGCAGAGCTAGTCCCCGCGTTAGGGGGCCTCCACTTCAGGAATGTTACTCCTCGCAATCTCGTATTTGCAGCATTTTCATGGCTGTTTCTCAGCAGAACTCGACTCCTAAAATGAATTACATAGCCAGCTTACGGTCCTTCGAAAGCTATACATGTGCTAAAATTAATATGTAAGAAGGTGATTATATAGAAACTTAGCTGATGCTATTGGATGGGATTAATATTGCAGAATGTTTCTTGTTCCCTCAAAATTTGTTCTCCCCTTTGTTTACAGTAATCCAGCTTAGCCAAAGGGCAGCCTGGCCTCACTGGGGCCACATTTCCCATCAGCTGCCAGCCAGGTTTGATCACGTGACTGTGTTCTTACTCTTGGGATGTGAGTGGAAGTAATGGGCGAAACTGCTCTATCCCTTGTCCGGAAAGAAATTGCTTGCCCTCTCAGGCAGGAGAAGGAAATAAAGGGTATTCAATTAGGAAAAGAGGAAGTCAAATTGTCCCTGTTTGCAGATGACATGATTGTATATCTAGAAAACCCCATCGTCTCAGCCCAAAATCTCCTTAAGCTGATAAGCAACTTCAGCAAAGTCTCAGGATACAAAATCAATGTGCAAAAATCACAAGCATTCTTATACACCAATAACAGACAAACAGAGAGCCAAATAATGAGTGAACTCCCATTCACAATCGCTTCAAAGAGAATAAAATACCTAGGAATCCAGTTTACAAGGGACGTGAAGGACCTCTTCAAGGAGAACTACAAACCACTGCTCAATGAAATAAAAGAGGATACAAACAAATGGAAGAACATTCCGTGCTCATGGGTAGGAAGAATCAATATCGTGAAAATGGCCATACTGCCCAAGGTAATTTATAGATTCAATGCCATCCCCATCAAGCTACCAATGACTTTCTTCACAGAATTGGAAAAAACTACTTTAAAGTTCATATGGAACCAAAAAAGAGCCCACATCGCCAAGTCAATCCTAAGCCAAAAGAACAAACCTGGAGGCATCACGCTACCTGACTTCAAACTATACTACAAAGCTACAGTAACCAAAACAGCATGATACTGGTACCAAAACAGAGATATAGACCAATGGAACAGAACAGAGCCCTCAGAAATAACGCCACATATCTACAACTATCTGATCTTTGAGAAACCTGAGAAAAACAAGCAGTGGGGAAATGATTCCCTATTTAATAAATGGTGCTGGGAAAACTGGCTAGCCATATGTAGAAAGCTGAAACTGGATCACTTCCTTACACCTTATGCAAAAATTAATTCAAGATGGATTAAAGACTTACGTGTTAGACCTAAAACCATAAAAACCCTAGAAGAAAACCTAGGCAATATCAGTCAGGACATAGGCATGGACAAGGACTTCATGTCTAAAACACCAAAAGCAATGGCAACAAAAGCCAAAATTGACAAATGGGATCTAATTAAACTAAAGAGCTTCTGCACAGCAAAAGAAACTACCATCAGAGTGAACAGGCAACCTACAGAATGGGAGAAAATTTTTGCAATCTACTCATCTGACAAAGGGCTAATATCCAGAATCTACAATGAACTCCAACAAATTTACAAAAAAAAAAAAACAACCCCATCAAAAAGTGGGTGAAGGATATGAACAGACACTATTCAAAAGAAGACATTTATGCAGCCAAAAGACACATGAAAAAATGCTCATCATCACTGGCCATCAGAGAAATGCAAATCAAAACCACAGTGAGATACCATCTCACACCAGTTAGAATCACCATTCTAACAGGAAACAGCAGGTGCTGGAGAGGATGTGGAGAAATAGGAACACTTTTACACTGTTGGTGGGACTGTAAACTAGTTCAACCATTGTGGAAGTCAGTGTGGCGATTCCTCAGGGATCTAGAACTAGAAATACCATTTGACCCAGCCATCCCATTACTGGGTATATACCCAAAAGATTATAAATCATGCAGCTATAAAGACACATACACATGTATGTTTATTGTGGCACTATTCACAATAGCAAAGACTTGGAACCAAGCCAAATGTCTAACAATGATAGACTGGATTAAGAAAATGTGGCACATATACACCATGGAATACTATGCAGCCATAAAAAATGATGAGTTCATGTCCTTTGTAGGGACATGGATGAAGCTGGAAACCATTATTCTCAGCAAACTATCGCAAGGACAAAAAACCAAACACCGCGTGTTCTCACTCATAGGTGGGAATGGAACAATGAGAACACATGGACACAAGAAGGGGAACATCACACACCGGGGCCTGTTGTGGGGTGGGGGAAGGGGGCAGGGATAGCATTTGGAGATATACCTAGTGTTAAATGATGAGTTACTGGGTGCAGCACACCAACATGGCACATGTATACCTATGTAACTAACCTGCACGTTGTGCACATGTACCCTAAAACTTAAAGTACAATTAAAAAAAAAAAGATGTTAAAAAAAGAAAAAGAAATTGCTTGCCCTCCAATTCTGGTCTTATTTCTTCCTGAAACCTGGATCATGGATGTGGCACTGATTCAATGAGGTAGGCAAAGAGAATGCCCTAAGGCAGCAGTTCTCAATTTGCCATCCCCTGGATCCCTAGGGACCCCGGGGCAGTTTCAGTGGGTCTGAATTGTCAGAGCCACTTCAATAATTGTACTAAGTAGTTGTTGGCCTTTTTCACTGGGTTGACCTTTGTGCTGATGTTGGCAATGCTGATTCCTTGAGTCAAGGTAGTGACACCGAGTAGTCCCTGAATTCTTCACTGCTGTACACCCACAGAAGAAAAGTGCCAGTTGCACTTAGAAATATCCTTGATGAAGCTGTAACAATGATTGATATTATGAAACCCAGAACTTTGAGTACCTGGCTTTAAGCAGTATGTGTAAACATATAAGGAGTATGCATAAAACCGTCATGCATATGAAGCATAAGGATTGTTTGGAAGAGAAGTGCTTGTGCAACTCTTTGAGCTGAGAACTGAACCATTCTTTTTTTTTTTTTTTTTTTTGTAACACCATTTTACTTGCAAAAACAACTGATAGACAAATCCTGGTTATTCAGACTTGGGGACTTGGCAGACATTTCCTTGGAAATGAGCGATGGAAGCCTGTTGCTTCAAGGAAAATAACTGATGGTGTTTGTTGCCAGAGATAGAATTCAAGCTCTATCAAAAGGAAATCAGAACTGGAAAACCTGTATCTGCTGTTATGAGCTTGATAGCTTCCCAATGCTCCATTTAAAGACTTCTCTGATGCGATTGGTGTTACTATTAATGAATTTTTAAAACATTGTGTAATACATTTTCTAAATTCCGAAGGTATGTGCAATTCATGGGGAAGAGACACATTCAAGTTGCAACATAAACCAATTTTCCTGTGACAGAATGTGAGAAGTTCATGAATATTGTTTCAGATAATACATTGCAACCAACCTTTAAAAACCTACCTCTTGTTAAGTTTTGGTGTGGTATTAAATACCATGCATATCTACATTATCTGATAAGTCTTCTAAAATGCTTCTCCATTTTACAGATATGTGACTGTAGGAAGATAGATTTTTTTTGTATAATTAACCACAATAACACATCAGGATGGACTGAATACAGAAGTAAGTATGAGAATTCAGCTGTCTTTTATTAATCCAGTCATGGAAGACATTTGCAAAATATAAAACAATGTCACTCCTCTTACTATAGTCTGTGCTTTGGAAAATATAGTTTTTTTTTCATAAACATCTGTTTTAGTCATGTTAACATTAATGGCTTAATTAATGTTTGTGGTAAGCTGAGCAATGCCCCCCCCCCCCCACCACCAAGGACATCCTCTTCCTCATCACTGGAAACTGTAAATATGTTATTTCATATGGCAAGAGGGATTTTGTAAATGTAATAAAGTTAAGGATCTTGAGGGAGAAGATATTCTGGTTTATCCAAGTAGGCACAATGTAATCAGCATGATCCTTACAAGAAGGAGACAGGAATGTCAGAAGCAAAAAGAAAAAAAAAAGGGGGAAGTAAGAAAGAGCGGGAGACTGAGGGATAAGAATGTGCTTTGAAGATTGAAGAGGTCATAATCCAAGTAATACAGGAAGCTTCTGGAAGCTGAGAAAGGCAGGGAAACCGACTCTCCTCTGCAGCCTCCAGAAGGAATTCAACCCTGCTGATGCCTCAGCTTTAGAGACCTGACCTCCAGAACTCTAAGCAAATCATGTTGTGTTGCTTTGAGCTCCCAAGGTTGTGGTAATTAGTTATGACAGAAATAGGAACTGAGTATAATGTTGTATTTTAAAGAGTCAAATAAATGCTTTAGTTTTCATTTTGACTGGATGAATACTGGTAGATATAACACATACAAACAAAAGTTCTGTGGAGTCCTCAGTAGTTTTTTAAAGTGTGAATTCTGAGACCAAAAAGTTTGAGAATTGTTGCTCTAAGAAATGGTAGAGCGAGATGGAAGAAACATAAGTCTCTGAATGAGTTCCCAAGCTCAACTGTCTTGCCAGGGTAGACTATGCCCATCTTCTGGACTGTTATGTGTGTGAGAAATAAACCTCCGTCTTATTTAAACAACTGCGTTTAGGGTTTCTTTTTACAGCAACCCAACCTGTACCTAACTAACACAATCAACTAATGCTATCCTTAGATTCTCTTCTGAGATTAGAAGCCCACTTTAAAACCATTTTCTTAATTGATTTAATGAAGACATAAAAATCCCATTGGATTTTTAATGAAAAAGGGCCAAAATAAAATTAGTAATAGTTTTAGGAAAATTTATCTTTTTCCAATTAAACCTTTCTTCTTACTAATATTGAGATGGTCTTTTTCTGCCTTAAAGGGCAAAATGGCTTTAATAGGATTTTCTTAGTCCTTAGAGTACATGAGAATTTTTTTAGTGATTACTGGTGTGATCTCTTGCTGTTAACTCTTCTGTGAATTCTTGCCACTGGATCTATCAGGAAATTGAAATCATTTTGAGGAATTAAAATAATTATCCTTCTGATTTTGCCTTTTAATGTAGTTTTATTTTTTATTTTTAAAATTTCTAATGACTTGACAAGGTAGGTTCAGAAGATACCATTTCCATTTGACCAGTGAGGATATGCCAGGAATCCAGAAAGCGTAAGAGACTTGACTGAAATGATATATCTATTTTCTGGCAGGGCCAGACCAAAAACCAATTTTATATGCATCCACTAAAAGAGCACATTTTTGTTGACAACATGCAACTGGTTCATTTCAGAACATTGGGTAGGTTATTAACTGGTAACTGTTTAAATTAGAAATAACTGGTTCTCCAATCTATGTAAATAGCTTTTTGAAATGTGTAACCTCATTCCTATCAACTTTCCAAGACATGTTATGGGCCGTGAATATAAGTAATAATCATTAGGATCACAATTTAAGCACATTGGCGAATAGTGCTATCATGTTCTTTACTGTGCCGTTTACCTAAGACATGACTCAGGGTCCAGGAACAATAAGTGAACAATGCGAAGCCCAGAAACGTGACGTCAATGAAGTAAAAATAAGTTAGAAGACGTACACAGAGAGACCACCAAGTCTGTATACATAAAAGGATGCAGTGAGAATAGACAAGATGTCACATCACAGGGCATGTCCTTTGTGAGAAAAAGCTGAAAAACGCAGAACAACCATGTTTGACAGAACTTGCATATATTCACATCACACATGACGTTGTGATTATTTTCTTCTGACAGAAATAAGTTACATAAGTGAGACATCAAAAGGAGTGTGTAGCTTTGATCTCATTTCTAATTAATTGCACCCGGAGAAGATTCAGATCGCACAAGCGAGGGATAGTAAGTGTTACTTATGTAAATAATTAATAAGCATCTATGATCTATTGGGCTTTAATCTGTCCTTCCAAAGTGGGGAATGTTATCTACAGTTCAGCCAGTAAGAAATAAACTTGTCATTTCACTCTCTTCTCCAGGCTTGTTTCTTTACAACTTGGAGATTTCCTCAAGAGTGAAAACACTTCTGTTATTTAATTTTGAATGTTCTAGAGCACGAGCCACAATTAAGTTTCCTTTTGAAGATACTGTGGCAATGATGTTGTTGTTGTTGTTGTTCACTACCAATGTCTATTCTCTTCTTCTTCCTTAGACGTAGAACTTTAGTTGGGAAGGGGCTGCGCAGCAAGGGGCTACGTTTTCTTAGCTCCTGGCAATGAAGCTTGTTGCTTGTCCCTTGGACACACCAAAGAAATATAAATGGAGGGGATGTGTTTGTTTCTGCCTAACTTCCTTAAGAGGATATTTTTGTCCCTGGACAAATGAATGATGTCCAGAGCAACCCTGAAAACCATTGTTAAAGATGGAGGCGCTGTCGTCACCCTGGGTCCCCGAAACACTGTGTAGAGTAGAACTGACCTCTGACAAACCACGCTCACTTCAGACTGTAACTTGAAGGAGAAATAAACTCCTTTTTTCTTTATTAGGTGGGTGCTCTGCTACAGTTTGGCTTGCTCATTCGTTGTTGAAGAAATTACATTGTATCAAGTAGGAGTTTTAAATTATTTCTGATCCTCAGCGATAATTTATAATACCTAATCAATCTATTCTGCTTCTGTGGAGTAGGTGAAATCTACCTATAGAATTGGATCGTGGTGACATACTACAATCTCTATTCAGTGTAAGATTGTGTTGAGAAGCGGAAAAATAAAAATTGGGCCATTCTGTACAAGCACCCTTAAATTCTCTCCCCATCAAAATTTCTCTTTAAATATATTCTTTCTATATTCTTTTCACCCAGAATCTTTACATTATGCCCTCAGCCACTGGCTCCGTTGGTTTTCCCTCCTCTGTCTTGGGTATCATATCCCCTTCCTTTGTCTTTTCTACTTAGCTCTCCCATGTATTCTAAAGCATCTTCATTTAGTTGTACCTCCATCTCAAACTACCACCTTATCTTGTTACTTTCCTTATTTTTCTCCTCCTTTATCCTATCTTATCTTTCCCAAAGTTTTAAAGCGTATTCAACCCTTCCCATTCCAGTTTCACACAATTAGTTTGCCAACCCCATCCTTAAACAGAAATTTCTTTCTTTCTTTTCTTTTTTTTTTTTTTTTTGAGAAGGAGTCTCGCTCTGTCACCCAGGCTGGAGTGCAATGATGCTATCTTGACTCACTGCAACCTCTGCCTCCGGGGTTCAAGCGATTCTCCTGCCTCAGCCTCCCAAGTAGCTGGGATTACAGGCAGATGCCATCCTGCCTGGCTAATTTTTGTATTTTCATAGAGACGGGGCTTCACCATGTTGGCCAGGCTGGTCCTAAACTCTCGACCTCAGGTGATCCCCCCGCCTCGGCCTCCCAAAGTGTTGGGTTTACAGGCGTGAGCCACCTCGCCTGGCCACAGGAACTTCTTTCCTTACTTATTAGCCGTAAATCCAATCATGTCTTTTTGAGTGTTATTCTTTTGGATGAATTCTGCAGCACTGATGGCTCTTATCTTTTTCTTCTACTTCTGGGTTCTTCTTTTGTTCTACTTCTTTGACCATTCCTTCCTTCCTTTGACTAATCACCTGCAAGTGAAGTGACCATCTCTCCATTTCATTCCTGCCTGGCTCAACACATTTCTGTAATTCCTAAATCCTGTCTTTTAACTTCTTTTAACTCTCTTTCTCTTCCCTCCCTTGACTCTTATGTCTGCTACTATGCATTCTCTCATGGGGGTGGAACTCCATCCATTATGTATTTATGTTATATATTTATATGAATGCCCTACCAATACCTCAAGCTCACCATCCCCGAAATGGAAATTGCGTTCTTCTCACCCACACCACTTCTTACTCCACATATCTGTGGAGCAGGCTCTTCCACATTTCTGTTGATGCTGCCATTGATTTCCTCACACCCAGGCTTGAAATTTTAGAATAAATTTTAACGAGTCTCCCTGTTTCCCTCTCAACAGTTGACCGTGTGCTATGCCTGTGGTCCTTTTGTCTTTTTGCTTCTACTTTGGAAATAATCCTCCTATCCATTCCTGTGTTTACCTTTCTCCCACTAACACTTCCAGGCAGGTCTTCATTCTTATTTTTCCTGGGCTTTTGCCATATTCCTCTCATTTCTACATCATTCTTTCTTCAAACTCATTCATAAACCACTGTCATAGTAATTTTCCTATTGTCTGAATCTTAGTTTATTATTTTCCCAACCAAATAATCTCCAGAAGCTCCCTATTAACTTAGTAAAGTGAAGACATTTTTGCCTGATTTCAAAGACCCTTTGCATTGTCATTTCAAAATGCCTTTTAGCCCTCTTTTGCACAAGATATGGCATAATCCAGCCAAATTTGATCCCCTCGTCTTTCCCAAGTATGTCCTGTCCCCTGTCCTTTCCCTCCTGCATGCCTTTCCTTATGTGATTCTATTTGCTGGAATGTTATTGCCCTTGCCTCCACAGGACGAATTCTTACTCCATCTTCATGCTACCTCTTTCATCAGATGAAACATCACCCTGGTAAACACTACAGCAAATTGTCTGAATCACTCTCATATCACCCTTCAGTGCTTTCTGAGTTAAATGTTATTTGGTGCAATAGAAACAACAGTAGTTGAAGTCTAATACTGCAATTACTGGCTCTAATCTGGGCTCTACCATTAAGTGAGCAGGTTATTTTACCTGCTGAGTCTTCATTTCCTCCTTTATAAAATGGAGATAGTGATACCTGTTCTAGTTCAGAGGAATCTCAAAGAATCATATTAGATCAGGTATGTGGTGGAGTTTGGTGAATTGTTAAATACTTTACAAATACTCATTATTATGAGTATCACCCCAGATATATTTTTTCCTAAATATGTTTTAAGCTTCTTAGAAATAATAATAATGTGCTCATTTTTTTCTTATTTGCTATAAGGATTACCAGAAAGAACTTGTAGATAGAACTTACTTAATAAGTATTTGCTGACCACCACGAACAAAACAACGTGATAACCGAAAATTAAGGTAAAACCTGCCTATGTAATACTAAGCACATGAATGTAATAAAATAGAGTTATAAGAAATTTTACTTTTTATAAGAATGTTACTTTTTAATAGTGGATATATATATATTTTTTGAGACTGAGTTTCACTCTGTCACCCAGGCTGGGGTGCAGTGGCGTGATCTCAGCTCACTGCAACCTCCACCTCCCAGGTTCAAGCGATTCTCCTGCCGCAGCCTCCCGAGTAGCTGGGATTACAGGCATCCACAACCATGCCTGGCTAATTTTTTGTATTTTTAGTGGAGACGGAGTTTCACCATGTTGGCCAGGCTGGTCTCATACCCCTGACCTCAGGTGATCCACCCACCTTGGCCTCCCAAAGTGCTAGAATTACAGGCGTGAGCCACTGCACCTGGCCTATATTTCTTAATATTCAAAATGACTACATACTTTAGTGTACAGAATGAAGGAAAAGAAATCGATGTAAATGTGCTATCTCTCAAATATTAAAGTACATAAAATATTTGATACATAGAAAGAAATGATTTCCCTCATCTTTAAAACAGAACAAAGATTAAATGCAGGTGGCAATGCCACAACAGAACATGTCAATGCCTTTGGAAGCTTAGGTGGATGGTATTCATTATTTCCAGGCAAATTTGTGCAAGTGAAATCATCAGGCAAGCATTTGTTGATATTGCACAGTGATTTGTATAAATCAAAACAAGAACACCTCTGTTCAGACAATTAATTCCTCTGGAAGTTGATTAGAACAAGAGAATTTTTAAAGAGGATTAGAAGACAATCTTCAGGAGGAGGCAAATTGACATATAAAAATACAGTCATTAGCATTCTCTTGGGGTGAATAAGAGTTAGACAAGCTAGAAGAAAGAAGGCGTTCTGATCTCTGCTGAGGGGCTTCAAAATTAAATGCTGAAACCATCTTATCAAAGAGTGAGTGCTTTATCTATAATTGTTTTACTAATAGGGTTTTTTCAAACAAAATAATTTATAGATCTGTATCTCCCCAAATGAAAAAGAAAGTATTTTTGTCCGAATGAGTGTATATTATTACAAGAAACTTGAATTTTTATTTGGCTACTTTTTTGTCTAGCAACATGAACCATATTTAACATTTGTAACTCAGGCTAGATGAATAACTGCTGATTGACATCAAAGTCTCTCCAATGGCAGGATTCTCCCTCCCCTCTTGCCCCACCCTGTCTTTCCTCCCGATGGGCACATGCCTGCCCAGCGGAAGGAGACACGGCAGACTCTCTTTCCTGCGCACAAGGACTGTTGATTCTAGAAGCCCCATGTGCTCCCTGGGCAGGGCACCTCTACCCATGAGCTTTCATCTGCTTTTCAATAGCAGGCTTGGAATTTTCTGGAATCTCTGCTGTGACTTGCTGCTATCAGGAAGCCCCTCCATCATTCCCCTCCGTCGTTCTCTGCTTTGCCTTTCAAAGTAGCACCAAAACCACAGCAAGTGGGGAGCAGGGAGACGGTTGTTCCTCTTCCTCAGCAGTTCTAGAGGAAACCTTTGTAACAGACTTTAAAGTGTTGACAAAGTTGTTAAAACTAAAATGAAAGGAGGTTAGAGGAAGTAATGAGAACACCAGACTCTGAAATCCACCTAGAAGGGAGTTGGTAGGAGGGAGGTCTGTGGCCTGTTTATGAGTTCACTTTTCCATAAACTGCTAGAATAGGCAGATCGCCCCCACCTGGCCTGGCACATGGAGCCCAGGGTCCCCTAGTCTCCTCCCCAGCCCCTTCCCCTGAGCTTAGATTCGGCCTTCTCCTCTGAGTAACACCACCTTTCTGACATGTTTCTCTAGGCCCGAGTCCCCAGCGGTGCGGGTCTACCTTATTTTTGGGAGGGCGGAGGTGAGCAGTGGCTGTTTCTTTGAAGGACGCTGAAAACAATTCTCCCAAGTTACAAGCAAGTGACAGACAAACACTCAGGCACCTACTTCCCTGGAGGCGAACCCACCTGGGCCCCCTTCTTTCCCTGTTTGGGCTTGTTGGAGGATCTTCCTTTTATGTTGTATTTTTACTTGTTTTTTGTTTGCTCTCTAACTGCGCTCATTGCATCCTGGATCTGAGATTCGGCATTTGCTCTTACTTTGGGCTTCCCATTACATACTCATTTTGCAGTATATTGAGCTGGTCAAGTGCAAGCCCCGAGCCTTGGCAGCTTCCATGTGTACCCTGCAAAGCCACAGGGTCTGAGCTCCCGAAGACTGTGGGAGTCCACCTCTTGCATCAGCATGACCTGGATGTGAGACATAGAGTCAAAGGAGATCATTTCGGAGCTTGAAGATTTAATGACTTCCCCACTGGATTTCAGACTTGAGTGGGACCGGTAGCCCTTTCATTTTGGTTAGTTTCCCCCATTTGGAACGGGTGCATTTACCCAGTGCCTGTGCCCCTATTATATCTAGGAAGTAAGTAACTTGCTTTTGATTCTACAGGCTCATAGATGGAAGGGACTTGCCTATCTCAGATCAGACTTTGGACTTGGACTTTTGAGTTAATGCTGAAATGGGTTAAGACTTGGGGGACTGTTGGGAAGGCGTGATTGGTTTTGAAATGTGAAAAGATATAAGATTTGGGAGGAGCCAGGGGCAGAATGATATGGTTTGGCTTTGTGTTCTAACCCAAATCTCATCTCGAATTGTAGTCCCCACGTGTTGAGGGAGGGACCTGTCATCTTCACGCGTTGAGGGAAGAATGTGATTGGCTCATGGGTGCAGTTTCCCACATGCTTTTCTCGTGCTAGTGAGTTCTCACAAGATCTGATGGTTTTATGAGAGGCTCTTCCCCCTTCCTTTCATGGTTTCTTGTCTGCCACCATGTAAGATGTACCTGCTTCTCTTTCTGCCATAATTGTAAGCTTCCTGAGGCCTCCCCAGCCATGTGGAACTGTGAGTCAATTAAACCTCTTTTCTTTATAAATTATGTAATCTCAGGTAGTATCTTTGTAGCAGTGTGAAAATGGACTAATGCATGAAGTATTCAATACAAAATTATTTCACAAACAGAAATATGGAATTTTGTTTAGAAGAATTCTATTGGAATATTTAGACTCAAAATAATATATTGGGAAGAAAATGCACACATATATACAAATATTCCATATGTTTTTAATACAAGTTCCTTTATTTTCTAACTTTGAAGTTGATACAATTCTCGGGGACAAAAATGTGTTAGGTCATTCTTGATCTTCTATATGGAAACTTTTCTCTTTTTTTGAGACAGGTCTCACTCTGTTGCCCAAGCTGGAGTGCAATGGCATAATCTGGGCTCACTGCAAACTCTGCTCCTGGGTTCAAGTGATTCTCCTGCCTCAGCCTTCCAAGTAGCTGGGATTACAGGCAAGCACCACTGCGCCTGGCTAATTTTTGTGTTTTTAGGAGAGACGGGGTTTCATCATGTTGGCCAGGTTGGTCTTGAACCTCAGGTGATCTGCCCACCTTGGCCTCCCAAAGTGCAGGGATTACAGGTGTGAGCCACTGCGCCTGGCCAGGAAACTTTGCTTTAATAATGTATTGGCTCAGATTGCAAGTCATTAATTTATTTGTTCAACAAATGACTGTTTTACTACTGCCTTGTAAGTGCCAGACAAATGTTAGGCATGTGTAGGTTTGGGGACAAGGGGGATAGATTAGGGATGAAATAATGATCTAGAAGACATCCGATGTGCCATGAAGGACCCAACATTTAACAGGCCACAAGAGGAAAGAGACAGACATGTAATAAATGATTTTACTTCAACTCATTAAGTGTTTCAATAAAAGTAGACATAAAGTCCTGAGGTGGCAATTACTAGGGATTGGCCAACTGTGGCTCAAGGAACCAGGAAGTGCCTTATGGAGGAGCCTAATAATTATGATGGTTCTGCTGTCCTTTGTACTATTGTTTAAGATTCATGCCCAATCTAATACCTGATGACGTAATCTTTTTATTGCTTGTGGTTCTCCTTGAGGAAGATGATGAAGAGAGGTGAAAACTGCTTCAGCCACCCTCCCCCCGAGGACTGCTGCCCTGCCTTATTTTCCTTAAGTTTCTGTACCATGCCTCTGACAGAAGAGAAAGTTTATCCCTGGGGAGGCAAGTGGAGATGAGGCCTAGCATTCCATATGGAGATCCTGGATCCCCTTCCTTTTGCCCAATATAGACCTGGGGAAGAGTTCAAGGAAGTGGAGAAAACAGTACGTTTCCAAAGGCAGAGCTCCTTCATCTGGGAAACTCCCTCCAGGGGCTGGCTATGCATGTCATGCTTGTCTGAGGTGGCTACTCAGAGTGGCCATGGTAGGACCTGTACCCCTTTGCTAGAATTAGAAGCTTGCAATGTATGCATCATCTGTCTCTCACTGCAGTTTCTGCTAAAAAATACATGCCTTTCGTAGGTGGTGATATTTCCTGAACTACTCTTTCCAAAATATTGTGCTCATCCAGATAATCTTATATTGGACCTAGGACATTGCAGTGCAAATGAAGGCAATCTTAAGCTTCCCATATCCTGAATTAGTCTTTTCAAAATATGGTGCCCATCTAGATAAATCTTACACACTGGACCTCAGACAGTACAGCGCATATGAAGGCAATCTGTCCATTGCCGTATCGTGAATACCTCAATCAGTATTATCTCTAGCTGTAGAGATCCCCCTTTGAAGCCCATATAAACTATGCATATTTAGGCTGCTAAGATAGAAATATCATTTGCTATCAACTTTCAGAAAGATTCTTTCTTCTCTTGTATTTCTTGTGATGAGAGTGTGGCCACACATCTGCTAGCCAGGCTCCAGGGCTTTTTACTCACTCCCTTCAACCATCAGGGACAAAGCACAAGAAAGTGTTTTCTGAGAGTTTGCTTCTCTGCAATCTTTGACAGCTACCTTGGCTTGCTGGGGCTGGATTTTGAGCTGCATTTTTTTCCTATGAAGATGTAAAGTTTGTCTTTCCGTACAGAGGGCCAGTGTTTATCACATTTTTTATTTGTCTTTCAATACATTTTCAATCTTTTTCTCCAACCAATCCAAATTGTTTATTTTCCTCCAAAAGAGAAGATAAACGCCTTACCTAGCTTGTCTTGTCTAAGCCTGCCCCTTTCCCTGCTAACAGTGCTTCAATTGTTAACAAGACGTTTATGTTTCCACAAGTCTTTTCTGAGTCATGGGCCCCAGTGTTTGACATGGTGAGATAGCTGCTGTAGCTATTCAGGAAATGAAGAACATTAGTGAAATTCCTCTCATTAAAAAATAAATAAATAAAAAAGAAACAATATTTTAAACATTATGTGAATACAGGACTTATTTATTAAAGCTAAACAGAAGTACTTTCAAAAAATCATAATCCCAATTAATCTATATTTTATTTACTTTGGCTCTTGTAGACACGTAATGTGATAGCGTGTCAACTGTCAACTTCTGCTTTTCACTATATTGGTATTTTATAGTCATTGGATCAAAATATTATTTATTTTTAATATCATTTAATGTTTAAAAATGTAGGCTTAGCATCAAAGGACTAGAAAACTCTCAGCACCTGTTTCTTTTCTCTTTGTATTCTGTTTCCTATTACTTATCTACATTTTCAGTGGCATATGTTTTAAAGGAGTTCACCAGTTTCTCTTCTTAGGAACTAAGGATAAACTCCTTGATAATGAATTCGGGTCCTTTCTTCTCTTAAAGTAACTATTATGACTAAGTAACATCCCTCAGAAGATACTATTTTATTCTTTTTTACATTTTTTCCTTTTACTTACTGTTATGGATTGAAAGTTTATGCCCCCCACAAATTCATATGTTGAAATCACCCTAATACCTAATACCTAATATGATGGTATTAGAAGATGGGGTCTTTGGGAGGTGATTAGGTCACAAGGGTGGAGCCCTCATGAATGGATTAGTGCCCTTAAAATAGAGAGCCTGGGGAGCGCCCTGGCCCCTTTTCCACCAACTGAGGACACAGCAAGAAGACAGCCATCTATGGACGAAGAAGCTGGCTTTCCCCAGAACCGGACCACGCTGACACTCTGACTTCCAGCTTCCCGAAATGTGGGATATAAGTTTCTGTGGTTTACAGGCTACCCAGTCTATAACACTTCATTATAGCAGCCTGAGATAGGATACTTACTGCTATGTGCATTAACTATAACAATATGAGAAGTGGCTACAGGCAATCAGTTCACAGTTCGCTGTTATTCCCATGAATGGGATCTGAGACTGACAATTGCAACAAAAAGAACATTTCCATTTCTACCAATACTTCAGCCACAGCCCTGAATCCCTGTCCTGTAGCAGTTCTCAATGTAGTTATAAAATTGTATTTCAGTTAGTAAAAATGATACCACTCCTCTGGTGGCTGTACTGGTATTGCAAATGTTTCCAGTGTAAAGGAGATTACAGTTATACCCAGAGATTCTTAGAGAGCTGTCCTATGTGAACTAAGGAAGCATCACTGTTTATTGCCAACACAGATACTGCTACAGGAACGCTTCATCATATTCCAGACTATATTTTGACATCCCCTTCCCATTCTCTCCAATTTGCTTCCTTTTCCCCATGAACATTTGTCTCGGGTCCTGGCCCTATTCCTCCAAGTTACTGGTAAGCAAATTATAAATAGATAACCAGATAGGCTAATTTGAGCATTAATATTAATATAACATGTTTATCTGTCCATATAATACCTGCATTTTTAACCAAAGTTTTAGGCTTTCAAATCAGATGAATGACCAATGAGAGAATAGTAGATACTCATATCCTAATATTTATATTTATATATCCACAGAACCTTTAAACCTTTAAAAGGAATGAAGAAACTTGGCCTTAGAGGAAGCTCATGCTCAGTGCTACTACGGACTGCATACCTTCCTTTCCCTTGCATTCCTTCATTCATTCCATAGTTATTGTTTCTACTTTGCATCAAGCACCGTAGCAGGCATGTGGTAATGAACAAGGCAGTAAGCTTTTAAAAGTAAGAGGTTTCCCCTGATATATCAAGGACCTGAGTTCCTTTTACCTTCCTCCTCCACCATCACAATGTGAGTGTCATCATGGGCCTAAATTGTCATGTATTCCCTTACATCCAGACATCACTCATGAGCTCAGACAGAAGGGAGAGGAGGAGAAAACGTGCCAAAGATGAAGGGCTGTAGACACAGGCCAACTCAATCTTTCTCTTTAAAAAATCTTTTTGGGGCTGGGCACGGTGGCTCATGCCTGTAATCCCAGCACTTTGGGAGGCCAAGGGGGTGGATCACGAGGTCAGGAGATGAAGACCATCCTGGCTAACATGGTGAAACCCCATCTCTACTAAAAATACAAAAAATTAGCCTGGCATGGTGGCACGTGCGTGTAGTCCCAGCTACTCGGGAGGCTGAGGCAGGAGAATCCCTTGAACTGGGGAGGCGGAGGTTGCAGTGAGCTGAGATGCTGCCACTGCCCTCCAGCCTGGGCGACAGAGCGAGACTCCATCTCAAAAAAAAAAAAAAATCTTTTTGGTAAGCCCCACTGGAAGACTTCCAATGACCTGTTATTGGCCAGAAGTGGATCACATAGTCACCCCAACACAGAAGGTGAGCACATTGCTACCCTGAACAAAATCTAGATTCTGTGATGATGAAAGATGGGGAGAGTGAATTTGGCATTGGAAACTAGCCGTGTCTGCCAAAGCGATGGAACTCGACTGAAAACTGGGGAAGGCAGATTTTCTTCCTTCTTCCAGCTCTATTAAGATATATTTGACAAATAAAAATTACATATATTTACAGTGCACAATGGGATGTTTTGATCTATGTATAGGCTGTGAAATGATTAAATGAAGCTAATTAACATATCCATCACTTCATATACTTATCTTTTTTGTGTGTAGTGAGAACATTTAAATCTACTCTCTTAGCAGCTGCTGGAATACAATACATGATTATTAACTATGATCACCGTGTTGTGCAGATCTCCAGAGCTCATTCCTACTGTCTAACTGAACCTTTGTTCTCATTGACCAGCATCTCGCCGTATCCCCCTCACCTACACCCCACGCTGCTTCCCCAGTTCCTGGTAAACACCATTCTACTCTCTGCTTCTATGAGTTCAGCTTTTCTAAGATTCCACAGATAAGTGAGAGCATGTGGTGTTTGTCTTTTCGTGCCTGGCTCATTTTACTTAGCACAGTGTCCTCCAGGTCCATCCATATTGCTGCAAATAACAGAATTTCTTTTCTCTTTTTGTTAAAGCTGAATACTATCCCATTGCATGTACACATACCACATTTTTTATTGTGTATATTTAAGGTGTACAATATGTTTTGATATACATACACATAGTGATGTGATTACTTCACTCAAGTAAATTAAAATAACCACCATCTCACATAGTTACCTTTCCCTTTTGTGTGTGGTTAGAATATCTAAAATTACTGTTGCTGCAAATTTCTAGTATACAATTCAACATTATTAACTGAAGTCCTCATGAGAGCTCTAGGTACATTCTTCCTATTTAACTGCAGCTTCACACTCTTTGATCTACATCTCCCCATTTCCCCCACTTCCCAGTCCCTGGGAACCACCGTTCTTCTCTGTTTCTATGTATTGATTTTATCGCATTTTAAAAATGTTTTCATCCAGTGATGGATGCTGACGTTGATTCCTCAGTGTCTTGGAATTCCATATCTTGTCTATTATGAGAAACTCAGCAATGAGCATGGGAGTGCAGCTATCTCTTCAGCACACTGATCTCATTTCCTTTGAACATATCTCCAGAAGTGGGATGGCCGGATCATATGGTAGCTCTATTTTTAATTTCTTAACGACTTCCATACTGTTTTCCATAATGACTTACTAATTTATATTCATGCCAACAGAATACAAGGATTCTCTTTTCTCTACATCCTCACCAACAATTATCTATTTATTTATTTTTGAGACAGAGTTTCACTCTTGTTGCCCAGGCTGGAGTACAATGGCACAATCTTGGCTCACTGCAACCTCCACCTCCCAGGTTCAAGTGATTCTGCTACCTCAGCTTCCTAAGTAGCTGGGACTACAGGCACCTGCCACCATGCCCAGCTAATTTTGTAGTTTTAGTAGAGATGGGGTTTCACCATGTTGGTCAGGCTGGTCTCAAACTCTTGACCTCTGCCTGCCTCAGCCTCCCAAAAGTGCTGGGATTACAGGCATGAGCCACCGCGCCTCAGCCCACTTATCTTTTTATTAATAATCACTGCCATTCTGACAGGTATGGGGTGATAACTCGTGGTTTTGATTTGCATTTCCCTGATGATTTGTGATGTTGGGCACCTTTCTACATACCTGCTGACCATTTGTATGTCTTATTTTGAGAAATGTCTATTAAGGTCTTTTGCTCACTTTTTATTTGAGTCATTTATTGTTTATTTGTTGTTTTAGTCTGTTCAGGTTGCTCTAACAAAACACCTGAGACTGGGTAATTCTTAAAAAGCAGAAATTGATGTTCTCAGGTTCTGGGGAAGGGAAGTGTTGGCTCAAGGTGCCAGCATTTGGTGTCTTCTGAAGGCTGCTTTCTCTGCTTTCAAGATGGTGCCTTGTTGCTGTGTCCTCTGGAGAAGACAAACTGTGCGTGTGGCAAAAAGTGGAAGGGCAGAAAGGGCTACCTGTTTCCCTCCAGCTCTTTTGAAGGCACTGATCCCACCCAGGAGAGTGGAGGCCTCATGGCCTAATCACTCCTAAAGGCCCCACCTCTTAATACTGTTGCATTGTGGATTCGGTGCCCACATATGAAATGTGGAGGGGCACAGACATTCAAACCACAGCTCTGTTTTCTTGTTTACTTCTTAAAAATGATATTATTACCAATGCTAAGAAAAAATAGCCAGGCCAAAGCAAGGGTTGAGGTGAAGTTAGGTTTAAGCTGAGAGAACAATCTGGAATAGAAGTAAACACTGAGGTGAGTTGGAGCTTGGTACTTAAAAACAATAAAGAAAAATGAAAATGATGCTGGTAGAGAGAATAGCAACATTCAGCTAAAGCTAGGCAAAGCCTTTCTTTCATGCAATATTAAGACTTTTGTATTTGAACCCGTGAATAACTAGAAAGTGTTGACATACTATAGAGGGGAATTGGCTTGCTGAGTTTTGCTTTTTTTTTTTTTTTTTTTTGAGACAGAGTCTTGCTCTGTCACCTAGGCTGGAGTACAGTGGTGCAATCTCGGTTCACTGTAACCTCTGCCTCCTGGGTTCAAGCAGTTCTCCTGCCTCAGCCTCCTGAGTAGCTGAGACTGCAGGCACGCGCCACCAAGTCCGGCTAATTTCTGTATTTTTAGTAGAGATGGGGTTTCATCATGTTGGCCAGGCTGGTCTCGAACTCCTGACCGCAGCTGATCCACCTGCCTTGGCTTCCCAAAGTGCTGGGATTACAGTCATGAGCCACTGCACCCGACCTGAGTTTTGCCTTTTTCAGAAAGAATGTTCTGGATCTTTTGGGTGGAGGCTAACGAGGGCAGAAGATAATATAGAAACAGTAGTTAGAATCTTCCACAGAGGCAAGAGATGATGTTAGTGTGGACTGGGCTTGAAACAGTGGGATAGAGAACTGTAGAATTCTTCAGAATGACAGGACCAAGTGATTGTTTAGATGTGTGTGTAGGAGAAACATGAGTCTGGTGAATAGAAATGAAAGGCCCAGGGTGAATTCCCAGTGCAATAGTAATAGCATTTTGCTGAGATGGGGGACTCAGCCTTTGGGGAGGGTGGACAATGATGAGTTCCATTATTGACATCGTGTTTGAGGGGTCTGCTGGGTATGGCAGAGCAGTCATCCAGTGCACAGCTGGGCATTAGGGCCTAGAAATCAAGACAACTCCAAGAGGAAGACTTGGGGGAGGATGTTTTGGATGTAAAGATCATCAGTGAAGCTATGGGAATGGATGAGATTGTCTCTGGAGAGTGGATAGAGTGAGAAGCACAAAACAGATCTCCTGGATTTTGAACGGAGAAAATACTCAGGTGGCTGGAGGAGAAGAGAGATGTTGAAAAGACAGCTCCAAAAACAGGACAGAGATGTGAGATAGAGTTTCCAGATGAATCATATAATAGTGTCTTGTTGCATGTGAAGGAGTGTGCGCATGTTGCAGATCTCATGAAACAGCAGGTGGTACTGGCCCAGCAGGGCAGAGGAGTTGGCCCCGCCTAGGCAATGTCAGGCAGAATGCAGGTCAAGGCACTTTGTTCCCAGCCATACAGAATCTTCAATACCAAAAGTGCCTCTGCCTATCTTCCATTTCCATCACTAAGGAGACAGGCAGGCCCTCGCTGAGACTGTGAACTCTCTGAACTGCTGGAGTGAATTGTGCCATCCGCCTTTGGCTTGTCCTTTCTGTTTTTTCACCTCCCCTGATATCCCTGCCCCTAGTGCAGCTCCTATTTAATAGTTAGCTACAGAGATTCCTCTCGAGTAAACTAAGACAGGCAATATTTACAGTTATTTACTTTTTTTTTCTTTTGGAGATGGGGTCTCACTTTGTTGCCCAGGCTGCAGAGCAATGACGCGATCTTGGCTCACTGTAACCTCCGCCTCCCGGGTTCAAGTGATTCTCCTGCCTCAGCCTCTCGAGTAGCTGGGATTACAGGCACCCACCACCACCCATGGCTATCTTTTGTATTTTTAGTAGAAATGGGGTTTCACCATGTTGGCCAGGGTGGTCTCGAACTCCCGACTTCAGGTGATCTGCCCACCTTGGCCTCCCAAATTGCTGGGATTACAGGCATGAGCCACTGCACCCGGCCACGTTATTTACTCTTTATAGAAAATGTGCTTATGCCAAAGTGTAATTTTGCAGGTTAAAAAATATTTCTTAAATTTCTTTAGTAATGGAACACCAATATTTATTTTATTTTAAATTTGTAAATGAGAACAGTAGGTTATTGGGACAATGGGGCCTTTGAAAACAATTTACCTTTCAAAGAATGCTCAAGGCATTGGGTAAGAACATATAAAAAATGTCCCTTCCCAGCCTCCCCATTTGCCTAAAGAGGTTGTGGTCTGCATGCAGGCCTGAGGGGCTTAATGCCAGGCTCTTGGCACACATGGCCAGCTGTGGCTACATTTTACAGCCATCCCTTTGCTCTATCCCCTCCTTGCTTCCCCACTTTAGCTCTCCTCATCTTTTCCTCCCACAGGCCATCTCTCTGTCCCAAGATTCCCAGATGCACACTTCAGAGAACATTCTCCTGGAGTTTTACTACTCCTTTGAACCCTGGCTGGAACTTCTCACTCTTCCAGGCTAGGAGGCTGGCCTACTGCTCCAAGGATGCCTGGACTGTGAGAGACAGAGGGAGGCACTGGGCAGAAACGTAATGCCCTTTGTAAAGCTGAGGAATCTCAGGTTAAGATCTGGATATGACAGCTGAAAGGGGAGAGAGGGAATTACAGTTAATGAGAATTGCATCAGAAGATTTTACCTGCTTACATATGGGCAATTTGTGTGTAGGTGGGTAGGTGTGACTGGGGAAAACAGGAGATGAGGTAGGGTGGCTGGGATAGTTGGTGCCAGGTTGTCCAAGATGAATTAAAAAAATGCATGCTTTCAGATTTTACATATTAGCCTGGATTTTGGATATTAGAA
This sequence comes from Homo sapiens, assembly GCF_000001405.40. NCBI lineage: Eukaryota > Metazoa > Chordata > Mammalia > Primates > Hominidae > Homo > Homo sapiens. The sequence continues at coordinate 186,789,188 of NC_000004.12, forward strand.
TATAGAAGAAAAGCAAAACTTCGTTGAAAGTAAAATTGTTTTGTCATTAATGTAAAATCTTTTTAACATATATGCAGAATAATTATATAGATTAATATGTTTTCATATCGTACTATATAGACAAAAACACATATATCTAACATTATATGAGTTGCCTCCATGCACATATTACACCTTTGTTCAATTAAGAAATTTCATATTTGCTGGAACTACTACCTCTTTCTCTGCCTTCCATCGGGAGCTTTCTTGAACTGTCATCTTTAAACACCTGATTTTCAAGGCATTGTCTATGGAAGGCACCAAAGCAAAGGTCCGCCTTCTTTTAACAGGTCTCTAAGGTCCACCTTCTGTTAACAGGTCTATGATCAGACAGTCTGGGTTACTAACAGGCTACTCTGACTTTTTTTTGAAGTTGACTTGCTTGAGAAAGTGATGTTAAAGCTAAAATGAATTATTAAACTCTTTTTTTTTGTAATCTTAAACAACCTAAAAGAGAAATAATTCACAATGTAGAAAGAATGCGGAAGAGATTCCTCAGCTCTACAGAATGGTTGCCATGGAGTGGACCATATTTGCCTTTTGAAAGCCAATCTTTCAATTGCATTCATCTCTGACAATAAATGTAAGGCTTACACCAGTGAAGAGAGTGGAGAGAGAAAAATGAAACCCTTTGCCAGAGCTAGGCTGGACAGCTGCTGGATTTTTGTAAGGGATATAAGAGTTTACAAGAAAGTGCCCCTCAAAGAATGAAATGCTTATATGAACATTCTTTGTCGATGAAACTCTTTAAGAAAGACCCACTGCTAGAATCCTGTAAACTCCATGTGCAGAAACAGATGCAGGCGTAAGTGACACTATTTCAAGTCATCTAATAGATCCTTGAAAGCAAGAACAGTGCAATAAAAAATCTATTTCTATTTTCCTTTATAAATAATTCATTTCTATATTTCTCTTTTCAAATAATGCCATGACTGTCCACAGCCTTGAACCTTCCAACCCCCTGAGAAGACCTGGACTGCTCTCCTTGATGGACTGGTGCTCCTCATTTCCCAGGGACTGGAACTGAAACTATAGCCTGGGTGCTTTGAAACAGGACAGATTTCCAAGCCCCTGTCCAGGATTCTGATTTAGCTGGCCTGGGATGAAAACATGGATCTGCATGTTTAACAAACAAACCAGTGGATTTTTAACATGGGGTTTAGGAAATTATACAAAGTATACACTCTCCTAGGGCTAATCTTGTTATTAATTATTGTCAGTTAAAAGCATTTCTTCACTGGAGATGAGGAAAAAACCCAAACTTAAAGCGTCAATAAAACTTTCAAATAGAAGATTATTTTTAAATGTTTTTCTTCTAAATTTCAAGTCTGCTATTCCAGATCATTCTCATAATCAAAATCATGAAGTCATCAAACAAATAAAATCTCATAATCGAAATTTAATGTTCTTCATTCTACTTAGAATCAGAGAAAGGCTGTGAACAGCAGGTAAGACCTAGTCACTACAGTGTCTCATTGTACCTTCTGGCTCCAGCTCCAGGACTGAACACACACAGCCAATGTTCAGAATTATGATTCTGGAATTCCACAATGTTCTGGCAGTTAAATCATTGTGGGTGTCCTTAATTATTTCTTTAGGCTGAATTCCTAAAAGTGGAATTTCTGGGGCAAAAGCTAATGTTTAATTTAAAGGCTTTTGTTTGTATTGGCAAACCAGAATATTTAATCATGATCATAATAAAACCAAACTTAGGAATGCTTACAGTGCACTGAGCTCTGTGTCTCAGTCTTGATGACAGCATTTCAGATTGAGTGTTATCATCATACCCATTTTAAAGATGGTTAGAAAATAAGGCTTCGTTGGGCATGGTGGCTCATGCCTGGAATCCCAGGACTTTTGGAGGCCAAGGCAGGAGGGCTGCTTGAGCCCAGGAGTTTGAGAGTAACCTGGGCAGCGAGACCTGGTCTCTACAAAAATTAATAAATAATCATAATAATAAAGATAAAGGGGCTTAAAGGACTTAAAATATTGACGAAGGTCATATAACCAGTAAGTAAGAAAACCAGAAGTGGGACTCAGGCCTTCCTGATGCCAAACCCTTGTTGCTAATCAGTAGCTGCCTTTTGAAAGGTTGTGCTAATTGGCACACTCACCAGAAGCATATGAGAATTCCTGTTTCCCCACACCTTAACCAACTTCGGATGGTACTTTTCTTTTTTTTTTTTTTCTTTTTTGAGACGGAGTCTCGCTCTGTCCCCCAGGCTGGACTGCAGTGGCGCCATCTCGGCTCGCTGCAAGCTCCGCCTCCCGGGTTCACGCCATTCTCCTGCCTCAGCCTCCCGAGTAGCTGGGACTACAGGCACCCGCCACCACCCCAGGCTAATTTTTTCTTTTTTTCTTTTTTTTTTTTTTTTTTTTTGGTATTTTTAGTAGAGACGGGGTTTCACCACGTTAGCCAGGATGGTCTCGATCTCCTGACCTTGTGATCTGCCTGCCTCGGCCTCCCAAAGTGCTAGAATTACAGGCGTGATTCAATTTCTACATGGTTCAATTTCTTTTTTTCTGACCCATGAATGTGTGGTATTCCACAATCTAAGTTGTCTGTGGTTAAGTAGGACACTGAAAATTTTTTTAATATGGGTCATTCATGCTTTGAAACACATTATTTCTTCTTTTTTTAAATTTTACTTTAGAAGTGCAGAACGTGTAGATTTGTTACATAGGTATACGTGTGCCATGGTGGTTTGCTGCACCTACAACCTGTCATCTAGGTTTTAAGCCCCTCATGCGTTAGCTATTTGTCCTAATGTTCTCTCTCCCCTAGTTCCCCACTCTCCAACTGGCCCCAGTGTGTGTTGTTCCCCTCACTGTGTCCAAGAAACATATTATTTCTTGAAGCTTTTACATATATCTGAATATTGGAAATTCACACAATTTTCTCCAATCACAGTACATCACTTGTACATAAACTCTACCCTCCAGAAAAGATTTTGCTGTGCAAAGCTATTCTTTGAGGACAGTGTAACGAACTATATTAGCTTAGCTTAGGTCTTAGGTATACTTTACCAAAGACTAAATTTATTCTCTACGTGGTCAGAAATTAGAGTGTCAGGAATCATAATTTTATCTAATTTCCAAAATGAACTAACAATATTTTCAGTAAACTTTATTTCACTACATTTTGATATACATTTACATGTTTATATTTTACAGATAGATGCTAACTGAATTATTTTAAAGACCAGGTATATATTCCTTGAAATAATGTCGGAAACTTTTGACCCAATAGTTCAATTTCTGGATGTCCATTCTAAAAAAATTCAAAATCTAGGCAGACATTTTGATTGTTACTAATGCTATTTGTAACAACGGGAAGCTATGAACTCTGAATACCTGATTGTATGGAAGTATTTAACTATGGTACACTGGAGTATTGAGCTATTGATCCACTTAGAGAATATTTAGAATATAAGCTCCCTGAGGAAGATCATCTTGTATAGTTTGTTCTCTCCCATATCTCCAGTGTGCAAAAGTGTTCATCATGTACATGCACTCCACAAGTACTCGTGGAATTGATGCCCCAAAATAGGGGCTTAGCTCAGGAGGGTTCTTGGCTTTGCTCAGGAAAGAATTCAAGGACATGCCAGTAGTGTTAGCAATCTTTTATTGACTGGTACTGCTCCTAGTGGAGCAGGGCTAACTCATAGGCAGTGGGCCCAGAGTCAGCAACATATGGGCTATTGGCAGCTATATTTACACTCACTTTTACACACTTCAATTCTATGCAAACTCAGGGGCAGGTTAATGCAAATTGAGGAGTGGGTTATTTAGGATGTTCCAGGAAAGGGATGGTAACTTCTTGGTGGTGGCCATGGAAGGGATGGTAACTTCTGGTTTGTTGCCATGGCATTTGTAAACTGTGATGGTGCTGGTGGAAGTATCTTATGCAACTAAGCAATGAGGGCAGCCAGGGATCAGCCTCTCTGCCATCTGTTGGTTTCTGCTGATTTCTTCAGTTTCTCCTCTCTGGACCAGATCCTGTTTTGGTCAGCAGGGTTATGACCAGAAAGCAAATCCTGCTGGTCTCTTACCACAGAATGAATGTGTATTTCATTATTAGCTAACTTTTACCGAGCTAAGCTTAAGTAGGTGCCTGGCATTGGTCTAAGTGCTTTAAATGCATTAACCCTTTTCATCCTTACAACACAACCATAAGGTAGCTAAAATTATTAGCTTCACTTTACAAATGAGGACAGTGAGACACCAGAAATTAAAGAATTTGTTCAGGGTTGTACAGCTATAAGAGCTTTCGCTGGTGTTTGAACAGATGCATTTTATTTTAGTGTCCACGTTCTTGACAACTGGCTGGTTTGATAATGTACACAAAAATGGTAATTTGAAAGAATAGAGAACTGTGTTCTAATCCTTTAACTTGGTTTTTTGGTTGGACTGTGAAATATTCTTTGACATAACCAGAGAAGTCCCTATGTCCAAACTATGGCTTATTATGAAGGATGAGGAAATGGTTTTAAAGAGCTGAGCCTGGCTGGTCACTGTGGCTCATGCCTGTAATCCCAACACTGAGAAGCCAAGGCAGGAGGATTGCTTGAGGCCAGGAGTTCAAGACCAGCCTAGGCAACATAGCAGGACCCTGTCTGTACAAAAAATTTAAAAATTAGCCAGCAGTAGTGGCATGTGCCTGTAGTCCCAGCTACTCTGGAAGCTAAGACTCGAGGGTTCCTTGAGGCTGGGAGTTTGAAGCTGCAGTGAATTATGATGGCACCTCCGCACTGTAGCCTGGGTGACAGAGTGAGACTTTGTCTCAAAGAAAAAAAAAAAAGCAAGCTGAGCCTAATGGCTACAATTTTCTGAAATAATATGTTAATGTATTCCATATTTACCTCTTTCACAGCTGCCTGGAGGTAAAAACAAAGCTAGTATAGCAGAATCAAAGTAATGATTTACCGTCTCCCTGGCACACACTATGGAAATCCCAACCAGCTCCAATTCTTTTCGATTCCTTTGGGGGATGCTCTTTGGGGAGACTCCATGAGGTGTTTGGATTTTCCTTTGGGGGCTGCTCTTCGGGGAGACTCCATGAGGTGTTTGGATTTTTCTTCTGGGTCCTTCTTTCTCTTTGTTGTGATTAATTCCATGCAGAGGGCTCTGCTGAGTGGCACTGGCTGAGAGCTCTTCCTCATGGGCCTCTGCCTGCCTACCAGGCCTCCCCTGGGCTTCCCGGCAGTTGTTGGTCCAACAATTTTCGGCAGTCTAGGGCATCACAGTTCTGACTTTGACTTGAACTACACTCTTGCAGAAATGAGAAAGCAGTGCTGTCTGGTCGCGCTTTTATTTTTTTATTTTATTTTTTTTTTTGAGACAGAGTCTTGCTCTGTCACTCAGGCTGGAGTGCAGTGGCGCGATCTTGGCTCACTGCAACCTCCGCGTCCTGGGTTCAAGCGATTCTCCTGCCTCAGCCTCCTGAGTAGCTGGGATTACAGGCACCCGCCACCACACTCGGCTACTTTTTGTATTTTTAGTAGAGACAGGGTTTCACCATGTTGGCCAGGCTGGTCTTGAACTCCTGACGTCGTGATCCACCAGCCTCAGCCTCCCAAAGTGGTGGGATTACAGGCGTGAGCCACCGCGCTCGGCCTGGTTGCACTTTTGTTCTGAACGAGATTGTAATAAGCAGCCTTGGGTTTCGGACATTGTTCCGTTGCAGTTCCTTTCCCTAGGTCTTAGGCATGGGCCCATGTCGAATCCTAGGCTTAACTTAATGCGGGCTCAAACTGGGATTCATGCTGTGCTAATATCAAATATGTGCAAAGCAAAAGTGATTGACTTTTTCAGATCTTCTTGACAGTTTGGGAGGGTTTCAGTGTGCTGTCCCCTTAGAGTTGTGTAGGGTAGAAGCAGGAATATCTTTTCTTGCCCATCATTAGGTTCAGGGCTGAGGCACCTATAATAAAAGGCAGATTAGCAAGAGAAAAGCATACACATTTATTCAATATAAGTTTTATGTGACACAGAAGATTTCAGAATGAAGACCCAAAGAAACAGGAAAATGTATGTTTTTATGTTGAGGTTAGATGAACAGTGGGCTTCATGCAGAAGTTTGATTGCATAAGAGGTGTGCTCTAATGGCAGCAAACTGGGAAAACTTAGCAAGGCCTGTTTGTTCAGATCCTTCTCTGTCCTCAGAGATAGGAACATCACTTTCCTCTGGGTATAGGAGAGTATATCTCTCATGAGAATTCGTTTATGGCCTGCATCAGGGGAGGAGAGTGGGAGAAGGTCAGAGAGACCTTCTTGTTTCTGCTGTTTCCTCAAATGCTAAAGCTGCCATGTTTCAGGGTAGTGTGTCCTGAACTCCATAACTTGAAATGGAGAGGAAAATATTTCCCTCTAGAAAATTAAGCTATAAGATCAACTTGTGAATTGATCATTTCATGACAGGGAGAAAGGAAAATTACTTTTGAGTTTGTGAGACTCTAACTGCTGTGAGGGTGGTAATACATTAAAAAAACAGTAGCAATTATCAATGAAAAGAGAGATTGGGCAACGTTGGAAGACTAGAAAATGAAAATTAAAGAAATAATGGTGGCCGGGTGCAGTGGCTCATGCCTGCAATCCCAGCACTTTTGGAGGCCAAGGCAGATGGATCACAAGGTCAGGAGTTCGAGACCAGCCTGGCCAATATGGTGAAACCCCCTCTCTACTAAAATACAAAAATTAGCTGGGCGTGGTGGCATGTGCCTGTAGTCCCAGCTACTTGGGAGGCTGAGGTAGGAGAATCACTTGAACCCAGGAGGCAGAGGTTTCCGTGAGCCGAGATCGTACCACTGCACTCCAGCCTGGGCAACAGAGGAAGACTGTGTCTCAAAAAAAAAAAAAAAAAAAGAAATAATGGCAGAGCCAGGAAGAACCAGGACAAGAGCCTTTGGTCAACAGACTTCAATTATTTCTATCCTATTAGCAAAGACATTCCTAATGAAGAAAGATTCCAGAATGTCTGTCTGCACGGACTATTTGACCCCACGGGCAGCAGCATACTATTTGTGAGATTGATGAATCGGATTATCATGCCTAATGTCATGAAAAATTTAATTCAGGTGCTTCCCCTCTTTCTCATCCATGTACTTTCACATTACAACTCTTGCTACTGCTGCTACTACTATTAATATTTTTAAATGCTGAAGGCGATAAGCATTCATGTACATTATTTCATTTAACTCACAGATCAATCCTTGGAGGTGAGGACTGTTGTCATAATTATCTGGGTGAAGAAGCTGAGGTTCAAAAATGTGAGTCCAGATTTGCATGACGATGTGTCTCTGAAAAAATAAGGGAAGATCAATGGGACATGAACTACTCTTATAAAACAACTAACTTCTCCTTTAGGGGTTAGGTGAATTATTAGCATTACGCATCCAACACTGTATGTTCACATAAGCCAAATAATTGCTGTATTCCAAAATAAGATTTTATTTTCTTTTAATAAAATTGGATTTTTAAGGAATAAGTTTTACTTCTTTTCTTGGATGTTATTTATTGTTTTAATAATGGTAGAAACGTATATAGAGTATAAAAAAATCAAAAGTTGATTTACTATGGAAATTGAACTAATGTAGCTAAGATTTATGGTTTTCACCCTCGCAATTCCACATATTTTCCCTTCTTTGGCTTATGGCTCCTTTCTGTCTCCACACACTTCATGATTCTTGTGTTGTGGGTTCCTGTACAAGGTTAAAATTGATTTTTTCAGAACTTCCAATACGAATTTATAAAAGATATAACTCCAAAGGTGGCGTTTCCAGCTGAAGTGCTTAGCTTATATCTGTTAATTTAATATCACGAACTCTTTTCTTGAGCACAATAATTTACTTCTTAACAGAGGATGTGTGAAGGACAAAAAGAGTGCTAAGTTAAATGGTACCATTGCTGCCGTTATGTTCTTGAGACATTCATACTATATATGGAATGTCATAGCCACTATTGTTAACTCCAAAGTGCACTGATGTGAGGGAAGATCTCTTAACATTTATACTATGGTGGTTGTCCAAAATGTAAGCTTTATTGACTAAGTTATGTGTCTACAACTTACTAACAATACAGCGTATGATTTTCTCTTGTTTTTAGTGTTACTGTGGCCGCATCATTTGTGGCTGTTCAAGGTGTGTTCATTGTCCTCAACTTGGTATCTTGAAAGGCTCCACACAGATTGTACTACATAGGTTCTCTCCGAATCCTGTGCATTGCCAAATACTGGCTCACGAGGGAGAAAAGCTTTCAAAATCTAGATTAGCGCAAGAGGTGTCTTATTTATATATTCAAAATGTTTTTCAACTTATTTTTTTTCTTTTGGCTGATTTCTCTTTTCTCTTTTCTTTCCTTTTCTTTTTTTTCTTTTTTTTTTTTTTTTTTTTGAGAGACAGGGACTCACTGTGTCACCCAGGCTGGAGTGCAGTGGCGCGATCTCAGCTCACTGCAACCTCCACCTCCCGGGTTCAAGTGATTCTCGTTCCTCAGCCTCTTGAGCAGCTGGGACTACAGGCACCTGCCACTACCTTTGGCTAGTATTTGTATTTTTAGTAGAGAGGAGGTTTCACCATGTTGGCCAAACTGGTGTTGAACTTCTGGCCTCAAGTGATCCACCCACCTCAGCCTCCCAAAATGCTGGGATTACAGGCGTGAGCCACCACGCCCGGCCAGCATATTGCTTTCTATATAGGGTAACAATTGTTGCTGTTGTTATAATTACCTAACATGGCTTGGAGATTAAGGTGATTTTGGATTTCAATTCCAAAAATATATTTCTAAATTATTATGCAGTATTGTTAAGGAATATTCATAATCAGGCTTTAAATAAATCACTGTCAGCCTCTATTACTTCAGTGCGCATATCTGCTTTTAGTCACTTGCAGGTCAACTTGGTATTGCCAGTGCCTAGGACCTGGCGCGTCCTAGGACCTGGCATGATAGGTGCTGCTAGAATGCCAACTGGGAAGACTTGGGTTCACCTGAGAGCAAGATTATGGATGGTCTGGAATCAAGTATTATGCAGCACCAGCAGTTTTCTTCTTGAATATATCTTAGAAAGGACATTTTGAAAGTCTTTCTTGGGAACTCTATAAAGAAAGCTACAGCATTAGTAAGCCCCACATATCTTAGTTCCGGTTTTATTATCTGCCGAGAAACTGAACAACATGTTAAAATAAACACTATCATACCATCAGGAGTTTAGAACTTTAAGGCAGGAGTGAGGATCTCATTAGACCCAGTGAGTTGGTTTCCCTATAGCTATTCTTGTACCAGTGAGGAGCCATTGTAAGTAAACCAATTCCTAGTTTCAGGAAATGTTTGTTCCAGAGTAAGATAGTCTTTGCTCAGTTTTTGCTCAACGAAGTTTTCCTTGAATCTTTTTCTCTTCTCTCCCTTCCTTCAGTAGCTCCTAACCACTTAATGAGTTGAAGACTTCAGTCTGTCTTGAAATAAGGAAAGTTAGGATAATACTGTGGAATTTAAGTTTTTTTTTCAAGTTGAAAGATTGTTCTTTATTCTGGTATTGTACTGTTTTCACTATTTTATGGCTAGAACATCCTTTTCTAAAAAAAAGATCATTGCTAAAATGATTTTTTTCTTTTCAAAATGTTCTTACCTGACCACAAGCTTTAAAGTTTGGCAACTGTACATTAATCCCCAAATTTATATTTAAATTCTTATTGGTCTATGAAATTCAAAGTCTGGCAACCATAGCTATAGACAAAACCTATAACTGTCGTCATATTTACTTCCAGATTTCCTTGGGAGAGGACATACTTGGCAACAGACACTAGAAATATTTTCAAGGATATGACGGATGATTTTTCACAGCAGATTGGTGCTAAGTCACCACCTCTCAAGTTTTCACTTAACTGTTATCTTGTATCCAGCATTTACCCCTCCACATGCTAATACATCACGGCTTTAGTACTTTCACATTTACTCTGAAGATAGTTACCCCTTGGGTCAAACTCCAAGGAAAGAGGCTATCAGATTTGTTTTATCTTGTGGTTCTCATGTCAATGTGTGCTTTACAAATGCTTTTGCTTGAGCCTGAATATGACTCAAAACTTAAAATAAGTTTTGAACACCTTCTTTCAATTTTTAAGTGATTAACTGAATAAAACCAAGTTGAAGAATTTCACCACAAAGTTTACTTCCGAGTTGTGGTTTATGTTGAATTAGGGATTTTTTTTCTCTTTGGTTTTCAGTAGAAGATTACTTGGTAAATCTAACTATCTGCAGAAAGAGGTGGGGATTTTCCATCTCAGACACTCCATTGTGATGGTGTTAGATCTTTTCTCCACCTAGCTGTTCAGTGCAATGCACAATGAAACAATAACATGCATAATTTTGCCAAATGCTAGTGTTGGAAGAGGACTCTTTTTGGTATGTACAAATGAGAATGAATTTATGAAGTCTGAGTAAACAATGTTATTTCCAAGTATAAAATGTTATTCCTAACTATAACAGGCAGAAGGGAGTTATCTAATCTCAATTTTCACATAGATATTAAAAGCACTAACAGATTATTTTGTTTATACATCACTGTGCCTTATACATAGAAGGCACAAAATAATATCTTTGAATGACTGAATGAATTCTGTTTCTATCAATCTCATTTACCAATGAAAACCCTATACAGAGTTGTATTATTTAAAATGATACATTATTTTCTGTCATTTCTGTATTTTCTATACATATAATTTGCCATATGCTTAAAAGTCCATAGAGAAACAAATAAAACATGATATGTTATCCATATTTCAAACAATTTTGAAGTTACTTTATTGTCAGAGTTAAATAATATTAGTTTGATATTCATCTTAATATTTTTTCTGTAATTAACATTTAAAAGGCAGCTGTATGAATAGTACATTTTGAAGTAAACTTATAATAATACGATGTAGTCCTGGATTCAAGCAAAATTTTCTCT